>NC_000002.12:99610830-99913860 GCF_000001405.40 Homo sapiens | reverse complement strand
TTCAGTAGGTTATGATTGATTATTCACATTTTTTTTTGTCAAATTATCTGAGATTTGGTCAATGGGATCCCCTTCAAGTTGGCTTGTTTTCATTTGACATATCCCCATCATTCCTCATTATTTCTTTTTCCAGTATAGCAAGATGTTCTAGAATCATTTCATCATTCTACAACCCCAACCTAGAATCAGCCAGTTTTCAAGAGAGCCCTGGTTCCTTTGATTGCGGACATGGTATTTAGAAACCAAGATCCGGATACCACATGTGCTCATTACTACTTAAGTGTTGTGTGTTCTAGGCCCGTTCATTGGACAGAGCTAGACTGTGTATGTATTTCATGTGCATATATACATATACATACGTATATCTGTCCACATCTACTTCAGTATTGATCATCTATTATCTGTCTACCAATCTATCTAATAGAAACTAGGGTTCATATTGACATCTCCAATTCCAGTCCAGTTTCACAGGTTTATTCTAGTGTTCCCGCTTCTGCATTTATAACTCCCTTCTCTGACTATAAGAAAACTTGTTCCCACTATCCACAGTATACTTACTTATTTGATCAATATCAGAATACACAAAAAAGTGGATTCAAAATTGCTAACATTGTGAAAATCAAGGCTGCTATCTAGAATTCAATATTTGTTTAAAATAATTCTTTATATAAAGTTTCCTGTTGTATGTAGGTACAGTAGGGGCTATAGCTGAATAAGACACTGTCTTTGTCATTAAATTACTTCCTTCTCTTCTTTCTTTTCCCCTCTGAACTGAAGGGGTGAAATTGAATTGGTTTTGTCACAGTGGTTATCAGAACACAGTAAAGGGCTTGTGAGTCTAGGCTCTGATGGAGTGTGGGGTTAGTGGGGAACAGTGTGTTGGGGCGCAGATGGAGGTTTTTCCTTTCTCTTGTCTATTTTGGTCCTACTTAGTGTGTGTCTCTGTAAAGAGGACAGCCCTTCACATGCATCTCTGAAATCTCTTTAAGGACATTTCTGGGTTAGCTATTGCCGTGTAACAAAGTACTGCAAAATTAAGTGACTTAAAGTAGCCATAACAATTTATTTTGCTCATGGATATGCAATTTTGGCAGGGCAAAAATCAATCCCTAATAGAGAAACAGTAAGCTAAGAATTTGTTTCCCTATGTTATCCATTGGGTATGTATGACCCTGTGAGATTTTGCCTCATTAAATTTATGGTTTCCTGATTGAGTATGTAGCTATCTCTTTCATATCCTAGTGATTTCTGATCTCGAGGGCCCATTTGGTGAGAAATACAACTATGTTTATTGGGGTTAAAAATAGGACCTTTTGAAATCACTGCATGATTGGAAGCTACTCTAATGAAGAAAAATCTTCATAATCACTGGTGAAGAGAAATTATTTATTGGGTTTTAATGGGGACATACAGCATAGTTGTAAATTTGAGGACATGTTATAACAAGTTATGCGGTATTTGGAAGCACATATGCCCTAAGTGTGACTTTTGGCTAGTTTTTACCAATGCAAATTACCAAGTGGCATTTATGGACTATGTTTGTCATCAAGCATAAAACTTTAGCTAAATGTAAAACAATTGATTGTTAGTTTCTGGGCAAATATTTTCGCATGGGTCAAGGTGGAGTTTTGCCCTAAGCCTCTAATAATGCTAGGTTCTTATGTTAATAAATAGGACAGTCTTCCTTTTATAGGCTAATCTCTTGTAGAAATCAGGACTCACTATTCCTTAGTTGTGTGAATGTAGCCTTATTCTCCTTTGGGCTAAAGAGCAATATATTACTCCCATTGATCTCTGAATTACTTCCACATGCCAAGGAATCCTGTTTCAGAGGCTTGGTGAGCTGGCTGTAGATGGATTCTATTCCTCTTTCATTTGGGCACTTTCTCCTGCCAGCTATTATTTTGTGCTTGTAAATTCTGCCACTCTTAACAAGACAGTCCTGATGAATCACCAGGGAGGTTAACCTTTACCACCTACAGCTTTTAAAATGTTAAATTGCTTTGCAGATACTCACCTCTTCTTGAAACTTCACATTATGGCATAACAACACAGAGTTCTCTAACACCTGGCACAGGTAGTGGGTTTTGTGTCTGTGGTGCACATGTTTTTGATACAAGTCTTTCCTTGCAGCCCCTGGGCTGCCATTCGTTTACCACTGAGCCTTCTTTCAGGGAGATGATGGCAGCTGCTGCTGAGGAGAGCAGCTTAATTTTTCAAAGGACCATTTTGCAAATAATACATAATACCTGCATTTACAAGCTGCATTTCTGTGCAGTTCAAGTGTTGATCAGTAAAGTTCAGTATGAGTCCTAGGGCACTGGAAACCCCAAATGACTACTGAACCTTCCTACTTGGAATTTTTCCATGTCAAAGGGGTCAGAACCTGCGACAGCAGCCAGACTCACATCCTTTGCACTGCCTGTCCCTCAGCATAAAAAGTGCATTTTCTTTCTTTTTTTTTTTTTTTCCAGAGATGAAGTCTCACTCTGTTGCCCAGGCTGGAGTGCAGTGGCACGATCTCGGCCCACTGCAACCTCCACCTTCTGGGTTCAAGTGATGCTCCTGCCTCAGCCTCCTGAGTAGCTGGGATTACAGGCATGTGCCACCATGCCCGGCTAATCATGCAAAATCATGAAGACCCATAGTGCCACATTTCCTACAAAACAGGTCAATCGATTGTCAAAAGGAAAGCATCAGACAACTAACAGAATAGATGGACTAAGGTGCTCCGCCCCAGGAAGCCCACACCCTAGCAGCTCTGACTCAGACACTGCACTGGGTTATTATACGGCATGTGTGCGCAAATCAGAAGCATTTTTTATGCCTTCCTTAGCATTTATGTAAAAGCTTTCTTTTAAGATTCTTCAGTTAAACTTCACCAAATATCAGAGTGAGCTTGGATAAGAGGGAAGGCATTGTAGAGTCTTAATTTCCTATGTGGAGAAGTGTCTAATGTTAGCTCTAATTATGTGATTTGTCCAGCCAAACAGCGAAGCTGGTCAGAGCTCCCGAAATGATCACATATATCTTAGCCTTCCAAACTACAATGCTATTCTTATGTCCTTCTTTAGAAAAGAATGTAAGGTGACTTGTTAAAATTCATGCAATTATTACATTGTAAGTAAAAGTAGCCTGTAGACAGGATTTGAGCTTCCTAGCAGCTGAAGTTAAAAGAGAAACTCGAAGGGCTTTGAGAGTCATATTGTCCTTAAATATCAACTTAGCAACTTAGAGAAGCACAGTTTTCCTTACACTTTGGTCCAAGACATGTTATTCCTGTTTGCACTATTACACAGTGATGCAGAAGGCAAGATTGTTTATGGCATCCTTGTAATAATTAGCAGTTTTCATCTAGAAGTTTCTGATGCATACCTTTGCACATGCAGTGATCAAAATGAAGTACAGTAGCAGTGGAGGAAGAACATATTTGTATCCTCTATCTAGACCTTTCCTTAATGTTTTATAATATCCAAATGCTACTACATAATATAGTATATTATTAATCAAGTCTAGTTTTGAAAAATCTGCTTGGAAATGAAAACAAATGAGCAATAAAAATGCTAACTACCAATGCTTAGTGAATAAATAATGGGAGAATTGTTTTCTATTATTGTCTAAACAGAAGTATGCTTATTCTCAAATCAGGTATTAAGAGTGCTTTTCTCCTGAATGGTCATTTTAATAGAATTAATATTTAGCGAATAGTCTCTGAGGCAGGGGATAGCATTGTAGTAATGCTCTTTTCAATCCAAATCAGTACATTTTGTATTTCAAAGTTCATTTCAGATTGAACATACTGCGGCTATACATAAGAAGGTTATTTATTTATTTATTTTTAGCTCTTTTTAACTTTATTACCTCTGTAAAGACCCTATCTCCAAATAATGTCACATTGTGAGGAACTGGGGTTAGGACTTCAACACATGAACTTTTGGCAGAATATAATTCAGCCCATAACACTGTGTTTATCCACTTGGTTTCATAGGTACTTCACAACTGCATAAAGATAGGGAAAAAACTCAGCACATTCTGAAGTAGAAAGCTGATCATATTGTCAATGTGTTAAAATATTGGGCATAATTTACGTGAAAGTTGAGAAGCAATTTCAAAATGAATCTCCTTTCTTTGCAAGGAATGCCACATTCTTGGTTTTCACTGTGCAGCTGACATGGCCTATACCGAGACCCAAAAGAACTTCTCCACTCTGTGGAGAAACGCTTTTTCTTTTTTCTTTTCTTTTTTTTTTATTATTATTATACTTTAAGTTTTAGGGTGCATGTGCACAACGTGTGGGTTTGTTACATATGTATACATGTGCCATGTTGGTGTGCTGCACCCAGTAACTCGTCATTTAGCATTAGGTATATCTCCTAATGCTATCCCTCTCCTCTCCCCCCAGTAACTCGTCATTTAGCATTAGGTATATCTCCTAATGCTATCCCTCCCCCCTCCCTCCAGTAACTCATCATTTAGCATTAGGTATATCTCCTAATGCTATCCCTCCCCCCTCCCCTCACCCCACAGCAGTCCCCGGTGTGTGATGTTCCCCTTCCTGTGTCCATGTGTTCTCTTTGTTCAATTCCCACCTATGAGTGAGAACATGCGGTGTTTGGTTTTTTTGTCCTTGCGATAGTTTGCTGAGAATGATGGTTTCCAGCTTCATCCGTGTCCCTACAAAGGACATGAACTCATCATTTTTATGGCTGCATACTATTTCATGGTGTATATGTGCCACATTTTCTTAATCCAGTCTATCATTGTTGGACATTTGGGTTGGTTCCAAGTCTTTGCTATTGTGAATAGTGCCACAGTAAACATACGTGTGCATGTGTCTTTATAGCAGCATGATTTATAATCCTTTGGGTATATACCCAGTAATGGGATGGCTGGGTCAAATGGTATTCCTAGTTCTAGATCTAGTTCTAGATCCCTGAGGAATCGCCACACCGACTTCCACAATGGTTGAACTAGTTTACAGTCCCACCAACAGTGTAAAAGTGTTCCTATTTCTCCACATCCTCTCCAGCACCTGTTGTTTCCTGACTTTTTAATGATCGCCACTCTAACTGGTGTGAGATGGTATCTCATTGTGGTTTTGATTTGCATTTCTCTGATGGCCAGTGATGATGAGCATTTTTTCATGTGTTTTTTGGCTGCATAAATGTCTTCTTTTGAGAAGTGTCTGTTTATATCCTTTGTCCACTTTTTGATGGGGTTGTTTGTTTTTTTCTTGTAAATTTGTTTGAGTTCATTTTAGGTTCTGGATATTCCCTTTGTCAGATGAGTATGTTGCAAAAATTTTCTCCCATTCTGTAGGTTGCCTGTTCACTCTGATGGTGGTTTCTTTTGCTGTGCAGAAGCTCTTTAGTTTAATTAGATCCCATTTGTCAATTTTGGCTTTTGTTGCCATTGCTTTTGGTGTTTTAGACATGAGTCCTTGCCCATGCCTATGTCCTGAATGGTATTGCCTAGGTTTTCTTCTAGCGCTTTTATGGTTTTAGGTCTAACATGTAAGTCTTTAATCCATCTTGAATTAATTTTTGTATAAGGTGTAAGGAAGGGATCCAGTTTCAGCTTTCTACATATGGCTAGCCAGTTTTCCCAGCACCATTTATTAAATAGGGAATTCTTTCCCCACCTATTCCAAAAAAAGGTTATTTTTATTCATCTCTTGATCAATGACATGAGTGAAAAGTTGAAAACTATGTTCAGTGGCAAATAGGTGACCAGTTATTGGTTTAGACCAATAGGCAGGAGGTGACATAGCCAAAACAGATTAAAATTTATGAAATAGGAGAAAGTTGGGCAAGCATAAGCCACCTGAATGGAAACAAGCATCAGGCAGACAGTTTTGTTAAAGACCAGATAATTTGTACGCATCCCATGGTCATAGGCCAGTACTCATTCACTCGAATCAAGACTGACAGTAAAGGATCAAGATTCTCTTTGCTTGGAAGGGGAGAATCAGAAGGTAGACTCTAGTGGGACAAAAAGGATACAGTGAACCCAAGAATGAATGTGGTTAGTAAACATAGTATTTGTTTTATATTAAGAGTAGCATTCCAGCAAGGCACAGTGGCTCACACCTGCAATCGAGAGACTGAGGTGGGAGGATCGCTTGAACCTGGGAGGCGGAGGTTGCAGTAAGCTGGGATCGTGCCATTGTACTCCAGCCTGGGTGACAGGGTGAGACCCTATCTAAAAAAAACAAAACAACAACAAGAAGAAAAAAACCAGAATTCCTCAACAATTCAGAATCATTTATTAAAAGACCAAAGGCAATGTTAGCTACTTTGAATGAGAAAAAAAAAAAAAGAATAGTAAAAGCTCCACAGCAGACAAGGGAGGTAATTCCAAGTCTGGGTGCATGATTCACAGTGAAGCATTAAGAAAGCGTGGGTTATTTAACCTGAAGAGAAGAATAGGCTTTTCTAAACTGGTGTCTAAGGAATAATATTTTGGTAATACTCGAATTACTTCACTTTAATCTTGCACATAGAATGACTGAGTTTTGCATGAACTTGTTAATTATATAAAATAATAAAATTACACACAGTGAACAGAATTGGCACAGTGTTAGGCAACTTACAGGTTTTACATAATTTTATCATCTTTTTATCAATGACATGATAAACACGAGTGGCTTCAGATTGTGAAGAGGAAGGGTTGTAACTTTCCACCTCCGTTAGGATAAAAAGAGGCCCAGCTTACAAAAGGAGAAATAGCCATGAGTGTTGCTAGAATTAAATTGCTTGTCATTAAGGGGTTGAGGGAGGTTGATTTTAAAGACTGTGGCTCATTCAGTAATTGCCTGGCATGTAGTACACATATAGACTTGTAGTACATTAACAGGTGAGAGTGCCTGGCATAGTATTAGCACCTGAGAGCTCTTCAGTCGTCAGTAAAAGCCCTTCAGTGGTGTACCAGTATGGGCTCCAACAGAGAAACAGAAACAGTAGGCGATATATGGATGTGTACATAGATTGTGTGTGTGTGTGTGTGTGTGTGTGTGTAATATGGATAGGTAGGTTGATTGATTGATTGATTGCAAGGTGTTGGCTTATACGAATATGGGGCTAGCAGGCAAGTCCAAAAGCCGTGGACAGGCCATCAGGAAGAGCAGTGTAGAAAGAAACATGTGGTCCGGAGCTGAAGCTGAAGTCCACCAGTAGAATTTCTTCTTCTTCAGGGAATCCTCATTTCTGCCCTTAGAACCTTTTAACTGATTGAATCAGGCCCACCCAGGTTGTCTGGGATGCTCTTCCTTAAAGTCAACTGATGATAGACTTTTTTTTATTATTGTTATCGACTTTCATCTTATCTACAAAATAACTTCACAGAAAGACCTGGATTGAATAACCTTTCTGTTTGATTGAATGACTGGGGACTGAGGTCTTGCCTCATTGACATATAGAACTGACCATCCCAGATAGATAGGGGTAGGGTTACATTGCTGGCTGACACATAGGTCCGAAAGCACCCACTTGGTAGTTGAGAAGTCCTGAATCTGAAGCCCAGCTCTGCCACATCCTCACTCTGTGGCCAAGCGTGTTTCCTAACCTCTTTGCTTCTCTTTCCTCCTGCATAAAATGAGGTTAATAATGCTGGCTTCATGGGGCTGTTAAGACAATCAAGTGAATATCTGGCATGATAAAAGTAAACAGTCAAAGGTAGTTATGGTTTGGTACATTTTAAGATTTAAGATTCAATTTAGAGAGTTTTATCTTCGCATTATTTAGAATGGCGTCCAGAAATGTAAGAATGCCTAAAAATCAGCTGGCTGGAGTAGTAGGAATAGGTCAGAGTATTTTGGTGTTGGGACCTATGAAAGTTTCTTTTATGTTTCCAGCCATGCATTAGTCAGGCCTGAATTTAATATTCTTTTATTGTGCAGAGCAAAGATTATCAGCGTATTTATCAAACACAGGGAATTAAAAAAAAAACATTGAATGGGAATGATTCTCTGATGGCAGTGGAGGGCGTGATACATGATAACATCTGTATGAATACCAAATGGAGTCATTAGGATCTGCTGCTGCTGGTATGAGTACCAACTGAATTCCTAATGACAGGACTCTTAAAATAATGCATTGCTTAGGATGTGAGGAAGTGGAGTGCTTAATTTTTCAGTTGGTTTATTGCAGCCCTTAACAAGCATGGCTGCTAGTAAGTAGACAGTTAAATTAAACTCATGAATATCTGTTATAGTTTTTGAAATATAAAATTCAAACAAAAGCCTTATATTTGTGCCAATACGCAGAAATGCAGGAAGCTAGGAATAAACACAGGAGAGCAAAGGGAACAAACAATAAGCCAGTGTGGTTCCTCCTTGGCATTTTACAATAACCAGCATCTGAAACAACAAGAGAAGAAACTGTAGCTGATGATATAGTCTTAATTTTTGAGCAAGAGGAAGGGAGGGCAGAGGGGCAGACAAAAAGTATTCGGACTGAGAATTTGAGGCAGGCTCATGGGTGACCATCCTTGGCCTTCTGTGTTGATGGTCACCATGACCAGGATAGCTCTTATGCAAGTTCTTGTTGGAAGCCTTTCCCCAGACAGGCAGGGTTAGGCTAGCAAGAACCTGAGCAGGCATCTCCAGGGCAACTCTGTGAAGACGTGGGCTCCACGGAGGGCAAGAGCAGCAAGTTCCTCCAGAACAGACGTGCGCCATCAGATTCCCACAAAGTTGTGAGCAGCCAGAACACAACCCTTGATGCTGCCATGGGTAGCATGTTTCTGGGCTGTCTCAGCATTGGGGCAGAGGTGGTAGAGAGAGCAGGAGGAGGAAAAGCTGGAGTGACAGCCACAGAGGAGAAGGCCACAAAGTCTGGCATGAGGAGGAAGAAGCCAGTGGTGGGAGCAGCAGTGGGGAGATTGGAGGAAAGGGGAGTCAGGATGATGGGGCCACTGGGCACCTAGGCACCATCCTGGAGCAGCCCAGCACTGCTGTGGGGAGGGCTGCAAGCACCAGCAATATGGGAACGGCTCGAACTCTAGACCTAAGGGGCCCTGAAAAAGAGGACCCACCTATGTTAGTTTTGCAGAGAGAATCTTGAAGGAGACAGGCTATGGAACGGGCCATTCTCATTCGGGATTATCTTCCCCTCTCCCTGTGGGAAAGGAGGGACTCCTGGGTTGTCTGGGGAAGCGGCAAAGGGAAGGTTGATTATTGAAGAAACAAACAAAATGAAAAACACACAAGCTTTCAATAGTGCCCTCCCTGAAAAGCATATTAATAAAAAGAAAGCCCCCTTTAAATAAATAACTGTACAAGGAACTAAATCAGAGTATTCAAGTTTCAGATTTCAGAGTCTGATATTGTTATATCAACTAGTGTTTGTCTCACAAGATACTGAGAGGAAAGGGTGTAAATACATTAATTCAAAATCAGACAAAAAGGGCCCCAAGGCAGAGTGTATTTTTGGATAGGACTTTTTTTTTTTTTCCGAACTCTAAATTTAACCAAGTGGAATTCATTTGTAAGTACCATCCTATTCAACCGTTAGAAATGAAGGATTTGCCATTTAATGGGAGGATGTGCATTTTATTTTAAAGATAGAACATGATGTCCTTGCCTAGCTACTCTCCAGGGGCGTGGACCCTGTTTTGCATTGTGTATTGGGCACAGAGGAGACACAGATTTATCTCAGACCTGACAGGCCCAGCATTTATACATGGAGATCAAGGCTTGGGGAAATCGTAGCTTCCATTTCCAGCTGAGCGTCAGATGGTAAAGCTATCAGAAATGACGTATCTAGTTTCCAGTTTCATACTCATGAGCCCAGGAAGGCAGAACAAGTGAGGAAGAAAAGAGAAGAGTTTTCAGATGAATGATAAAATTAATAAAGAAGATATATAAAACAGTTGCTTTAAACTTAGCAAATTTAAGCAGGAATGAGATGTTATTAAATTCTCTCTTCATTTAGAAAAGGGCTGTCTACTGGGAATGTCTTAAAAGGATGTCAGATAGAGAAGATAAATAGAGTGGACTTCCTGTAATGTATTTAGGAAGAAGGTTCGTAATTGGCAGCATCAGCAGGTTGTTAGCAATGATAAAATGGCATTTTCCATTCAAATGGATGTGACTCAAGACAGAAGCCTATAGGGTGTCTAGTAACATTAAGATACCCCAGACCTGAGAGATAAGTCAACTAGGAGACAAATACAAATATATTTCAAACTATAACAGAAATTTTCACCATCTAGTTTTTAAAAATCTCATTAAATTCATATCTGATTTTATTTATCTTAAACTTGATGATGTTATCTATGTGATGGAAGTCTGTAAATAGTTTATTATTGATATTCCAATTTCTTGAACTCTAATTTTAAAGAAGAGATAATCTGGTATATAAAGCAACTACTGCTCTTTAAAACGTTTGATCAGTGCCAATCATTTTATAATTGTCTTAAATGCAAGATACATACCTATTTCATTGTTTTGAATATTCACTTATTATTTCTTCCTGTACTCAAAAAGTATTGATAGAGTGTTTACTGTTGCCAAGCACTTTTCCAAATGCTGGAGATAAAGCAGAAGAGAGTTTGTTACCATATATCATTGATTAAAAGATACACATTTCTCACATTTTAATAGCTCTGAAATTGGACTGTGTCTTACAATCTATTACGTGTCATAATTTGGTTGGCAGTTTTTCTCTCTAAATGGCACACAACGTGGTAGTGTCTTATACTGGTAGCATCTAAGAATCCTTGAAATAGGGTGTAATGGTACAATTACATAATAATATTATACATATATGCTGGTGTACCTAAGCAACTATTTACTTATTCATATTTATTCAGAAAATTGAGATTCTTCTTCCATGAAACTCATTGTTATGCCTCTGGAGGAGAAATGGCTTCAATATAGAATGCTCTTTGTGTCCTTGGTAGTTGTAAATTGAGAGTAAAAGAGAAAGAAAAATTTGAATTAGTAGATAAAATGGGATTCACAAGAATATAAACTCTAAACTTTCCTATATTTTTTCCATCATTATGCATGGGAGGCCTTTCAGACAGCTTAATCATCTCAGTGTTTGCATTATGTAGGATGTTGGCAGTGTGTAATGTGATCCACACATCTTACTGTTTTTTCTTTGTGTTTTATTCTTCGTTAAAATCAATTTAATTACTTTATAATACTGCTTTAAGTAAATCCAATTATGAAAGTCTGGATTACTCAAGAAGGTTAAATTTGGAGGTGATTCTTCCCTTTGAACATACAGTTACCATAGAATTTGCTCAAATGGGACACTTAAAATCAACTTTGATTCACAAAAACTGAGTTTGCATGCTACTTTAAAAGAATGCCTATCATGTAAAATGAGGTACCCCTGCATTGATGAGGTACACCTGCCTTGACGAGGGACACCTGCATTGAGTTGAGATGACAGTTGAATTCTGCTGAATATGCCCAAGCATGTAGTGAGTGCGCGGTGTGTGTTTGTGTATTTATGCATTTAAAACGTTCAGAAGAGCCGCACACTGGAAATCAGAGTTTATCGCTCATTGGTTTTAAACAAATGCTTAGTTTGTCCATAAAAAAGAATTATTTCCTTCATTGTATATGTATAACAAGTCAATACTAATTGTAGCATGTGACTTCCAGATTTTAAGAATTTACAGGGCTATAAATTATTTATACTATTTATTAAAGTTTATACTGTTTTAAAGTCCATGAGCCTACAGTTTAAGCAGTCATAAGCAAATATACTTCCAAATATGTCAGACATCTATACTTGATGAACAGTATTCACCCGCACACAAGGGTTCTGTGGGAGCACCCAGGAGGGACCTCTGCCTCTAAGTAGGAGAAAATTACATCCAAGCAGAGACGCAAAGGAGGCACAGAGGGAAAAACATTTTCAAAGCCTCAAAGTGTGGGTGAGCGTGGAAAGAGGCCGGAACGTGGAGTTGTGACAGGAGCTGAAAGAGATGACTGTGGGACCGGTCATGAAATGCCTTCTTAGCTGTGACAAGCAGTTGGCCTTCTGCTCTGGGGGGCACAGCTATCAAAGTGTCTCAAGCAGGGAGCAACATAATCAGACTGGTGTTTTAGAAACATCCCTGTGACTGCAGCAAGGGAAACCACTGGAGAAAGAGCAGATGCAGGGAGGTGACTGCAACAATTTGATAAGAATGAGTGGAAGCTTGAGCTAGACTCAGTACTGCAGCAACGGAGAGGAGTCTCCAGAGAAGATGGCTCTTCAGAAAGACTGGAGGATGCATTGGATGGGGGTGAAATGAGGAGGGAGGAGAGGCTAAGCCCCAGATTCCCAGTTTGGCCAGTGGGAAGGGTGGAGTTGCCAGCCATTCTCTGAAATAGTGAACACCTGAAGAGTAGCAGGTTGGGATCACGATAATGAGTTTCTTATAAGTGGAGGTGTCCCTTCGGCTGTGAAGAGAGAGGAGGGCAATGGTTTAGTAGTGCCAGCAGGGTTGGAAGAACCCACTTGACAGCGGGAGAAACACAGATTGCTGCACAGCCCAAGCACCCAGACAAAGCTGCAGTGATGTTTAGATTTTCTGTAGCCAAACTAAATAATCCACATGTAGAGGAGATCCATGGTAGAGAAAGAGCAGGCTCAAAATACGCAGACATAATGCCTTGGGGAGGTATCTTCAGGGATCCCAGCACACCTCAGAAGAATTGAGGGGTAAAAAAGAGAAAAGAGACATCCCATCAAAGATAACCTCACCTTATTTCTTTAGTGTCATGACATCAGAGAGACTTTTTGCAATGCGTTCATAGCCAGATTGCATGCATGCACACACATGCATATGCAGGCATGCACACATGCATGTACGCACACAGTCTGTTTCTTCAAAAGACATGGAGCAACCTGCTGTTAGAGGGGACCTGCATTTTTACGAGCCTGTGGCTAATCCTGCACTTGCGGCTCTTTAGGAGAAGGAGGAAAATGAGTAGCATTGTTCACTCTGTGGACTCTTTCTAGCAACCTGCCGTCACGGAATTGAGCCAGACCTATTTTGCGGAGATCATCAAACCTGCCAGACAGCCTTTCGTCATGGGCATTTCCCCCTTTGACTGTACCCATGGCTACCGCTCTATTCTTGCCCAGAGTAGCTCTAGCAGCTGCTAGAACCACATTGCCAACATTCTGTGACCTTCAGAGAATCCCAGGCCTGGTCTGGCCACCCAGACACTTCCAGTCAGTAAATGCCATTGTATCCAGGGCCCACTGTGTCCTGCTGGGCACTGCACCAGCCCGCAGGAGGTACAGCCCTTTTAGCTGCCTCACCAAATGCTGAGTGGGCTTTCCTCCAATGGGACCCTGAAAAACGTTGTCGCTATGGGCAGGGGTCTTTGAAGGCGGCAGTGGTCCAGTGGTCTGTGTGAAGGCAAGAATTAAAATAAGGAGCTTCTGAATGAGCCCTGGGTGGTCACTGAGAAGGGGAGTGGGGGTGGGCCCGAGTCTTAGAGCTACATATTTGGATTGGAAATGTTTTAAAGCTTGAGAGCCCTCTTAGAGGTGACCCAAACCAAATTTCTGATCTATAACAGTCTCTGCATCCTGAAAGCTGTGCGTTCCCCTGGGGTATGGTAATTTAAGTGAAGTCTTTATTGGGCTGAAATTACAGTATCAACTCATGTACTTTCATCATCATCACTTTGTTTCATCATGAGATGGTAATACTGTCTCCCTACAACTGCAGTAAAACCTTGCCAGTATAATTTCTCATGGTAAGTTACAGCCTCTTCACAGGGTTCCCACGTTTCCTACATTTGAATTAAAATTCTTCTCAAGCCTTAATATCCTATTACAGCCACGATGTTGTGAGCTCTCCATGGCCTTGCATTGAAATCTTATGGGATCATTGCAGTGCAGTTAAGTGGTTATTGGTGCAGCATGGTTTAACAATAAAGCCCTAAAAAGCCACTTCAGAGTGCACACCATCCTGATTTTCTAAGTCTAAATAGTTCTGCCATTTCCAGACGTGCCTTCAAAATATCCAAAGACATGTGTCTACCTTGGAGACCCTAGCAGTTACTTTCTAATAAGGCAGAAACAAATGTTATTTCCTTTGCCTTTCTATTTCATTAGGACTTGACTTGTGGCCCCTCTGTTTCTTGGCCATGTGGCTCAGACTTTGACCTGGCCCCATGGATTATGTAGGGCAGGAGAAAAAGAATGTTTCTATGTCGGTAGCTACTATTAAAACTACTAAAATGTGAAGCCAATTGTGTGGCGTTCAGGTAGCGGAACTGTCTGTTCTTTTTTCCTTCAAATCCTTATGTCAGCAATACTTCTTTCATGATAACATTTATTTATCAAAGTTTATGCTACTTTGACTTTTTATAAAATACCAGTGAAGATAAATGGATCGATTGACCCCAGGAGCAGTTTATTTATCCCTTTAGTCACACTTCAGTGGCCAAATCAATACTCTTCTGAAATATCTGATATTACAGTGATTCCAGTAAATAGTGACATTCCTGAGCTATGTGCAAGGGGAACTGAAATTTATTATCAACTTAGATTTTTTAGTACCTGTATTGATTTTCCTGGAGATGCTTGTGAATTTTTATTTATCTGTAGCTGAGCAAGTGACCTTTGTTTCAGAAAACTGTAGTTTAAACTTGCCAAGATTAGGAGAGTTGGAAGAACTTGTGTATATTTGTGAATGTGGCGTGAAAGTAGGAAGAGGTATTTTTTCAGAAGTAGGCATTTTTGTTTTCTTATCTATTCAGTATTTTGCATTCCATTTGTGTTGCCAAAATCCAGACATGTCAAATCCACAGGTACTTATTAAGACAATCTGTGTGCCCAGCCCTGTGACAATGGCTGTAGCAGAAATACGGCATTTGCAGTGGTCTTGGTTTAGAAGGTGAGATTAGCATAAGCAGAGGTTTGAGGGAAGAGTGGGAGCAAGGAGTGGAGGACAGGAAACAGGAAGGAGACTGGGCTGCTGGTGGGGAGGAGGCAGGACAGGCCCTGTGAGGGCAGGGCAAAGTGGGAGTCAGCGTTGGCCAAAGCGAGAGAGCCCCAGGCAGTGGAGCCTTTGATGTCAGGCCTGAAGGCAGTGGGGACTGTCTTAGAATTTTATGCTGAGATGAAAATGTATGACTGAAAAATTGGTCTGGTGGCAGGAGGTGATCAGAGTGGGTGGCCGCAAGAGGCTTCCTGGGGAATGGGCTTCCTCAGTATCCGGGTGCAGCAGGTGGGCCAGAGGCGACCCATGGCAGCCCCCAGTGTCAACGTGAGCAAGTGCAGGACTGTGGACAAGACTGTGATGCCATGCCCGGGGCAGAGAAGATGATGGAAAAGGAGAAGTTGCCCCAGATCCAGTGGCTCACAGAAGCACTCTTCCTGAGGAAGAGCTTGTTCTTGAAGTTTGCACCCACAGCTTCTCCTAGGCGATGGGCTTGGAGAGCTGTGGTCAGCATCAAGAGCTAGCCTGGCAGCAGGGCAAGGATGTGGCTGCGAGATGGCATCGTGGTACCCACTCTCTCTCGGTGCCTCAGTGTCCTTGTGGAGGATCTGGCCTCTATGACTTGAGTGATGGTAAAGTGAGATGATCCCATATGGCGTTTGACGTTGTGCTGCACACGGGGTGGGTGCCCAGTAAATGGGAGTGGTTATTATTTTGAAGATCCTTTAGGGAAAAAATGTCCATTCTTTAAGAAGCTAAAGCAGAAATGAAGGGAATGAGCACTCAGACATCTTCCACTCTGCAAACATTTTTGTTAATAACAGGAAGGAAGAGAAGCAGCCACATTTTTTCTGTGGTTCTCATATAACATTGTCGTGTACTTGGTGGAAATTACAGAGGGAGCTAGACTTTGAAAAGCCTTAAGACTTGTCAACCCAGCTTATCAGATGAGGTCTCCAGTATTTTTCAGAAGGTAATCACTTGAGAGGCTTTGTTTCTTCTTATCAATTCACAATTAATGTGTTTTTATTAAACTGGCAGATTATAATTTTGCATTAGAGTTCTGGGGCTCTTAAGTGCATAAAATTCATTTGCCTACATCTTTTTTTCAACTACGTATTTCAATTCAGTGTTTATTGGCATTTGCTAACTACATATTCATTACCTTACTGGTCAAATAAAACAATATATGTGTGTCTCACTCCTAAAGGATCTTATCAGAAAGGACTGTCAAATGATGATAGAAGACGGTAAGTGAATGAGGACTAACAGGAGTGGTCTAGACAGTGAGCTCTCCAGAACTGGAAGGAAGTTAGAACCGGGCACTAAAATCCTCAGCAGAGGCCTTGCAAGGTGAGATAAGAAGCCGGGTTTTGAAAAGGTGGTCTGGTGTGGGCAGTGGGAGGTCAGTGTGAGGAGAGATGACCAACATGAGCAGAGAGACCCGAGTGGGTCTGAGCAGGCCTCCACCAAAGGATGGGCAGACCTGGCCAAAGAGACATTTTGAGTAAGTCTGAGGGGGCCTGATAGCCACAGTCCGTGTGACTCTATTTCACTCCTACGATTCTATGAAAATAGGCTGGAATGATGTTTTAGGGGGAGAGAATGGGAGCCAGGGGGGTGTTTTATTTTCAAATTAATTGCATGTGACTGAAAATGAAATTTCAAAGTATATATGCTTACCATCCAATTTGTCTTATACTTGCTGCTGAATAAAAAGTCCTGAAATTCAGTTTAAATATTGGTCTTTGTTATCCCAAAATAGCAATCATAATTATGGTAAATTAGTTGAATTCACCTTTCATTTATTTTGTAGTAAATATCTATTTCACTTAACTTTAGTAGATAAAGTAACCAACTATTGTTCAGCTTTTTAAAAAGCCTTCACAATACAATTAAAAAAATTATATGTAGTAACTAATAAAAGTAAACCATTTCTTTAAAATTCACGGGGTGTACTTGCAAAACAGTTCATGTACACCTGGGAAGATGGAGAGAGAACTATGAAATAAGAATGCACAGGGCCGGGCGCGGTGGCTCATGCCTGTAATCCCAGCACTTTGGGAGGCCGAGGCGGGCAGATCACGAGGTCAGGAGATCGAGACCATCCTGGCTAACACAGTGAAACCCCGTCTCTACTAAAAATACAAAAATTTAGCTGAGCATGGTGGTGCGTGCCTGTAGTCCCAGCTAGTGGGGAGTCTGAGGGAGGAGAATCGCTTGAACCTGGGAGGTGGAGGTCACAGTGAGCCGAGATCGTGCCACGGCACTCCAGCCTGGGTGACAGAGTGAGACTCCGTCTCCAAAAAAAAAAAAAAAAAAAAAAAAAAAAAAAAGCATTTTGACAGGGAAGTAAATGATCAAATGAAACATCTTGACTAGAAATTTAGAGTCATTTCACTTAAATCTGCTTCACTTCAGCTGGAAACTTCTGACAGGTTCTTGGGTGACAGTTCATGCAAAAGGCATCAGGCACTGACCCAGGAAGATAACTCCAAGAACCAGAGACTCCTGCAGAAGTGGCAGGAGTGGGCTTATGGACAGGTGGCTGCAGCATGGGAGTGGGTCAGGATGGCTTTCTATATTTCTGGAATTTGGGGATCACAGGTGAGTCTTTAGATGGGGAAGCTTCAGAGGTCCCTGATAGTAGTAGGAAACTCCTCAATGCAGAATGTTTGGTGCATTCCATAGTACACAGTTTCATACAAATTTACAAGGTCATATAAATGCCCTACTTATTATACAACCAACTTAGGCCTCCCTAGTTATTTATCCAGAAACTTAAGGTGGACAGAGTTTTCTTGAGTTTTATATTGCCAGTTTCTCCATTGAAATTTAGGGGAAAAAAGAAAAAATGAGATAGCTTTTTTTTTTTTTTTTTTTTTTTTGAGAAGGAGTCTCACTCTGTCACTCAGACTGGGGTGCAGTGGTGCGATCTCGCCTCACTGCAATCTCCGCCTCCTGGGTTCAAGCAATTCTCCTGCCTTAGCCTCCCAAGTAGCTGGGACTACAGGCGTGTGCCACCATGCCTGGCTAATTTTTGTATTTTTAGTAGAGATGGGGTTTCACCATGTTGGCCAGGCTGGTCTCGAACTCCTGACCTCAGGTGATCCACCCACCTCAGCCTCCCAGAGTATTGGGATTCCAGGCGTGAGCCACCACGCCCATCCGAGACAGCTTTTTATAAGTGTAGAAGCAGCTATGGAGAATGTGCAAATATGGTTTATTCCCTTCTTCAGTTCAGTACTTTAAATCACTCCCACCGAGTCCCTGCTGTGTGCTCTGTCTGTTCGTCAGCAAGGATGGAGAGCATAGCCCGGACGCTCACTGTGGCTGGCACGGTGGTGAGGGGCTTTGCAGTGTCAGAGGTCAGCCTTTATCAGGGGTAAGATCCTGTCTGCCATGAGCCTGGTGGCCTCTTTATAAAACTGACTTCAGAAGGTTATGTAAATGGATGCAGTTCAATAATATATAAGGGAAGGCTCTGATCCCTATTCCACAAGAATGTCTCTGCACTTCAGCGTATCTAAATTTCAGCATATCATCTTTTTAAAATCAAAGACACACTTCTACTCAATGTTTCTGAATTGCGGTTCAACTTAAAAAACACTTTAAAAATGTTTACATGATTTTTACATAAATCTCTTCCAAAGTATGGGAAACACCTTGTTGGTGGGATTGGACACAGGCATTGTCTTTGCAGAATGTAATTTGGCAGTATCTATACAATTTGAAAGTGTGAGCCCTTCGAGCTTGATGTTCCTTGCTCAGAACATATCCAGTAGAAATAGCCATGCTCATGCATCAACTCATATACAGAAAAACTGTCAACAACCCCAGTGCTTTCTTATACAGAAGAAGTTCAGTAAATCGTGGTGTAATCATGGTGTGGTTTCTCATGTGTCAGTTACACAAAATGGAGCCAACCTATGTGTGCTGGCAATGAAAAGGCCTCGAGAAATGCTGAATGAAAGGCAGCTGCCACACCTGTACATAGCGTGGTTCCATTTTTATTTTTAAATAATGGCACACAAAGCTATTAGTAATTGGTTAATTTTGGATACAGACTGAAGCAGAAGAGGGACTTACATTTTTAAATCTGTGTGCTTTTGTACTGTGTGATGTTTCTAAAAGCATACACCTATGTATTATGTAATTTAAGCATTTTAAAAGTATTTTCCTGGCCGGGTGCAGTGGCTCACGCCTGTAATCCCAACACTTTGGGAGGCCGAGGTAGGCGGATCACGAGGTCAGGAGATCGAGACCATCCTGGCTAACATGGTGAAACCTCATCTTTACTAAAAATACAAAAAAAAAAAAATTAGCCGGGCGTGGTGGCGGGCGCCTGTAGTCCCAGCTACTCGGGAGGCTGAGGCAGGAGAATGGCGTGAACCCAGGAGGCAGAGCTTGCAGTGAGCTGAGATCGCGCCACTGCACTCCAGCCTGGGCGACAGAGCGAGACTCCGTCTCAAAAAAAAAAAAAAAATTCCTGACGCTGATCAGAAAAAACGTCAAACAACCAGAATGCTGATGAAGTACCAGACACTGCTTCTGGTTCCTTCCTTTTTTCCCTCCCTCCCTTTCTTCCCTTCCTCCTCCCTTTTTTCTCTCCTCCCTTCCCTCAACATTCAACCCACCACAACCATATTTAGTATTACCTTGTGTGTCCTTCTAGAGTTTTCTTTAAGCAGATGCACATGTAGCCATAAATATTATCTTTATTTTCCCTCCTTTTTTTTTTTTCAAAAAAAGGCATCCAGGCACCATATCAATGTGTATTTTTCTGGGCTTTGTGAGGAACATCCTGTTTAACCCATTTATGCCTAGTGTTCCATTACTGGTTCCATTATTGCTAAGCTTGTGGGAGTTATTTATATCCTACTACTCAAGGTCATTGCAAAGGTCTGATTTTGCACAAAAAAAGAAATTTGCAACCTCTGGCATAAATGGGTTAATTTCCACAACCATTCCATGAGAGAAGGCCGGTTATTAGCTCCAGTTTACAGATAAGAAGATTGTGGTTCAGATACATGGAGCCTCAAAACTTAGAAAGTGGCAGAACGGGATGTAAACTCAAGTAGTCTGAACCCAGATTCTCAGTTTCTGAGTCCCTTAAATACTGATAGATAAAAATTTCAAATAGAATTTAAGGATAGTGATAAAGGTATTTGGAAGTTTCTGTGTCTAGCCCCTCTCAATTTATGAAAATCAAATAGTGTTAGTTGATGTTCTTCTCTAGTTTATAAAACCATCAGTGAGCATTATTGGGCTGCCGTAACAAAATGCCATAGACTGTAGAGTTAAACAAGGGGAACTTATTTTCCCCGAATTCTGGAGGCTGAAAAGCTCAGGATCAGGGCCGGGCAGGGTTCAGTGTTTGGTGAGAGCCCCAGTCCTGACTTGCAGACAGCCACCTTTGTGCTGTGTCTCTGATGTCTCTTCTTACAAGGACACTCATCACAAGGGCTCCGCCTTCCTGATCTGATCCAACCCGAATTACCTCCCAAAGGCCCCATCTCCAAATCCCATCACACTGGGGTTAGGGCTTCAACTTGTGAATTTTGAGGAAAAACGTGCATTGAGTCCACAGTGCTGTCTAAATAGAGACTGTCAGGCTCCTAGTCAGTCATACGTATTAAATGCTTGCTCTGTGTAGCACACTCTGTGAAATACTTCACATATATTCATATAATCAGATATATTCCTGTTGTGGAAGGTTCTGAGAAGGTGTGACCATTGTCACATCCTGAGCAGAAGGTGGCCCCAGCACCAGGGAGCAGGCAGGTCCTGCCATGGGTAACAAAGACAGTTACGTGGATTTTTTTAGCAAAGCTGTTAATGGTCATGGTTCACCCTGTGATGTCTTCTTCATGGGCACAGAATGATCTGTGGGAGCGCCAGGGAGGTGAGAATTAAGCAACCATATTCCCTTCCTTGCCCACCCTTGGAACAGCTTCTCCTTGGTCACTGGCATTGGTCACCCCCCAAGTCCACACCTTCCCTCTATGCTGTTCTAGGATGGAAGGACCCAGAGTTGAATGCTGGGCCCCACCACGAGCTGGGAGGTAATCTTAGAATTATTCTCCACAATTATATTGATCTCCCAAGATTCCCTCTGGTGCTCAGGATGTTGGTGTGCGTAGAGGCCATAACACTCTGTGGGAGCAGTCAGGGCCTGCAGTGCTACAGAGATCGGATGCTGTCTTGAGCAGGAAGCAGAGCCCCTGAGCCATTCTCAGCAGTGGGCCTGCTCTGAAGGGACCTCTGGAACTGCCGTCCAGGGCAGGTGTTGCTGGGGAGGGAATGCGAGTAGAAGGAGCTGGAATTTGAGAGCAGGTTGATGCAGGCAGGGCCCTTTGAAGACCTCCGAAACAGTAGGCCTGCTTTCTTTCAGAGGCCCCACCCCATCCTGGGAGACAGATTAAAATAGACTCACATCCCATATTAAATACAACAGTTGAAAAAATTCTTTAAACTTTATAAAGTTTATTATAAAGCTCTTTATAAAGAGCTTTTATAATTTTGCTTTTGGAGTTATCTGACTATGAGTAATTCATTTAATTTATAGTTGGCTTCTCAGTTATCATTAGGCAAACTCAAGAATTCTTAGAATGTGGGAAAAAATCTAAGCTACATATTATTTTCAAGTGTAATGAATTTTGTAATGAAAACTAAATGTAACAATGAATAAAAATGGCTTAATATGTTTTTAGACGTTTAATTAAACATTATTAATTTTGACATTATTGCTTTCTCTTTTTATTTTGGAGCCCATATATTTTCCTTCTAAAGGTCTGAAACATTTGTGCGAGACCTTCAAAAGCTGGTGGGCTTTGGCCGGGTGTGGTGGCTCATGCCTGTAATCCCAGCACTTTGGGAGGCCAAGGCGGGCGGATCACGAGGTCAGGAGATTGAGACCATCCTGGCTAATACGGTGAAACCCTGTCTCTACTAAAAATACAAAAAATGAGCCGGGCATGGTGGCGGGTGCCTGTAGTCCCAGCTACTCCGGAGACTGAGGCAGGAGAATGGCGTGAACCCGGGAGGCGGAGCTTGCAGTGAGCTGAGATCATGCCAGTGCACTCCAGCCTGGGCAACAGAGCGAGACTCTGTCTCAAAAAAAAAAAATGTGCTGGTGGGCTTTAAGCCCAGGGCCTGAGAGAGAAAATGGAGATAATCCTGGCTCTACCAACTATGAGCTGTGGGACCCTGGGAAAAGCCCTTCCACACATTCTGAACCTCTGTGTCTTCATCTGTACAGTGAGGCAGTATCGCCTCGCACAGTGAGGTTATGTCTGCTTGCTTGGTGTTGGGTGAAACATCCATCTGCAGCTGTCCTCCATTTGTCACAGGACCAAAGTGGAAAGCTCAGTCGCCCGCCTGCCCGCACCTGCAGCAGGGGTAAGAGAAGTCTGTCTTCCCCAGCTTCAGCATCCTGCCGGGCTGGGCAGACTCTGGCTGCCTCTGCTGGAGGCTGTGATGCTCACCTGCCTGCTCCTTGTTCGCTTCTTTACTGATCATGTCTTTTTATTCTGCATTTTGAAGCTTTGACATCTTAGGGCCTCACTGACCCTGAAAGGCTAGCTAATTCCCGGAGACAGCAAAAGCCTGGCCTGCTGCTGGGAACACGCCTTTCACCCACAAACAACTGCTCCAAAGCCCATACCCCACCTCCTTTTCTGGGCTCTCACACTCTGGGCCCCTGTCTCCTGCCCTAATCAATCCAGGACACATACCAGATAACTCAGGACAGCCTCTGTGCTCCAGATCTCGCTGAAGTTATTCCAAATAGCCAATCCTAAACCTACTTACTCAAATCCTTGTCCGTTCCCTCCCATGGAAAACAATAAAGGCTCTTGCCCACTTTTCTCCCTGGCTCCCTCTACCTCCCAGCTGACCTTGGTGCTTCCCTGTGTGACCCCCACCGTGTGTGGCATGTCCCCTCCCATTGGGAACTGTGTGTAACAAACTATCATTTCAGTGGCAGTTATCTCCTGATCTGTTGGCCTCACCACACATGAATAATTAAATCTGCATTTCAAAATACCTCCCACCCCTCAGTTTGGCTATCAGAAGACACCAGCCTGGGGAAGGCAGGCCCCAGTGAGCAAGGAAATGAACTCCCAGTCTGTGCAGGTCCCGGTGGTGGTGTCAGGGAGGGTGCAACTGACAGGCTGTGGATCTGTACCTGATAGGCCAGGGGCATGCAGAGGTCACTGTGCCCAGACAGAAGTGGTGCACGTCAAAGCCTGCCCCCAACACCCCCACAGTCCTGCCCTTTGAAGGACAGGGGCACGGAGGGGTAGTTAGTGTGCAGCCTGTGAGAGAGTGCTGGTTGGGAGAAAGTGCAGAACTCAGAGAGGTTGCCCGCTTCTTCCTCCTGCTCCGGGGCTCCTGCCCACTCTGACCTCTGAGCATTCAGTGTGCCCGGTCAAGCCTCGTGACTGTCCAGGCAAGGCTTGTTTTGTTTTTGTCATAATTGAAAATGAGCTGGGAATGCATGTATCTCAATCATTTGTTAAAAGTATTTTTAATTGCATTTCTGATGAATGTTCAGTTGAAGTGAATACCAAAACTAAAGGATTAGAAGCAAAGTATTTGAATGTATAGAGCTAGGCATGAGAACCCAGAACGTACACCTAATGACAGAGCCTGTGTGTTCCCTGAATTTTGTACCAATCAAAACCCTTCACCTGTCCTGCCATTTCCCTTGCTGCTGCCTCATTGGGTGGAAGTGGCCACCTGTAGTTTTCCAGAAAATTCACAGAGCACCGCTGGCTGAGCTGGTGTCCCATTACCACTCCAGGCGTATGCTGGTACATGTACCAAATTCACACAGAATGTCTGGGGCACTCGGGGGAGAACACTGTGGGAACAAAAAGACCAAACAGAGAGCCCTCCTATTTCAGAACTCGCCTGTGCACACGCAAAAGGGCACCTGTGTTTTCTGGTGGATGAGGCAGGGGCAGATTTACCATTAAAGAAGTCTAACTTTCAGGCTGGATGCGGTGGCTCATGCCTGTAATCCCAACACTTTGGGAGGCTGAGGCAGGTGGATCACCTGAGGTCGGGAGTTCGAGACCAGCCTGGCCAACATGGAGAAACCCCATCTCTACTAAAAATAAAAAAAATTAGCCTGGTGTGGTGGCACACGCCTATAATCCCAGCTACTCAGGAGGCTGAGGCAGGAGAATTGCTTGAACCCTGGAGGCAGAGGTTGCGGTGAGCTGAGATCACGCCAGTTCACTCCAGCCTGGGCAACAGAGTGAGACTCTGTCTCAAAAAAACAGCTTAAGTTTCAGGGCTCCGGGGTTGAGTGTCCTCTTCTAAGGCCCTCTACTTAATTTCAAACCCATAATTTTGCTTTTTTCTTTAAAGATAGCATTATAGCTTTTAAGGGCCCAGATAACCTGCCTCTGCCCCTGGGAAGGCGTTATGCGGGTGCTTGTGATGTTTTTACTCCTTTCATATAAATCTGTCATAGTGAGAACACATGTTGGAGATGGCATGTGTCAACATGATTCAAAAACAATGGCACAGGTACCTCTGCTAATAAATATATTTCAAATGGATTATTCATAACACCTTAAAAGGACTTGGATTGAAACCTATTGCCTTTCTTTACAAGATTCAGATCTGTTAGAAATCTGTGTGGAGTCAGTCCCCATGGCACAGGCCTGTAGTTCAGCTGCTCAGGAGACTGACTGAAGGATTGCTTGGTCCCAGGAGTTTGAGGCTGCAGTGAGCTATGATCTCGCCTGTGAATAGCCACTGTACTCCAGCCTGGACAGCACAGTGAGACCACATCTATAAAATTTAAAAAAAAAATCTGTCTAGAATATAAGAAAAAGAAAGAATTGATAAATCAGTGCTTTTATTTCTAGGCAACATGTCTGTCCTCCTCCTAGGTTTTAAGCCTAAAAATAAATTTTTAAAGGTTTAAAGCATACAGCTACATCATTATTTTTATGGCAGTCAAATTAATTCTTCCGTCCACCACTTGAAGCCAATGGAGATTGACGGTCCTGTTTTCTTACTTTAATGATGTAAACCTCATTGAAAATGAAGATTCTGGAGGATAAAAAATGGTGCTGTGACTGCTATTGATTAAGTGTCTTGTTGCCGTCATTGTTCATCCCTCCTTGGCCTCTTGGGCAGAAGGAGGCCCAAGAATAACATTGCTGACATTTCCTTGAAAAGATGCAGTGCTTGACAAAGACAGCTGCATGCTTAAAAAAAAAAAGATACAGTTTTGATGCACATGCTTTAGTCTTTTTAGGACAAGTGATTGATTACGTAAAAGAAAGAGTTCTTAAAGTCACATCGAGTTAAATGTCCATCTGACATACTTAAGAATAAAAGTCATTGTAAGATGGTGAGTTTCAAAAACTGCATGACTTACACAATTTTTAAAAAGAAATTGATGAAATAGGGAGAAATAAAGGAAAAGATAATACACAGTAGAGTAATTGTAACATTTAATTGGAATAAACATTTCTAGTATTGTAGCTGTGAAATCCTGAATGTGTTCAAAATGTAGTTTCTAGTGGTGCAGAAAACGAAATGCTATTTTTAAATGACAAAGTTCAAACATTATATGTATACTGAAGCTCCTGTTTAATTAACAGTTTTTATTCATTTGAAGTTGTAAGTTTGTCCTCGATATCTATGCTTTATAGATGAGCTCTCTTTAATTTATTCCAGTACCTTCATCATCTGCTCTCTTCATTTGTTCTCATATTACAGTGAAGTTTTACAATGTTTTATTTTTCGAGTTGTGCCTTTCCATCCAAGTATTTTATTGGGAATATACTTTTTCGTCTCTTTCTTGGGGATGATGAAAAGTATTGTGACTATTAGGCTCATTTCTAAGACATTTGATGCAAATTTTTGACTATGACAGCGTTTCTGAAGTTATTAATATAACACTTGCTGATTTTGATTACAAATAGTGAGTGCAGAGAGCTAGTTCTCAGAATCATGGACGTCCATGGATATTTAGTGTAGCATTTAGGGACGTGCCTGTTTGGAGTTGGGTGGCCCTGGATGGAAGCCTGTCTCTTCCCTACACAGCTGAATGATCTGGAGCAATTACCTACCTTACTAAGCCTTGTTTGCTTACCTGTGAACAGAGGGTGGTAATACCTGTCCCATAGGGATGCCATAAAGGATTAGACAATGTATGGAAAGAGTTGAGCACGATGCCTTTTGCAATAAGAACTCAATAGTTGATATCTACTAGCGTAGTTTAATGATAAGTATAGCAATAATAAATATTTATTTAATGCTAAACATGTTTCAAATGTTGTGTTATGAACCATGATTTTTTTGAAAAAGGAGTAACTCCTGACATTGAAGAGCTTATATTTCCTGGTAAACAGCGCAGATATTTAAGTGATAATTACAATATAATGTGATAACTACATTCCTAGTAATACTATGATATTTTGTGAGCACGGATAATGTGTTGCTTTAAAAAGATAATCAGCTTCATAAACTAGATTCTAAATTAACAAGCACAGTGCTAACACTCCCCTGACTGAACAGTTATACAAAAGGCTAAGGGTCTTAGAATTTATTGTCTTTCTTGCTGAAAGATGATTCTAATAACAATAAGGTTTTCCCCCTCCTATAATTTTGTGTTTCCAAAAACAAATGGTGAGGAAACAATAGAGTATGTTTACCCTTTCTGGACTCAGGGACAGGGTCTCTAATTTGGTCTCTGATTTGGACAGCTGCTATTTGCCTTAGACCTTTTAGGTTGTGTTTCTAAAGACTGAGGCTAAATTGAACATGACAGAGAGGATTCAGGTGAACAGATTAGCTCATCTGTCTTCCATCAGCACACCTGTTGCCCCCAACAGAGGGCAGAACCATTTCTCTTTCAAGCATGGGCTACTGATAAATTCAGCTAGGCGAGCTAGTTCAGCCTTCTCATTAAGGGAAGTTAAGAGAGAAGTGATGAAATCTTAAAAATTAGGAGTAACTGGACATTTCGTTAAGGGAGATGCATTACTTCTTACAGCACTAGGTATGAGTTGAAGTCAATGCATTTTAAACATGGTTTTCCTAAATTGAAGTCTTTAAAAAATAAAACTTTAAGAAAGTATCCTAAATACATATGGTAAAAATTTTCACAAATACTGCTCTTTGGCCATTCAAGAAATCTTCAAATGAAATATGATGTTGGAATTTTTTCTGCAGCAGTTATTCTGATGTAATATACATCTGCCTTATTTTTTCCATCACTAATTTTTTTCAGTTTGGGTAATAAAACTTGTTCATGAAGCGTGGTATATAGACCATTTTTAAATGGCCCTACTCCAGTGGACTTCAAGTCCAAAATGCAATGAGGAGTTTTCCTAATGGCAAATGTGCATCTTTTACATTTTTGTAGCATGGAGGGGGAGGCAGTAGAGGACTGTGGATGATTTTAGCTCTGCTCTCAGGCAGAGAGCATCATGGAAATGTGTCCAAACTGCTTTAGGAGGCTCTCTGACCTTGCGCGTACCTCCTTTATTCCTGAAAAAAAAAAAATTGTAATGACTCGAGTGAGTATGTTGTAATTTACTGTCAGCATCTTGGGGCATGTGTATGTTGGGACAGGCTAAGGCCAGTCCATTTAAAGACAAGGTTCCCCAGCAGGAGCTGGCCAGGGACAAAGTAAGTGCTCCACCAACTTTAAAATATGTGCATGGAACATGGTGATCAGACCTCGCTAGCATGGTCAAGTAAGGTCAGGTAAACCTTTCTGAGGTAGGAAAGGTGCAATCTAACTGGACAAAATGTGATCAGTGTTAGGTATGAGGCAGAGGGTACATACGAGGTATATTTGAAAGAGATTTTTAAATGCATTTTGGGGCATCAAGAAGGAGGGGCACACTTTGTTCAGGACTTGTTTCTCTTTCTACCAATCAATCATTAAATGTAAACTGAATCAATAAACTTTCACTGTCTGCGTGTTCCTTGTTCCAGTATCTCCTGTCATATCTCCAGACAGTATGTGATGAAACTAGTTGGTAACAGGTAAGCCTCTCTTATGGGTTAATGTAGTAAGAGAAGGTAGGTGGAGAAGCTCTATCACATGATAGATTCCAAAACCAATCCTGTGCGTATGATCTGCCCCAGAGCTGAGTTCTGCCCTCCAAATGACCTTGTTCCAGTGGCCCAAGTGGCTGAGCTTCTCTGCCAACCAAGAGTATGATGGAGTGAATGCACAGACCCACTACAGACAAGTTCATGGAACCCCAAGGATTCAGTATCTTTCACAACCTCTAAAACTTACAAGGGGCCATGGATGGAATTGTCAAGACTTAAAAAAGACCCTGCACCCTCTCTTTGAAACTCCCATCCCTGAAATCAGCAACTCCTGGGCACAAATATAGATTTAGGGGCCTAGAGTATCTCTGAGACTCATGATTCCTTGATTGAAAGTAGGAACAAGAAAATAAGTTTTAAATGATTACATTTTTGTTTTAGTCTTTACTCTGGGTAAGGTGTGATGTTACATGCAGGCTGTGTGCATGTGAGTACCAAACACAATTCCTGCTCTCAGGGAAACATGGATAAGACTTAAACAAGTGAAATGTTAAATAGCCCTGTGAGACAGGAGGGAATGCATATCAAGCAAGACAGTGTGGTCATTGGGTTTTGAGGGGGAAAATGAGGGAAAGGCCTTTGTGTGTGAGGTAGGGTAAAGTGGATGAATTTGAATCACATTTTGAAAGGCATTGCAGGTGGGATGGATGAGCAGATGTTCCCAATAGGAACGCCTGTAGACTGTTCAGAAGAAATTGCCCAAATGAGCCAGATGAGAAGGCTGAGGGCAGGGCTGCTTTTGGCTCTGAGGACTATAGATTTATCCTCTAGGTGATGAGGGGCTATTAACGGCTGGTGAGTCTGGAGAACTGAACAGTGGAAGCTCTATTTTAAGATTCACGTGGCAGTAGAGGATAGAGGTGTTTGGAAGCGGTGGGCAGTTGGCAAGCTATATGGGAGACATTTCTGGCTTAAGAACACAAAAAATGTGGGAATACAAATGGATGGTTCCAGTGAATCCCCCAGGTAGAGGGAGAGGCTGGGATTGGAGGATGGTAGAAGCGAATATGGTGAACCCAGCCACCCCCTCACCAGAATGTGTCTCCTCTGGGAGCTGGCTAATGTGGTCTTCACAGTGAAAATTGTTGGATGAGTGGTATAGACATATTATCCTTTAATTAAACATCTAACTTTGAAAATCTTGATTAATAAGCAGGCCGGGTGCAGTGGCTCATGCCTGTAATTCCAGCACTTTGGGAGGCCAAGGCTGGCAGATCACTTGAGGCCAGGAGTTTGAGACTAGCCTGGCCAACATGGTGAAACCCCATCTCTACCAAAAAAAAAATACAAAAATTAGCCAGGTGTGGTGTTATGTGCCTGTAGTCCCAGCTACTGGGGAGGCTGGGGCAGGAGAATCTCTTGAACCCCATAGGCAGAGGTTGCAGTGAGCCGAGATCATGCCACTGCACTCCAGCCTGGGAGACAGGGTGAGAGTCTGTCTCAAAAATAAATACATACATACATAAGCAAATAAGCGTGGTAACTATAGTTAATAGCAATGTATATATCAAAATTGCTAAGCAGATTTTAAATGTTCAAGCCGTACAACGAAAGTACGTGAGGTGATGGATGTGTTAAATAGCTTGATTTAATCATTCCATAATGTATAAATCTATCAGAACACCACATCGTAACCCCATAAATACGTATACTTTTTATCAGTTAAAAATAAATAATCAAAAAATAAATAGTTATTTGCTTTTCAAAAATAGTTGTCTGCTCAAGAAGGAATTATAATCAAATTACTTTATGGACCAATCTCTCCTAATGTAGTTACAACATGATGTCTGTACCTTTAGTATCACAGTGGGTAAAATGAGGCAGTATTTGCCGTGACTGCACACAAATTTCCTCTCTTCATTTGACCTGTTAAACAAATGTGCATGATTAATGGTTGGCGACTTCATGGAATAATCAAGCAGAGTTCTGTCTGCTTAATAAACAAGGCCCCTGAAATAGAGAATAAAGTCTGTACCATTTTTAATTTGGTAAAATTGTGTTCACGATAATGCTTCCTTTCTTCCTGAAATGTATAATAATAATTCTGCCTAGTCTTGTTTTTATTTTCACGTATCCCTAAAGTTAAATTTTAGTTCCTTGCTGACTCAGTAGAAGGCTCTCTGTTGATTTTAGATTTAGGATGTTTCAGTTGGGAAGGGAAGAGAAGCCACCCTGAGGGCGAGAATGAGGAAATGATAAAAGAAAGATCATGTTATTTTCCTTCTCTCCATGAAATCATGGCTTGCCAAAAGAAAAAAGACCTTTGAGGAATGTAGTAGTTCTCCAAATGAAATTGAAGGGTCACTCCAAAGATTAATGACTCTGAGATGTTAATTCAGAAGAGAATTTATTCTTAAAGGCTAAGATTTATTCTGGGCCAGAGATTCTGAGTTCAGCTGGGAGACTAATGAAGCGTGTATTTTATTTTTTAGCGTTTTTAATGGTGCTGTCAGTCATATAGCATGGGGCTTATTCGCAAGAATTTTAGGTCTGGTTAAAAGTCTCTACATTCAGACTGTGAGAACCTTCTTTAATGGGAATTTTTTTCAGAAAACCTTTAGGGGGTAGCTTATTTCTTTTATACTTGAAAGGTTTTATACATGAGAGTTCTGTGTTTTTATGAAGATATCGTATTGGTGTGAATTCATATTAATTATTAACATATTGCAAAGGTTAAAATGCACATATTTCACAGCAAGGCACCATCCCTTCCCTGGGTTGCATGTTGTTTTTCCTGCCTGGGGTCAAATATAAAACAATTTATTGATATCCTAGCCAGTTCTCTTCCTAAACTGTGGATGAAGCTTCAATTCCACTTTAAAATACATCTATCATTGTTCAACACTTCTTCAGAGTTAAATATCTGTGCAGAATAATACCTTGTTTTCCTTTGTTAGAAGTAACGTTCACTTCATCACTTAAACTGCACCGGGCCCTATCAACACAGGACATTGGCTTCTTCCTCACTAATTAGTGTTGTTCTTACATCATAAACCAATTGATGTGCCCGTCAAAATGTGCATTACTGGGAAATTGCTAGGGCCATGCCTTGGGCCCAGACTACAGTTTCTTTATGTGGGCAACTGTCATGACGACAGCCTTGAGCCTTGCATTGAGTTCAGTTCTGTCACATTAAAAAGAAAATTCTCCATTAAAAATAACTGAGTAAGTAAACTGGAACAGGATGGCCAGTGGATTATGCAGGCTTTACCATGAGCTCCTGTCTGTCATGATATGCTCTTTCATCAGCCAGACCTTCCAAGAGAGATGCCCCTTCTCTAGAGGTGAGCCTGCATTGGGCACTGCTGTGAGGGATGAGTGCTTCCCAAATGCAGCAGTCCTCATGAACCAGGCAGACTGAGGATGTGCTTCAGCCAGGGCTGCAGCCGGTCTGTAGCCACTGCAGGACCCCCCAGGCTTCTGTGCAGTGCTGTCACTAGCTTCTTTCACAGCTGGATAGTTTCTACCCTCCCTCTGGGATATTTCTGCAACATTTGACCTCATAAAAATATAGTGTCTTTAGAATGCCTAGATTGGTTAACGATAATTTATTCGGCAGAGTGGGGCTTTTGAAACCCCCTTGTGCAGATTAATGGCTGTTCCCTGGACATCAGGCAAACCTCAACAGTGCAGTTACTTGTGTCTTCATTTTATATATGTTCACCCACAGAGAGCTGGGAGCTGAGCTCTCTCACATAAGCAGGAACAGCCAAAGAATGCGAAGAATGATTTATGGGTTGCAGTGAGAGAGGGTGGGGAGAGTGAGGGGGAGAGAGAGAGAGACAGAGAGAGAGAGAGAGAGACAGGCAAATGAGGACCAATCATGCCAAAATGAGACATGATTTGCTGCTATTTTCCTTTCCCAGCGTGTTTTTCCTGGGTGCCTCCCCAGCAGAGCTGTTCAGTCACTTCTGTTGTGTGTGCTCATGCATAAATTCAGGTCAAGTACAAAACCCTGATTTCTCTATTCATCATAGGAACGGGTAATGTTCTTATCAATACATAACAAGAAATTGCAACTAATTTGGCTCATGACCTTCTTCTTTTATCATTAATGGTTGAACTGGTGTTTGCTTAGCCATTAATGCATTCAGTTCAGTAAACTAAAGCTGTTTGAAATTTTCACTAATCCTTTTCCATTGAGGGTTTCCCTGGACCAAATCACTTCTGAATAAAACAAAAAAGTGAATGCGTGCACAGGTTTCTCAGATTTTCCGGATCAAACATCATTTACAGGGCATACCATTTTAAAATGCGATTTTTTTTTTCTTTTCAAATCACCAATCCCATAGTACTGGAGAATGAATGAACTGTTTACTGAAAATATGAATTGCATGAACTTACCCCATAAAGTGTTCAAGTACTGAGGGCTTTTTTTCAATGAAAAAATGAAACAATATATAGAATAAAAGTAGAAAAAATGGTTTAACACCTAGCTTTTTTTTTTTTTTTGAAAAGATGCTTTTCAAATGAATCCGTCTTTGCTATTTAATTTACATTTTGAGGGCTCATTAGGATGATGAATGATGAGGCAGGAGAATAAAATATACTTCCTGAACAAAAGACAATCTCTGTAGCCTAATAACATTTTATGCCAGCACTTACATTTGTCAGAAGTGGATGCTATTTATCCCTATGATTATTTAAAAATCATTTTTATTGTCCTTTGTGCTGTGTCCTCTTCTGGGAATTTTAATTCAGAGTTTGACACCTACTTATTAACTTCCATGAAGTATAGAGTACAAAGGCCTATACTCTATAAAGAATTCTAAATAGCCGTGTTTATATTGCCTGCAGCTGTACACAAATTAGCTCAGTTTGGATTTGTTTCTATCAGAAATAGAAAGCCTGTTGGAATAGCGGGTAGCCTCTGCTTCCTCCGTGAAGTAAGTGCTCTCTGCTGTCTGCCCCCATCTGAACCAAGTGGGACTTGCGGGGTAGACAGAAGGGGAATTTTCCTAATTATGATACAGCCCTTATGCATAAGTACATTACTTCCATTTCCTTTGCCTCCTCCAACTGCTCGTCCCAAACAGCACTCCGTCATCTGTCGCCACATACAGATGCCCGTTCTTTCCTCTCTGATCTCCTTGCCCAGCCTACACTCCAACTCCCACACCCTCACTATTATTCCAGATTGCTTCTTCCTGAGCCATCTGTCTCCCTGGCTGTGGATTTTCCCAGCTACTCAGTGGGCTAGATTTTTTTCCAGGGTGGGTAGCACCTTTTGGAAATTGAGTGGGAGTTCTGGATGCCAGATGACATGCAGGCCAGGGGTCCTAGTGTGAGGGATTCTCCACGCTATGGCATAGCCCATAGCGCCAGCCCACGCTGCCCATCCCATGGCCGCCTGTCAAGCCTTGATTTCCACCCACCACCTCAGAATGCCAAAGAACTTTACTTGTGATTCATCCTAGAGGTTTTATAAAAGGTCAGGTGTCTGTTTGGTCTTTCCCGAGGGGAAAAACAGCTCTGCCGCTGAATCAGAGGCCTCAGGGTGAGCCATATCCTGGGGAGATGCCACAGCCAGCCCCAGAACACAGTTGGGCTCTCCAGGGGCGCGTGACACAAAACCAGGCAGTGCGTGTCTTGCTTCATTAGCTTTAATAACATGTACAAATGTTTCGTTGTCATTTCACTCCCGTTCCAGGCTCATGCCTGCTTGCTTCAGGTGATATTATGGTTTTTAGCAGGCTGGAAATAAAACAACCACCCACAAGAATTCAAAGATGAATCCTTGGAAAGTAAAATCTTTACTCCTATTTTAAATCTGTCTTACCAAACGATCCTTGCTGCTAATACTTCAAATCGATATTCTACAGGGAATCCAGCTTTGACTTATTGGTCTGGCTTCATTAGCAATTAAATGAACACGTAACCATCTGACCACCTTTATTGTTATTTTAGATAATATTAAAAAGTGATGCTCTGTTTGGTTTTTAACTGTTTTTATATTTTAATGAAAGTTACAGTGATAGCTGATACTCATACCTGTTAAAAGAGTTTGTAGCTACTTTATCTGTTCCCATGGACATTAATAGTAATCAAAAAGGACATAAAATACTCAAGAAAGTGGTGGACATTAAGACTAGGGTTTCTGTATTTAGGTCGCAGAGCACAGATATGGTCCTTGGGCACGTTGGCAAGATGTGATGGTTTGTGAACTTGGCCACGTGTGAAATGATGACTAATTTATTTTGCTGCCTTTGGCAAAATACACAAGAGTATAAGGACCATTCTTTTATACCCTGTTGACTTGGAGCAAACTATCCAAAAGCTCCAAATCATCTTGACAGAGAAACTCTTTTCATTCTCCTACCCACGAGGTGATAGAGAAATTCTACAAAGGTTGCTTGCTGTACCTCAAGGAAATAGAAGAAATACTGATACACACGCTGTAGTTTTTAATGTAGTGCTTCATTAATATTATTAATATTGTTGTTATACACGTTTATGGAGCTACTAGGAAGTTGATGAGCACAGCCCAGAAGATACAAACATGGTCCCTGTTCACAGTCAGAATTTAAATAAGCTGGAAGATGGATGTGATACTATGGATGGTATAAACATAGAAGTTCAGGGAAAGGAAATGATTTCAAGAAAGGAATTCCATGAATCTGCAGAACTCATTATGAACTGTGTAGGGACGTCACTGACTTTTTTCAAAAGCATAAATAATAGGTATCTTTGTTAAAGAATACAATCTGGAAAACAGTTTTAGAACTGCGTGCTTTATGTTTCCTTCACCGTGATCAGCTCCGGAATTTTTTTCAACCCTATGAGTTATCACTTCAGTGCTTCTTACCCGCAGATTCCTGGGCTGCCCATGAGTATAGACTTGATGCACATAAAAAAATTCTGACATCTTCTCTCTGAAGTTACCTAATTTTGTGGCCTTAGGGTTATCTAGTTGTTTTTTTTCTAACTTCTGTCTAGTTTCATTTAGATATTTGAAAGACAGTCCATGGACTTAAGGAATCCAAAGTGAATCCAAAGGGCTATTGTTTAAATCTCTGTGAAGTTTATTGGCCAGAATGCTCTAAAACAGAAAGTCTAAACCAGGTTTTGTTGGCAGGCATTGGGAATCCCCTAGCCAACCCTCCTTTTACTTTTACTTGGGAGACTTCATTATTTCCAAATCAAGAGTTTGGTGATAGTTTTCTTAGGGAATTGATGGAAATGTCTTACCTCTTCTTACATTTACATTTACCATTTACTATGTTTTTATTTTATGAATTCAGTAGATGCATACCCCCAGAGAGCATGAGACTTGGAAGAAATACAAGTCAGTGCCTCCTGGCAGAAACCTGAAATTTTTTTCCCTTAATTTTTATTAAAATCTACTTGTTATAAAGTAACATATTAAAGGGAGAAATCATGAGACTTTGAGTTAATTTGGAAGGCTCTGGGTGTTTAAAAATCCATCATGAACTCTTAGTGTGTCCCAATAAGTACATGATTACAGGTTGAAAATTTTCCCTGACCCTAAAGTACAAAAAAGTCTGATTAAGTCTAATCAGGCAGGGAAGAGCGTTCCATTGCAAGAACTGTTTCTCCCCAAAGTTGTAATTTAGCCACTTAACATTCAACCAAAAGAATTCTGTTCCAAGGTCAAATTGACCTGCCTGGATTTTTCTTCACAACTCAAAGCTCACGGATGACCTAGAGAATATTGCCATCGAGGTTAGGCAACCTTCCTCTTTCCGCTTCTTGTTTTCTCCTACTGCTTACCACAAATTTGCATTTTATTGGATGTCTATTTTTTTTCAACATAGGACTTAACTGTTAGGTGTTTCTGCAACATTTAATGATTACTAATCAAGGTAAGCTGACTGATAGTATCATGTCTGTGGAACTGGGGAGCAGTGTTGAGGGTGTGATGTAATAATAGAGTGATTTGATTTGATGTGTTCATCCAACATGCATTTTTTTAGTGCCTTCAGTACTTCTTACTACTCTCTCTCCAGCACCTAGAATAGCATCTGGCCCACAGTGGGACTTAGTAATACTTATTGCATGAATGAATAGTGCACGTTTTTGTGAATTACTTTGTTTTGGAATGGAAAAAAATTAACACCTAGAGTCTAGATAGTGTCTAGTCTCTATTTAGCAACCTTCATACTAGTAACAAACAAGCAGTATATATTTTTCTAAACAAAGTAGTATATTATGCTCATAAAATAGTTTTATGTTTTCATTTAATCTTTTCATTGCATTCCAAAAATAATCATCCTGGCTTCATGTGTTTTGTGAACATGGTCTGAACTTCTGACTATAGAATGATGGTCTTTAATAAAGTGCCAGTGACAGTCTCGTCATAAAGGAGGTTCCCTGTCTATGCTGCCATCAGTTGTAATGGCTTTCACCACCCATGGGCCTCACAGCCTCTTTCTTCATGCTTCTAATCACTTTCAGTCTCATTTCTCATAGTGGTGATTCCAATTGTTAGCATTTTCCCAAGTCCCCATCACAGCAGGTGGTAGACATCTGTACCTGAAGGCCCCCTGGCATCCCAAATGCATGCCCCAAACTGAGCTCATCATCTTCCTCCTGCCCTTCATACCGATTACATCTCCCCCTCAATCCCACTTCTCAGTGGCTTCACTGTTTGACGAGTCATTCATCCAACCCAGAAACTGAGAGGGCATCTTCAGCATTTCCATGCTGGCTACCATGTCCAGCTGATTCCCATGATTGTCCTTAAGGAATGTTTCCCAAGAATGGTGGGAGACAGGAATTTCCCAAGAATCTGTGTATTCCTCACTGTCCTGGAAATGTTGTTAGGTTAGACCTTCTTATCTTCCTCTCTCCCTCAGCGTTAGTAGCCTCCACCCACTCTACCAACCTGCCCTTATGTCCAGCAACACTCCAATTCAGTTTCTACTCTTTTGCCACTATAAAATCCAACTCGACTTTAAGCAATTTTCCTTCTTAAAACCTTTCAATATGAATGAGAGCCTGTGGATGACTTAGAGAGCTGAAAAGCTGGAGGAAATACGTTCCAGGTTGAGAAACAGCATGTGCAGAGGACTTGGGGTAGGAGAAGTCTTTATATTTTAGGGAAACTGAGGGAAGATCCATGTTACTAGAGCTTCGTGAGCCAAGAGAAAGTATTTTGGCATGAGGGTGCGGAGGCACTAGATCGTATAGGACCACTTAGGCTATGTTAAGAATTTTTGTTTTTATTCTACTGGCCATGGAAAGCCGTTGGAGAATCTCAAGCAGGGGAATGACATGATCTGATTCCTCTTTTACAGAGACTCCTCTGGGTTCTATGTAAAGAGTGGAGTTGAGCGAGAATGGAAAGTGGGACACAGGCCGGGGGAGAGGTGATGGTACCTTAGGATACAGTGACAGCACTGGAGATGGATCGGGGTATCGTAGATGTGTGATATCTTTTGGAGGCAGAATTGTCCTGACTTACTGATGAAGTGAATGTGAGAGGGACAGATCCAGGGGGTTTATAAGGTGGATGTTCCCTGAGGCGGGAAGGATGGAAAAAGGAGAAGTTTAGCAGCAAAGATCAAGAGTTCAGCTTGAGACATTTTGAGATTTCTGTGAGATATCCAAATGGTTGTATCAGCTAGGCGGTTGGATAAAGGTACCTGGAGGTCAGCCAGCAAATCTGGGCTGGAGATGCACATTCAGGACTCAACTTAGAATACAAATGGTCTTCAAAGCCACCGGGATTCATAGCATGTCCTAGGGAATGAGCATGGAGTGAGAAGTGGAGGAGGCCCAGGACTGGGTTCTTTGTAACCCCTAGGGATCTTAAGTGATTGGAGAGGAGCTGGCAGAGGAGAGTGAGAATCAGGAAAAAACTGGAAGTCGCCAGTGCCATAGAAGCCTGAGGAATAGTCACTGAAGGAGGAGGGAGGGGCCCACTCTGTCAAGTGCTGCTTAGAGTGACATGGAAGGGAAAGATGGAAAAGCCTGTTGGATTCAGCAACATGCAGATCGTGAATGGCCTTCGCAGGGACGGCTTTTGTGGAGCAATGGAACAAAAGCCAGACTGGGGCTGTTTGGAGGGTAAATGTCAAAGTGCATGCCTGGGAGACCATATTGAGCCAGGCTGCATGTGGGTTTCTCTGTATAATCCCTGAGCTCACCGGCCTTCCAGAACTAGTCCTTTTTAGAATTAGAAACTTTCTCTAATTTATCCACTCATTCACATATTGTCATTCAATCAACACATCTATATTGAGTACTTGCCATGCCCGGTACCCCTGGTGGAGGAAGAGCTTGAATGCCCACTGCCAGATCCTGGGGACATCTGTTCATTCATTCAGCTAACAGATATCTAGTGCGTGCCTACAATGTTCCAAGCACAAGTGGTAGCGACCAAAAATGCAAGGTCTCTACCCAGATGGAGAATAATCCGTTGGAGGAAGATAGATAACTGTAAATAAAGCAATTTTGGGCAGTGGTAATATTATTTGAAAGATAAATAAAATAGAAGTGGTTATAAAGAGTGACAGAAGTGGAAGTGAGGGGACTCCTTTAAATAGGAGGATCAGGAAAGGCCTCTGAGGTGGTGATAACAGGCAGCCCTGGAGGAGGAGAGCCTGGAGAGTGGTCAGGACTAGGGAGCACCCAGAACCACAGGCCTCGGGGGCAGATCGGGGCCCACTTGAGGGTCAGAGACAAGGGCCCAGAGGTTGCAGTGCTCTGAGCTGGACAAGGAGATGGTACAGGACAAGGCCAAACAGATAAGCAGGGAGCAAATTGCCTGGGGAGCACTGTCATTAATAAGTGACACAAGAAACTCAAAAGAATGTCTTGTCCTTTTTTTAAATGACATTTTAAAACTTTCTATTTTGATTATTTTATGATTTCAAACTTACAGAAAAGTTACAAGCATAATACAAATAATTCCTATGTACGCTTTGTTCAGATTCCACAATTTTAAACATTTTACCATATTTACTTCTTTTTCTCCGTGTCTCACTCTAATGTTTTTTTCCTAATCATTTTTGAGTAACTTGCAGACATCATGCCCCTTTACTGCTAAATATTTCAATGTATTTCCTAAGAACAAGGACAAGCTCTTACATAAACACAGACAATCATTCAGATTCAGGAAATTTAACTTCGATATAATACTATTATATAATCCACAGAATATATTCACATTTCACCAGTTTTCTTAATGAAGATTCTTGTAGCTCTTCCCATGCCCCAACCTTCTGCCCTGTGATCCAGAATCATACATTTCAGTAAGTTCTGTTTCTTTAGTCAAAAAAAAAATTGTCTTAAAAAAATCACACAAGTTTTTATTTTACTTCCTAATATATCCACATCTGCTTTAATTTTTAAAAATTCAACCTAGTATCATTAGGAAAAAACAACCCCCCAAATCAGTTCCCTGTCTCGTTGACTAAAGGGACAGATACCTTTGTTTAGAGTCTGTCCGTTTTTGAAAACCACGTTGAACCAAAGAGAACTGACATTGCACATCAGGTTCAGGGACCAGGCAATTTCTCTTCTGTCTCTTGGTGTCACAATATTTTGAGAACACAGACACACAAAAGGACATGAATATAAACATCCACCTTTTTCCTCCAGTGTTTTTGAGCGACAGCCCCTAAGAAGACATGCTCTGAAGTCTGCAGAAGTGGGCTAGGTAATGTTCTCAGGCCACATCAGGGGAAATTACAGTGAGTAGAGTTTTTTGTTTTTTTTGAGACGGAGTCTAGCTCTATCGCCCAGGCTGGAGTGCAGTGGCGCGATCTCGACTCACTGTAAGCTCCACCTCCCGGGTTCACGCTATTCTCCTGCCTCAGCCTCCCGAGTAGCTGGGACTGCAGGCGTCCACCACCACGCCCGGCTAATTTTTTTTTCTATTTTTAGTAGAGACGGGGTTTCACCTTGTTATCCAGGATGGTCTCGATCTCCTGACCTCGTGATCTGCCCACCTCGGCCTCCCAAAGTACTGAGATTACAGGCGTGAGCCACCGCGCCCGGCCCAGCTTCTTAAAGAGAAGTCTAGTTGTTTTGGCATTTGAAAGAGTCTCTGACCTGTTGGTGTCTCTAACAATCTCAGGAAAATAACCAGGAATGTTCTCAGTGGACATAATTGATAAATGCAGTGGAGATAGCTGATAAATGCTCTTTAAAAAAAAAAAAAAAACCACTAAGATGGTGATTTTTGTCACACCTGGATTAACCAAGAGCCTCAAATGATGTCTGATCTCCTTATAGCCAGTCCATAGATGGCATCTCCATAGGCCAGCTTTGTTCTTCATTGTTTACATGATTTATTCCAGTTAGTCCTCACCACATCCCTGCAGGACATGTACTGCGAATCCTCTCCATTTTACAGATGAGAATACTGAGGCATGCAGAGGTGAAGGAGTCTACCTAAGGCAGTGATTTTCCAGGTAGAGTCTTTGAAAGCCCAGTGATGCCTACAATGCATACCCAAGATCAAAACTATCTTCATAATAATACAAAAATGTTGTTTGTCTTTTTTCACTGTGTTGATAATACATTAGATAGATGTAAAAACAATGGATGACAGTACTGCAGGCAACTTAGCAGGAATCAAAGCGGTGCTACCAAACGCTATTAGCAGTCATTTTGTTCTTTTCTGCCACGAACACCCAGTTTTTAAAAAATGCCAGTTTCACTTAAGAATGTCCTTGATGAAGTAACAAACGTTACCAATTTTATTAAATCTCAACAGTGGAGTATGTGCTTTCTAATACTCTATAAATATGAAATATGTGCAAGGCGCTTCTGCCTGTTCAGGTAGGATGGTTGTCTTGAGAAAAGCTACGTTTATTCACGAAACACTATTTCACTTTAAAGAATGGGTAAGAGACAGACTATGATTTTCAAACTTGAGTATTTGACAGACCTTTTCCCAGAAATGAATGGAGTGAACTTGTCACTTCAAGGAAAACAACTGACAGTGTTTGTTGTTAATGATAAAATTTGAGCTTTTAAGCAAAAATTAGAACTTAGAAAACTTGTATCTGCCACCAGGAGTTTGACAACTACTTTAACTTAAATACTTAAAGAATTTTTTTGATGAGATCAGTGGTAATGTTAATGAATGTGGGCTTTTTAAATGTCGTATAATGAACGATGTTATATTGCAAAATCAGTACAACTCAGTGAACCAAGATTTTCTAAATGACCGATGCATGATGTTAAAAAATTATTCATGTGTAAAAGATTCATTTAGAGCTCAAGATAGACCGATAAATTTTATTTTATTTTATTTTATTTTATTTTATTTTATTTTATTTTATTTTATTTTTGTAAGAAGCATTTTTGCATAGGACTTCATTGGGAACTGTGTGGGTTGAAGAGGTATTTCTTTTCTGAAGGATATTTTTAAAATGAGACCTAGGATTTCTCCTCGGGTTGGAGGGATTGTTCCTAGGCAGAGACAACACTGTGCTTGCCTGTCTGTGTGTATAGATCCCCTTCGCTCTGTGGTGGTCTTTCTCAGTGCTTGTCTCCACATCGTTTGAAATCTGTTCCCCCAAACTCCCAAAATGTGGTATTTAGACAAATAGGTTTGGACTCAGAGGCAAAAGCACATATATGGATCAAGTTCTTAAGGCATTTCTACGGTGATCACTAATTAGAGATGTTCTTGCCATGTGCCGTTTTCCCTTTTTTTTTTTTTTTTTTTTTTTTTGAGATGGAGTCTCGCTGTGTTGCCCAGGCTGGAGAGTGCAGTGGCGCGATCTCGGCTCACTGCAACCTCCACCTCCCGGGTTCATGCCATTCTCCTGCCTCAGCCTCCCGAGTAGCTGGGACTACAGGCGCCCACCACCACGACTGGCTAATTTTTTGTATTTTTAGTAGAGATGGGGTTTTACCATGTTACCAGGATGGTCTTGATCTCCTGACCTCATGATCCACCCACCTCAGCCTCCCAAAGTGCTGGGATTACAGGCATGAGCCACCGCACCTGGCCCACTTTTCCCTTTTTATATTTATTTTAGATTTGGGAGGGCAGGATGCATGTACAAATTTGTTACATAGATGTATTGTGTGATACTGAGGGCTTTGTCATGTATTGTGTGGGTTGCAACTAAACCCATCACCCAGGTAGTGAACATAGCACCTGACAGGTAGTTTTTGGACCCTTTTCCCCCTCCATTCCTCCCATGTTTTGGAGTCCCCAGTGTCTAAGACCAGTAGATTTTAATGTGACAGAGTTTTTAAAGTTAATTGTTATGATTTCAGGGTTCACATTACAACTTTTATCATTTATTTCTCAAAATATATTTTCCATGTGTAGTAACAATGTTCACAATACGGCCTTCGATTAGTTGTTAAGAGTCAGCCTTGAAGAAACATCTGCAAAATAAGCCAGTTTTATGAGCCTTTCCTTAGGTGAACAGTAATTTTATCACCTTATCTGGGTTTTTAATCTATTTTCGCGATGGATCATAGAGAATTCATTGAGGTGAGAAATAGAACCAAGCATAGTTCCGTGATTTAAATAAATATTTAATAGAAATAATGATAGCTCATATTTACTTGGTTAGATGAGCACTCAGTAGATGCCAGGCACTTTGCTGTCCATCCGAAACCAATTGAGTATCCCTTACCCGAAATGCTTGGGACCAGAAGTGTTTCTGACTTTATATATTTTTTGAATTTTGGAATATTTGCATAGACATAATGAGATATCTTGGGGATGGTTCCTGAGTCTATACATGAAATTCATTTATGTTTCATATATGCCTGTACACATAGTCTGAAGGTGATTTATACAATATTTTAGTAGTTTTGTGCACAAAACAAAGTTTGTGTTAATGCTTGTGTGTAGAATTTTCACCTTGTGTGTCATGTTGGTGTTCAAATAGTTTCAGATTTTGGAGCATTTTGGATTTCAGATTTTCAGATTAGGGATGTGCAATCTGTAATTACAAAATGCCTATGAGGAGAATAATCTTATATTGCCTATTTTATAGGAGAACAAACTGAGATACAAAGAGGCTTGAACTCAGGCAGCCCAGTTCCAGAGTCCACATTTTAAATGACATATTATGGTATTTAAATCAATTTGAGGGACCACAGAGTGGCTTCTTGGTGTAGTTGATAAATTGTCAAATTCTGTTTCTTATGGTTGCTGTTTTTTTCCAACAAAAAGCTATATTGTCTGCACTTTTTCCACAGCTTAAGAGAGAAGGGTCCAAGATGGTTACAAAGTGCCTTCAATTATTTTCTTGGGGGAACTTGCCCAGCCTGCCAGGGGGCCTGCTGGCCTGCAGAGGATTGTCAGGTGGGCACCCATCTTCTCCATGAGTTTTACCTCCTTATCTAGGAAGTAGCTCTCCAGGAGATCACAGGGGTGGGGTCTGCATGGGTAGATCCAGCAGGGCTGGTGCAGGTTCTTCTCAGAGCTAGGATGCTGAGGGTACAACCCCGCTTTTCTCAGCCAGTTTCACACATGATGGAAGAGGGCAGACATGACCTTGCCCTCTCCTCCACCTGCTGTGGGGAAGGGGCCTACGTGGCTGCAGAGTCAGGGTAGAAATCTAGGTCCAGAGGGTTGTGGGTGTAGGAAGTTGATGCAGGTTGTCCAGATAGCCAACTACAGCCTCAATCTCAGAGGAGTAATTCTGTCACGTCTAGGGGCTTATGGCTGAGCAGTGACAAGGTGCTAACTGCAGACTGCACTGTTTGCTGCTCCTGACACCAGAGCAGAGCCAAGAAGATGGTGCAGAGGCTAAGGCTGGGGCAGAGGTTGGAGGGGGAATCAGAATCTGCCAAGCTCTGTTCAGTTCAGACACTGGTGTTGAGGTAAGAGACTGACCCGCAAGACCAGAAGGCACACAGTCTAATTCATTTTCATAGAAACTTACTAATGGGGTCCCAGCAGATGTTAAGGAAACACAGGTGCACAGCCCTGGCAGGCGTCACCTCTGCTAGGTCCTTTGTGTCTGGTTCAGTGCAGGTTTCCCATTGTCTAGCCCATCTATCACTGAACATAAAATTTTCCTATTCTTTCTGAGCTTTCAGGAACAGCATGAAAATCGCTCCCAGAGAAGAGCAGGATTTTGAGTGCATCCACCAGTGATCAAAATTTTAAGAATATGTAACTTTTCCCCCTGAATCTCCCCCAGAACCCTTTGGAACAAGGTTTTGTAGTTATACTTTGGTTTTGGTGGCTGTCTAGCACATCACTGCTTATGCTGGGGTGCCCAGGGGGACCCCAGGGTAAGCTGTGCTGCTGCCCTGATGTCCCTTGAAAGGACGCACAATAGTGGCTGTACTGGGCTGGAGATAAATGGGCATGTTTGAGTAATTATTTTTCAATATTACTTATCAGTCAAAGTCCTGTGAAGTCCCCAAACTTCATAATTTCCAAGATTGTATTAGTGGCATTTTAAATGATGGGGTTCTATGCAGTAGCGAGCCTATCAAATCATCTTAGATTCCCTCCTCTCTTCCCACCCCCACCCTCCAGCTCTACAGCTGACACATGGGCATAGAAGGTGCTGAGTAAATGTTTATTGAGTGAATGCCTTCTTTTTATGGAAGGCCTTTGCTGAGATTTAAGAAGTACTGTAATATTATCAGCAGCAAAGTCTTTACAGATAAATGCTGTTGGGTATTTTCTGGGAAGATTGCAAATCCCGTCCATTTCTTGTAGTTTACCGCTTCCTGGGGACCCGCTTTTCTTGGTGTCAGATTTTTTTGGTGAAAGCCCTAAGCTGACTGGGTGCAGTAGGTGTGGCAGGTGCCACCTGGAAGTCCAGAACTAGGAACTTATATTAAAAATAGGACTGTTTGCTGGGCACGGTGGCTCACACCTGTAATCCTAGCACTTTGGGAGGCAGAGGCAGAGGCAGAGGGATCACTTGAGGCCAGGAGTTCGAGACCAGCCAGGGCAACAAAGCGAGACCATCTCTACAAAAAATAAAAATGTTAGCCATGCACAGTGGTGCACATCAGTAGTCCCAGCTACTCAGGAAGCTGAGGCCAGAGGATCGCTTGAGCCCACAAGGTCGAGTCTGCAGTGAGCCGTGATCAAACCACTGCACTCCAGCCTGGGTGACAGAGCGAGACCCTATCTCTAAAACAGAAAATAATAGGACTGTTGGGCCTTGGCATAGCTCCTTTTCTTCTATGCACAAAGAGACAGCTTCATACAAAAGAGAACACAGTGACCACCCAGAGAATAGTAACCTTATCCTCTTTTCCTCTTTGATATTGTTCAGAGGATCATAGATGATACTGGTTAAAATGCTCAAAAAGCCTCTGGATCATCCGAGACAGACTCACAGTTCTTGGTCCTCTTCCTCCAGGCCTCATTGTCTTACTGCTTCCATGTTAAAGCACCCAGACCCTTGTCCAGAACTTTTATAGCAAGATAAAAGATCCCTTCCCTGAGCAACTTCCTCCTGCTTTGGGACACATCTTCCCTCAGGGCACAATCTGTCAGACACTCGCTCGCCTGGCCTGCTGTCTCCCCTCCCGGCCTGATGTTGGATTTCAGTAGGTTGCAGCTAATGTTGAATATATTTCAGATGCTGTACCCTCTCTGTGAACTATGAAGACATGATTAGCAGATACAATTAGCTACTTTAGCATTAAAAAAAAATCAAAAGATCTAGATTTTAGTTATTGCCCTGTTGGTTATTACTACATTGGCTTCTGCAATAGTTTATTTCTAAAGCAGGAAGAGAGTGGAAAATGGGTAGACCTGAGAATACAGCATTTCTTTTTTCTTCTGAAGGAAAGAAACCCAGCACTCTTTCAAAAGCTGTGAAAGCATTCTCATGATCTGGTAGATCCCATCTGTGCGTTTTTCAGTGACATACTTCAAGTACACGAGCTGCCGTCAAAGGACCTAAAAAAAAAAAAAAAGGAAAGAAAGAGAGTCGTGGGTGTTAATGAGAGGGGCCCAGCTTGACAGCTGTGGGGGAACGCTAATCTCTCCCTCCACGTGCCCGCCTCGCCCAGGGGCGTGATTAGCCTGCTCACACTTCCTGGAGGAAGTCTGGCGTAATGAAGTGTCACCCAGAGTCTGGAATGCCCCAGTGGATGCGTCACTGTGTAGCCAGAGAGGTTATCCTGGCTCTGACCTCAGCACTGTCTTCTGGAAACCACAGGGAAATGGATGGAAGAGATGGTGAGCCCCTCCACTCCACTCTGCTTTCACTCCCGGGGATTGGGGGGATATGGAGAGAAAGAACAAGACATTAGCAAGGAACATTCCGAACACCTGCAGTTCTCACTTATCAAATGACTTTCTCTCAAGGCTTTTGGAGAAAGGGGGCTGCCAGCTATGTTTTTTTTTTTTTTTTTAATATAGAAATATAGGCCTTGGGGAGACTGTGTGGTGGATTTCTTGACTGCTGGAGGTTTCTCTTACTCCTGTGATACTAGGAAGTTATTCCTGGTCACTTAGTTTCCCAGCAGAATGACCTGAAAACTCATCTGCCGTAATACAAGCTGAAACTCCTGGTTTCTCCTCAGCTTGTCCTCCTGTCAGTTCCATTCAGGGGAGAGCCGCCTTATCTCAAACCCACTGGGACAATTCCCAGTCAATGTCAACCCCATTTGTGAGTGACTGTGACCATCAGAATTCTTCCTAAAGAAGGATCCTTCGAAGCAAATGCTATTCATCAAGTTAGGGAAGTTATGTTGCTAACTTTAATTTTCTCACCTTTTGTCTTCAAGTGTTGGGCTTTGTTAAATGAGTAGTGGGAGAAGAATGGCTACACCTTATGTTGAATGTTTTTGGTCTTTGTTAAGGTGTTGAAACTCAGCATCTAGTGTACTCATAGAATCCCCTTTCTTGTGAGGCAGGGCCCACCTATAGAAACTGAAAATGCCAGTGCTTGTTTTTTTTATTTTTTATTTTTATTTTATTTATTTTTTATTATTATTATTATTATTATTATTATTATTATTATTATGCTGTGTTACCCAGGCTGGAGTGCAGTGGTGTGATCTCAGCTCACTGCAACCTCCACCTCCCCAGTTCAAGTGATTCTCCTGCCTCAGCCTCCCAAGTAGCTGGGATTAGAGGTGCGTGCCACCACACCCAGCTAATTTTGTATTTTTAGTAGATATAGGGTTTCACCATGTTGGCCAGGCTGGTCTCGAACTCCTGACCTCAGGTGATCCGCCTGCCTCGGCCTCCCAAAGTGCTGGAATTACAAGCGTGAGCCACCACGCCCGACCGCCAGTGCTTGATTTTTTATCCCGCCTTGAAGCCAGGACTTAGAGCCATGACCCAGCGTGACCCAGACTCTTCCAGTCTGATTCAGCCTCACCAGACTTTCTTGTGGAGGCTGGTGACACAAAGACCTGGAGAATGATTGGAATCCCTTCCAGTGAGGAGGGTGATGATGGTGGCAGTTTCTTCTGGTTTCCAGGCTGCTGTTTTCCTGTAGCACCATCCAGCGTCCCTTGACAGTGATGTGAGCTCATGGTTCGCTGCAGAGGCGTCGTCCCAGACCAGCTCTGCAGTGCATGGCTGGGCTTTTTTTCTGATGATGAGGTCTTCAAGCCTATTTTTGCAGGTCTCCTGGAGAGTCTATGGGAAACCCAGTATTCTCTTTAAAATGCCATTCATTTCAATTTAAATTTGCCAATGTTGGCTTTGGCTGCTTTCTACTGAACACCATGTGGAGTTGGTTAGCATCTCTCTTGAAATGTGGAAGAACTGAAAAAGAGAGGTACATAGTGTAACTCACAGATGATTGTAAACCTCTCTGAGGTGGGGAGCTTAAGATGCATGCATTCCATTTCCAACCAGTCTAAGACTGAAATTTCAACTTTTGCCTTACTCTCTTCAGCAACCATGTGTGAATTGTGTCCAGAAGGTAGCCCTGTTTATTTCTGGAAAGCTTGAGTATTGCGAAAGTTTTCCTTAACTGCCAATCGGGCTGCCTAGCACAATGGCTGACACATCGTAGGAGCTTAACATATTTGTTGAATGAATGATTGAACTGTAGTGTCCATCATTGCTTCTCATTTTATCCATAATAGGCTTATAGAATAACTTCAATCTCTTGTCCACATCATAACCCTTTAAAATGTAAGCCTTTATGTCCTTGAGTTCTCACACCCCCGGAATAAATGCTGTCAGTGACTTCCTGTATTCCTCTTCTTTGAACACCTTCCTAATGGATGACATCTGGAGCCTTTGGTCTGTAAACAGGGTTGTCTCCTTCTTTGTTTTACATTATTAATCAAATTAATTTTTCATCAACTTGCTTCTTTGATGGCTCCCAACTATAACTTCTAAGTTTTAGACACACAGGGCTGCTAAGCTGCCACTCATATATATGTTCTTGGAGTTTCATCATTGGACCTACATATAATACCCATTTATCTCTATTACATTTCATTTTGCTGGGTTGGTCCATCCAGCTTAACCGAGATCTTTCTGAATCTGATTCTGTCGTCAAACACGTGAACTCTGTGTGGCTCACCCAAGCAATTTGACAGCCAGGACCTTCCATGCTCATGTAAATTATTCTTTGGCTTGTTATTTCACCACTCTCTGTCTCTAGAGCCTATTGCTCATGGGCCAAAGCTGCCTGCTGTTTTCCTTGAAGGCTTCAAAGAGTCCACTCAAAGAAGCTGTCTCATTTCCACTGGCTAAGATCGTCCAACTGTTGCTTTCCCCCACACCTGATGGCTGGGCCATGGCAATGGAAGCTGTGCCATTGTGCCCTTAGAGGATTTTGTCCACCCACCCAGCTTATATTCATTTCCATTCAGCATCTCACCCGACCGTTGCTTAACTGTCTGGTTTCCATCCAACCACCACATGTTCTCAGCAGTTTGGGCTCAGCAAATACACTGAGTGTTGCAGTGTTGTCAGATTGGCTCTGTTTCAGAATCTCTTTCCTTTCTATTCAGTGCTAAAGGAAGTTCATAGGGGACACTGATTAAAATGCCTCAGGAGCAACATGCGACATTCATGTCACCTCTCAGTCTCCAACTGCCAAGAAAGCATGACTCTGCCCTTTTGTTTGATTTGAATTTTGTGAGGTCTTCATGATGCTGAACTCTGCCTATCACACTCCCAAAGAACATATTACCTAGCCCTTACTATTTTATGCCCAGTGAACACATTGGACTGTGAAGCAGAATTCAGGCAAAGCTTTCAGTTCTCTTTCCCCGATGAAGCCCTTTGGTTACTTGCAGTGTTCCCTGGCATTGGCTAACATGTTAAACTTCAGCTTCTCATTGCTCATTGTTGGTTTGTCGGGTACCAGTCGCAGCAGAGTGTTTCTAGTATCTGGAATATGGGTGTCTTTCAGAGCAGTTGTGGGCAGGCAGCCCTTGAATGGCTGGTCATGAGGCCTTTTCATGACAATGGTAGCCTGTTAACTTGAGAGACTCTCCCAAAGGACTAGATGGATAGTTCTCCCAGCCTACAAGTCTATTTTTGTGTTTTTAAAAATGATTGTATAAAATAGATTGAACACAAGAGAGCCACCCTGGGGCTCTACTGCAGGCACATTGGAGACATTGTTGGTTCAGTCATTTTTGCCACTCCTGGCTTCCTCATCAAGGAAAAGAGTAGGTGGTACATGTAGGGACTTTTATCAGCAGATAAACTTATCAGGGACCCAGAATGGAGGTCCACCAGTGGGATCAGACACCTTTGGTAAAGGTGACAGTCCCAGAGAATAGACCTTGAACTTATTCCCCATCTGTTTTTTGCCTGTGTTATGCAGCCATCATCAGGTTCCTTGGATCACATAAGCACGGGAAAGCTAGATAAGCTGCAATTCTGCAAGACCACAGTGGCTGAGATTAGTAAGCAGCTCATCTAATCAGATGTTGCCAGTAGTGGTGAATTATTGCTCAGGACTCTGTGGCAACGATGGACTTTCTTGACTTCCTTTTGGAGGATTCTGTGGAATGGAGGCACCAAGTAGATGGTTATGTCTGCTTCTGTTTCCTGATATTCTGATGGCTTAGAAGGTCCTCATGTTATCTTTCTTTTGTCCCTTCTTTGTCATTTCCAACATGGAGAGTTTGCTCCACCATTGTGAAAGAAGCGACATCTTTGTGGCATATGCATTTCAAATGAAAACTGAGCATGAACCTGTCATGTTCTTTCATCTGCTGTATCCATCCTAATCTGGCCCAGGGCTGCTCAGTTGGGTGCTAACCACCAGCTGACTCATGCATTCTTGCCGCACTTAGCCCAATAACTTCTGGATATACCCTGTTTAAGAAGGGTCTGCCGTGTGGGTAAATTAGTCTCCATTAAATAATATTGATTGTATCTTGGGGTCAGAGCATCACGTATACATCAACAGCTGATTTTTTGAAGTGTTCTCTATAACATTGCATGTAAAAATCATAAATCAGAGGAATCCAAATATTTTTCCAGTATCTCTAAGTCATAGTTATTTAAGATACTTTATATAGTGGCTGAAGAGTTAGGGTTGGGATTATGCAAACTCTTCTCTGAAACTTTTTTTTTTCTTAAAGAGGAGACAAATAGAATAGTCTAACTGTTGATATTTGTGTGGTTTAAATCAGTCATCATCTGACTTCATAGCCCAAAAGAAAATATAATACACTGAAATAGTTATCTTTATTGCCCAAAAGCATTACTTTTACTCTGAAATAGTTATCCTTTTAGCACAAGATAAATTTTTACATTTTCCCCATTACATAGACAATGCAGAAGCTGTTGGCAAATGATAGAAACATCCATCTGTAAAAAAGCTTACGCTTTTCTTCTCAACCTCTGTTATTACTTGCAAAAATCAATGGCCATAAGGAATGAATAGTAGAGTCTTTATTGAGCAAGGTGGGCAGCTGTCTAGAAGGATGAATTAGTTTTTAATTTCTGTGCTGCCATTGCCTTTGCAGGAAACACATCCACTGAGATACTTGATTGAGTGTTTCTTCTAAAACCTATTTATTTTAATAAAAAATCTTTATAATATTAGTTTGCCAAGATAGCATCATTAGATTATAGGAAGTGGTTGGAGTAGAGAGTAGTGTGGAATGACCAAAGGGGTCTTTTTAATTGCCATTGTAACTACTTAATAAAAGAGGGACAGGAAGAGGAAACCTTTTGGTGTCTGGCACTAGATTTTAATTTAGAAGAGAAAATTGAGGAAGTTTAACCACAACCTCATTCGGTCCACTTCGTGATGACTTTGCCTTTGGCAGGCTAACACATCAAATAAGTTTCAAAGGTCCCTTTTATGTTTGTAAAATATTGTTTTACACTGGTTCTTACACAGGATGAAGAGCATAAAGGAACAAGCTAGGAATGTGGAAATTCCCTTTCCTCAGTAATTTGGGCCAACATCAGGACCACACCGTGGGGCACTGGGCCAGACCTAGTGATGTGGGGCATTATCTGTAAATGCACCTGAAAAATTAGATAAGGCTGTGAAAATGGAATTTTAGTGATCCAGGGTTTGAGAAAAGTCCTCTTGGCTGGAGTAAGGCATGTACGTAGGTCATATGATTGTTTCTGAAACATGAAACTCAGAACCCAAAAAGTTCAGCACATTTTGGCCCCAGTAAGTAGAAAACACCCCGGACATTATCTATGGATGAAATAGTGTGCTGCAGAGGACAGTCCCTGGCCGGAAGCTGGACCATTCCAGTGAATTCAGCAAAACCAGAGAACTCTACCCCGTGTTTTGACAGATTTAAGAGAAAATGCAGTAAAATTCAGCTTTTAGGAAAAAAAATAGGAAGTATAGATATTAAAAGAAAACCTGGAAACTTTAAAATCATTTATCATTAGCTACCCAGGATCACAATGATGAGGTCTTGGGGAAGGGTGGGGGAAGTGTGGGGGAAGACTTCAAAAACTAATCAGTGAAGAAAAGCAGTTTGGCCAATGTGGAGACTAAAACATCTTTCTAAATCTGCAGCAGTTCCCTGGTTGAGGAGAGCAGGGAAGCCTAAAAAAGGTGGCAGATGGGGAGTGTAAACAAGAAAATAGGCCATAAGAGAATTTTTGAGCAACTTGCAAAGTTTCTTTAAAAATAGTGATGAACAAATATATAGTAAAACTATAAAGAAAAGCAAAAGAATGACAAAAACACCAATTAGGATGGTGAAGGGGGTTTGATGAGATAATTGAAGAGCACAGTGGCTCTGGACATTTATTGTTATAACTTTGTACCTTACGCTGTTTGGGTACACAAATATTTATTTTACTGTTATTCTCTACAAGGTACATATACATTAATTATGTCCATTCTTTTGTTATGTATGATGCGTTTCAAGATAAGAAAACAAAAAGAGGAAGTGGTTAAGTACAGAGCAGCTCAACCAAAGCTTTATAACAGTGCCAAGAATACACTCCAGAATTTCAGAAGAATGATAACAACTTTCAAGTCTTGGCCTCTTCTAGTGCATGAGACATTATTTAACCATTTATTTTAAGTGTATAACCCATCTTATACACAGGTCTGTGTGGTAGGTTATTACCCTCATTTATGTAGTGGGGGAAACTGAAACACAGAGAGTGACCAGGATCAAATCCAGGTAGTTTGGCTCTAAAGCCCTTGTTCTTGGCCACTTCTCTACTCCCCATATCGTATTACCATAGAAAGAGCCTACATGTAAGTTTGCATGAGTTCTTACATTGAAAGGATCAACATATCTTTTGAATTGGCAATGTTGGAAGCTGCACATGAAACAGAGTCAGTGGCAACATCAATTTTGGAGCTGTTGACCAAAACCCATCATTTAACTGGCAACATTGCTGAAAATCTGGTCTGTTACCAGTATGATTTCTTTCCATAAGAAACCTAAAGAATTTGGATTTGTGAGTCACTTCCATCTGAAGCCCTCTGATTCTCTCCACAAAGGAGAGAATCACTAAATTCAAAGGGGGAGCTGTTGGTTAAGGGTACAAACTTTCAGTTATAAGATGGATACGTTCTGGGGACCTAGTGTACAGCATGGTGACTATTCATAATGCTGCACTGCTTACTTGAAATTTGATGAGAGAGCAGATTTTAAGTGTCTTAACTGTACATGTATACAAACTCACAGAACATGATAACTATGGGTAGTGACAGACACGTTAATTTTATTGTGATCATCTTTACACAATATATACATATGTCAGGTGATCACATTGTATACCTTGAATTATATACACTACTTTTATCTGTCAATTTAATTTTTTTTTTTTTCTTGAGACGGAGTTTTACTCTTGTTGCCCAGGCTAGGCAATGATGTGGTCTCAGCTTACTGTAACCTCTACCTCCTGGGTTCAAGCCATTCTCCTACCTCAGCCTCCTGAGTAGCTAGGATTACAGGCGCACACCACCACGCCTGGCTAATTTTTTTGTTTGTTTTTTGTTTTTTGAGACAGAGTCTCACTCTGTCGCCCTGGCTGGAGTGCAGTGGCACCATCTCGGCTCACTGCAAGCTCTGCCTCCCAGGTTCACCCTATTCTCCTGCCTCAGCCTCCTAAGTAGCTGGGGCTACAGGCACCCGCCACCACCCCTGGCTAGTTTTTTTGTATTTTTAGTAGAGACGGGGTTTCACCATGTTAGCCAGGATGGTCTCAATCTCCTGACCTCGTGATCTGCCCACCTCGGCCTCCCAGAGTGCTGGGATTACAGGCATGAGCACCATGCCCAGCTGCTAATTTTTGTATTTTTAGTAGAGACAGGGTTTCACCATGTTGACCAGGCTGGTCTTTAATTCCTGACCTCAGGTGATCCTCCCGCCTCAGCCTCCCAGAGTGCTGAGATTTCAGGTGTAAGCCACTGTGCCCAGCCACAATTAAATATTTTAATATAAAAATTTGTTAATAAGTTTAAAAAGTTAAAAGTGCAAGGACAACACTTTGAGGAACGGAGAGTGTGGTTTCTATATGGAAAATACCTGACTAACCCAAGTATCACATTTTTGAGAGAATATATGCATTTCTTAGTAAAGAATAACCACTGAAATAACTTATTTAGGTTATCCTTTTTTGCGGGGGGCGACCATAAGCTTTATTGGCTGAAAGTTCTAGGAGCCTGGTCTGCTAGGACTGGGTGTTCCTGGCTGATCACCCCCAGGCCTAAGCTCCCGGTTTCGTCTGGCCCTTCTGTAGCATGTTGTAGGTTACAACCAACTGATCAAAGATGATTTTTCCTGGTGCTTGCTCAGAATTTTGCAACTTCTTCTCTTGTTCAGACAAAGGCTTTGAAAATATTCTGTACCAAGAGTACTTTTTTAAAAAATTGACCTTTCATGTGATGAAAAATGAAGAGAAGAAAACGTGTTGAAGTAGACAGAAAATGAACACATAGAAAACAAAAATTAGGAATAAACAAATGCATTTCTAGATGATGGTGGATAATCATCGAAATCCTCTAGGATTAGGTATTGGCTTAGGATCTGGTTAGTTAGCATATTCATAAATCAGGGTTTCGCAAACCTGGTTGTAATATAAGAATTTCCTAGGGAGCTGGTTAAAAATGTAAAATCTTGGATCCCACCCCAGGGATTCTGACTCAGTAGGTCTGGAGTGGGCCCAGCAATTGGTAATTTTAACAGCAGTTCTAAATGCTTGTGCCGCCGGTGGTTCCCAGACCACTCTCAAAAGAAAAAGAAATTCCATGCTAAAAAGGATGTGGTTCTAGAAGGCAGGGTAGAGTGGCATGTCTGCAGATAGCTCCAGCTATTCTGAAGAGTAGTGCACCAGAGTGCTGAGGATAACTCACAGGAAAATCTTGAAAGACTGAGTGGGCAGCAAGGAGAAACATTAGCTTTGATGTGGGCAAGTGTAAAATAATTCTATTAGAGGAAAGCCATCCAAACTCAATTTAGCACTGTGCTTATGACAGGAGAAGCGGAGCTGCTTTATTTTGGCAGTTCTTCCAAAATGTGATTTAACCAAGCCATATTCATGGAGAATAAAGTTCCATGTTTATAAAGCAGGTGTATCGGTCAGCTATTACTGAAGATCAAACCACACCAAAATTCTGGGGCTTAGAACAACATTTGTTTTCTTTTTTATTTAACTTTTAAGTTCAGGGGTACAAGTGCAGGTTTATTACACAGGCAAACTTGTGTCATGGGGGTTTGTTGTACAGTTTATTTCATCAACCAGGTATTAAGCCTATACCCTTTAGTTATTTTTCCTGATCCTCTCCCTCCTCCCACCCTCCACTCTCCAAAAGTCCCCAGTGACTGTTTTTCCCCTCTATGTGTCCATGTGTTCTCATCATTTAGCTCCCACTTATAAGTGAGAACGTGCAGTATTTGGTTTTCTGTTCCTGTGTTAGTTTGCTAAGGATAATGGCCTCCAGCCCCATCCATGTCCCTGCACAGAACATGATCTCGTTCTTTTTTGTGGCTGCATTTTTTTTCTTAAGACAAGGTCTCACTCTGTTGCCTGGGCTGGAGTGCAGTGGGGAGATTGTGGCTCACTGCAGCCTCGACCTCCTGGGCTTAGGCAGTCCTCCCACCTCAGTCTCCAGAGTAGCTAGAACTACAGGTGCATGCCACCATGCCCAGCTAATTTTTTTTTTTTTTTTTTTGTAGAAACAGGGTTTCGCCACATTGCTCAGGCTGGTCTCCAACTCCTGGGCTCAAGCAATCCGCCCCCCTCAGCCTCCCAAAGTGCTGGTATTACAGGCATGAGCCACCACGCCCTGCCAAAACAGCAATTATTTATTCACTTTGCTTCCGTTGTGGGCCTGCCAGCCCAGGCTGGAACTGGTTGGGCCCAGCTCCATGTTGAAGGTTGAATTCAGATCTGATCTGCAAGTCAGTCCTCCTTCAACCATATGCTACCTGGGGCATGTCCTTTTCATGATGATGGTGGGAGTTCAGGCTGGTGAGCCCTGCTGAGCAAGCACATTTTAAGCCTCAGCTGCTGTCATGTCCAGTCCATCCCATTGGTCAAAGCAAGTTAGTTGACCAACCAAACTCAAGGGGTAGGGGAGGATATTCCATCCACAGTGGGAGGAGGAGGGGAGTGAATTATTTTCTGAACAGGAATCCAGTATAATGTGGTAAACCAGCTATTTTTCTTTAGTTTATGTCAGGGGAAAAAAGTCATTAATGAGATCTTGAATTCCATGGGTTTAAGGTCAATTTGAGGAGAAGGACTTCCCTAACTTAAAGGTAGTCAAGGAAAAATGTGACAATGGAGACACAAAGTACTTTGGAAGAATATAAAAGAGAATGATTAATTATTTTTAGGACCAAGGTTGAATTGAGTAGGGTTGAAGGATGAGTGGGATCCTTCACCATCAGACACAGGAAGTTGATCTGCTGCAAGCTGGGATTTGTGTGTGTATGAGCTCCAATGTTACATTCCTATATCTTAATGTTTATTACACCTAAAAAGCACAGCATATATTCACTTTAGTTTATTTTTCTAATGAACTCTTGACAGAATGACTTGGAAAAACCTCTCAGTTCTTGGACGTAAAGCAAATACAGTGAAATAAACAGCCCTGTAGTTAAACATCTGAGAATGCAATGATTGTATTAAACATGTTCTAAAAACTAAATCATACAGAATCATTTGATAATCAGCATAATTATTTTAGAATTAAAAATTATTCAGTCTTATAAACAAACTGTGACAATTGATCACAATTAATGCAAATAAGTAGGGTGCAGGATTATGTTCTGATTCTCTCTGTTGTGCCTGTAAATGAGTGGCACAATTATAGGAACAGTTTGCAAATGAGCTCTCAAACAGATACCAATTATGATTATTTATTTATTTAGAGTGAAAGATGATCAGTTTCACAGATGTTTCTCTGTAAGAAAATAAATATTCATTTGAGCAATCTTCTTGAAACCTATGTACCTATGCAAATAGTTTAGTAAAAAGTAAAGATAAAAATTAGAACACTATTTGTCTCTGTGGTTCTTTCTAGGAAAGGACCGAGGAACTTAATGAGTAGTACTCTATAAAAGCAGAACTCATTCATTTCTAACAGTAATTTCAATGCCAGAGGAAGGGAGAAAGTTTAATAGTTCTCTCCTATATGCCCCATGTCAGCCGAGTCATCATTTTAGAGAGTTTTCTAAAATCCTTTCTTCCAAACTGTCTCCAAAATCCTTTGAGAGATATGAATAACATTAACATACTTATATATAATTTAATACCCAAATAATCAGAAGTCTCATGTTCCTGGGTTTAAATGGGGTCTCTGGAGTTCAACATTTTCTGAAATGCTTGGCCATCCACTTAAGAAAGGATTAGGCGCCAGAAGGTTTTTTGTAAGCTGATTGTTTGAAACTTAAAACGTAATTTATCTAAGAAATAATGGTGTGAATAGTAGTTATTTGGTTCCAGAATAGTCCATAAGAATCAATTTATCTCACTCTCAAGCTAAACTAATACTAATGTAATGCTTCAATGTTATCTGTACTCTTTTTAAAACTTTTGCTGCTGTTTTGTTCCTTTTGTTTGGAGGCATAATTATGTGTAATAAAATTCACCAATTTTAAATGGACAATTCAATGAATTTGATAACTTCAGTATCTGGATGATCTCACTGTTGGCATCTGTTGTCTCTCCCCATGTGAGTTCATATTTTCCCGGTTCTTTGTATGCCTAGTAATTTTGGATTATATCTTGGACATTTTGAATATTGTGTAATAAAATTCTGGTTCTTGTTTAAATCATATTGTTAACATCTTATATTAGTATTGTATATTTATTACAACAAAGGAACAAATATTGATACATTATTATTAAGTAAAGTCAATATTTTATTCAGATTTGCTTAGTTTTTACTTAATGTCTTTCTTACTCTTGAATTTCATCTAGAATACCACACATTTCGTTGTCATATCTTCTTAGACTTCCATAGACTGTGACAGTTTTTCAGACTTCCCTTATTTTTGATGACCTTGAGTTTTAAGGCATATTGGTCTGACATTTATAGACTACCCCTCAATTTGGATTTGTATGATGTTTTTCTTATGTTTAGACTGGGATTATGAGTTTTAGGGAGGAAGACCACACAGGCAAAGTGCCAGTCTAATCATATCATATCAGGTCTACATACTATCAATATGACTTAGCACAGTTGACATTAACCTTAATCACTTGGCAGAGACAGTGTTTGACAGGTTTCTCCACTCCAGAATTATCCTTTTTCCCTCCTTCCATGCTATACTCTTTGGAAAGAAGTCACCATTGGCAGCTCAGACTTAAGGACTGGGGAGTTACGCTCCACCTTCTTGAGGGCAGAGTAGCTACGTAAATTATTTTAATTCTTATGCGCAAGATATTTATCCTATCCTATTTATTTATTTGGGCATTCATTTATATCAATATGGGATCATGAAAATTTTTTTAATACTTCACCTTATAATCCAATGCTACTTTGTTTAATTCTTTTCTTGTTCTAGCTTTAGCCATTAGAAGTTCTTTCTATTGGCTATCTGTCCTTTTGACATACTCCATCAAGGTATTTTTTTTGCTCTCATTTTATTGAGGTGATTGTCTTCTTAGTGAGCTCTAAGAGTTGTAAAGTCTGGTTACAAACCTTCTGCCAAATATATGTTTTGCAAATATTTTCTTCCAGACTGTGTATTCTCTTAATTTTTTTGTAACAGCTTTATAAGACATAACTCACACATCATACCATTTGCTAATTCAAAATGTACAATTCAGTTTTTACTGTATTCAGACTTATGCAACCATCACCACAACCAATTTTCAAACATTTCCATCACACCCAAAAGAAACCCTTTACCCTTTATATCTTCATTTTTTCACAGTTTTTTGAAGAAGAAAAGTATTTAATTTTAACGATTTTTTTGTAGTTTGTGTTTTTGTGTCTTATTTAGGAAATATTTTCGTAACCCCAAAATCATTGAGATTTTCACCGATGTTTACTCTTCTAGAAATTTTGTATTTTGGCTCTTATATTTAGGTCTGAGATCCAGTTTGGGACGATTTAATTATGTGCTATGGGGCAAGGTTCAAGGTTCATCTATTTGCATATGGGTAGCCAGTTGTTCTAGAACCATTTTTAAAACCATTACCTTTTCCTCACTGAGTTACCTTTTGACAAATCATTTTCATCAAAAATAAATGGATCATTATATGCAGATCTATTTCTTAACCTTCATTTCAAGTTTTTGGTAATATTGCAAAATGCCTTTCATATTTCCAGTTATAATACTCTAAACCTTAGCATCTTTGTTTTCAAGACTTCCTGTTGAGTGGAAAAGAGGCCAAGCTCTACCTACAGCCAAGGATTGCAAAAATAAAATGCCACTCTAGACCAGAGATTTACCAAGCACCCCACGTTAGAGAACAGAAGGCAGAAGTGATGGGAGGTTGTGAGCTGTAATTAATGACTATGTGTTTAGTGGATTTGTTTACATGGATTTTTCCGTAATAAGTTTGTAATTTCACAACTGCTTATCACACTGATTTATTTTACCCACGTTGTTTATTTGCTTTGTTTTATTTATAACTTTTGGCTGCATGAGATTTAAAGGGTTGCTAAAGACAGACGAGATTGCTAATCAGTGAAGAGATAAGATCATTAGGCAAAAGCAACAGACAGAGGAATGCCAAGTGAAAGTTTTGGTAAAGTGTTTCATAAGACCAAATAAAGTTCTGCACTGAGACCATTGCATGAGGCCATGCACATCAGTAACGCTCATCTATTCCTTTTTTTTTTTTTTTTTGCTATAGATAGTGTTACATTTATAACTTCATTTATATCTCTACATTTAGAGAACTTAAGTGTTTGGCAGATATTCCTACTGCCTGACTTCCCTCAGGTCCGTTCTAAACTAATCATCACCTTTAAATATTATTTGTAATTTTAAAAAGTCTTCTTATGATCCAGATACAAAAGGAACTTTAGCATTTAAAATACATGCACCAGACACAGATCATTTGATGTAATATTTTTATATGTGAATTAATACTGCTATCAGTAATCATGTATTGAGTTCCTACTGTATCCACAAGCTACTATGTGAAGCTAGTAAGTTGAATGAAACTACTTTTTTAATTCATTTGAAACACCAAGGATTTCCATTATAAATTTGTAATTCTCTGGGCCTTCATAAATTTTGTAATTTAAAAAATTACAATGTTTTTGCAGAGATGGGATCTTGCTATGTTGCCCATTTTTTAACCTTGAGAAGTCAGCACAAACATCTGAACACTGAATTGTTGCATATAATAGCAGTTAAGAGCACAGACGTGGCTCCCACAGTTGTTTGGACTCTGGCTCTGCCGCATGTTACCTGTATGACCTTGAGGAAATTTCGCATCTAGAAAATGTAGATAATAACAGCATCAACTTTATAAATTTGTGGTGATTAAATGATATAATGACTATAAAGCACTTAGCAGAGTGCCTGGAAAATTACGATACTCGATGAGATTAGCAGTTATTACTGAGACAGTGAGATCAGGATGGAGAAATCAATAAACCTAAAACAAGATGTGTTCAACAATTTATATAGAGTCATCTGCACATTCCTTTTTCTTGAACAGGTGACTTTTAATCTTCCTTACTATCTTATTTCTACTTCAGAAAGGGTGAAACAAAAATTATGCTCCAGGTATAATTCAAGTAACTGTAAACACCAAGGAATTCAATGGAAAGAAAAGGTACTCAAATGGGAAAAAGAAACATGTTTTAGAAACCATTGGGTTGAAGTAGAAATTGCAAGCAGGGCGATTATTTTTTTAACCTGCTGTAGGGCCATATGGTTGCTGAATGTGTTGATGCTGGTTTTAAGATTCTTGAGTATTTTAAACTTGACATGTTATTTTTTTAATGATTTCAAACATCATTTCTTTCAGAGCCTTTTCCCAATGTTGCTGTAATATTGAGCAGATGGCTCAGCAGCATTTCCATTTGCATTTTGCAATACTGCCATGTTATTTGCAAAATTTCTTTTCAAAAACCTGTGATGTTTTTTTCTCTACCTTTTCAAAATGGCTGCGATAAAGCTATAAATAGGTTCTTCCAAGGGTCTTGGGGATATGGTAGAAATTGAGATTGCATATTGCTTCTTCATTTGAAATTTACGTTGTTGTATTTTTGTCTTTTACACCTATTATGATTAATATAGTCTCTCATCTTAGGACTTCCATCCAAAGGACTAAAAGTCCTCATTATACCTTGTGATATGAGGGAAGTTTCATGCTGAAAGGAATCGTAATGATCAGACCAGCCTTTTTACATCACACTATTTACTTTGTTTGCAAGTACTTGTCACTATCTAAAATTGTTATGTTTGTTTTTTGCCTGCTCCCCCGTAGAATGTGCAAGCTCCCTGAGAGGTAGGCCCTACGGGTTTTGCTCGCTATGGTATCCCTGGTACTGGCACAGCATTGGTGCCCAGCAGTTATCTGTGAATGGATGAATGAGCACATGAATTTATTAATCAGTGACTTTCTAGAAACTAGAATTCTTGCACAGGCAGATTATGAGCTCCCTGGACATCATTTCTCTATCTAGTCTTTTGACTTTTCTTTTACTCAGGCATGTTTTCAGGAGGGTTTTTCCGGGAGTGTTCTCCTGATAGTCTTCATTTCCTTGGGTTTTTTGTTTTGTTTTGTTTTTCTAAAAACCGACTGTGTGGATATTAAATAGTCTCTCGGGAGGTTTTTTTCTCTTCTTTGGGGGCACAGTGGGATTAGTGCCAACATGAAAGCATTTTCTTGCTTAACAGATTGAAAGCAGGAAGCAGGAGAGGCTGTATTGATCAGGGCTGACTCTAGGACTTTCCTTTTAAAGGCACATGATCATGAAAAATAAGCCCCCCAATCTCTCTATTAAGATTCTTATATTTTTTTCTTTTTAAATGAGGACCGCTGGGGTGCCTGCTTGGCTCAGAGGGCGGTTAATGTAGCAGGCCACACAGTGGCTGACTGCTGGGTTACCAGTTCATGTGTTAGAGTTTACCCTTGATCATTGCTGTCCTGCCCGTGACCTGCATTAAAGGTCTCTGTGACTTCAGGCTAGGACTAGTCTTAGAGTTGTTCTGTCTTAGGCCTGCACTGATGGGGGAAAAAAACGTTAATATTGAAGGTTACATTATGCTATATCTAGAAAAGGACCATTGGCTCTAATTATTGTGAAGTGTTGGCAGGTTGTCAATGGAGTAACAAATTGTATCTATCAGCTCAGAGGTACAGTGGGAGGTGAAGACACACTTTTATTGCTACAATTATGTGTCTAGAAAGCATTTTGGGCTTCACTGAGTGGGTCTTTATAGATATTAGAGTTTCTGTGAAAGGGGGAAGAAGCTTCTTCTCTGCTGAATGAAAACTTTGATTTTTCTAAAGCCAGAATTACAAAAGGATCTAAAAAGTGAGGGTCTTTGTATTATGGGTTTATGTTTCCCACCTCTGAGCCTCAATTTTGCCACTGGCAAGCCCATGAGAAGCCTCAAACAGTGCTCGGAGTATGAGACAAAGTGCTATAGAAGGCAAACTCCAGCCCAGAGGCGGAAAGGGAAAATGTAAAATTTTTTCTCCACTGGCCTTCACAATACACAATATATTTTTAATAAAACATCAATGCAGGGAAGACTTGAGAAACCAGAAAGAGAACATAAAAGCCATCAGCTAGAGTTTAATTATTACTAACACAGTTGGATGAGTCAAGCCCAGCAAAGTTACAGAATGTCATGGACTCCCAGTAGTTGCTACCTCACTTTGGAAAATCTTGCCTGTCTTGTAAGAAGCATTATTTATGATGTATTTTCTAAGGCAAGGCTCTGCCTGATAGGGTTAAATGTCTAATAAATGCTGCCTAAATGTAGTATTTTCCTCAATAATGAGCTTAACCCTTTGTTTGCTGCAACCTGTAGCCGTGTGAACCCTTCTCTCTGAGCAAATGAATCTTAATTATCATTATAAACAGTTCTTCTCATTATGTTTTTATGGATGGCATCTTTTATAGCTTGCTAATTAGAAGCATACAGAACTGAATGCTTGAAGTTAAATAACATAAACAGGGTTGTAATAGATTTTCATGTTGAATACTTTATTGATTTATCATTAATTATAATCTCTCAAATCTCTACCCAATTAATCCATTTAATTTGTTAGCTGCTATAATGACTCTTATTTCATAATTTTAGATTGGTACTTTTAGAATAAATAATCTTTGTATTCTCTGTATGGGTTTTCTTAACAAAGAAGTCATAGACTTACTACTACACTAACCCAGAAAATACAGAAATTTACCATTCAACGTTTTATTAATAAAATTGTTGGAAATGACCAGAATTATAGTCTTAAAGTTAGAATCTTACATTTTAGAAGTGTAGGTTAATAAGTAACTTCCACTTAATCATTTAACTTCTGATTGAACATGAAATCAATCATGCTTACTTTCTTTGTAGATTATTCTAACTGTGAAAAAGAACTTTTGGGAAGCTGGACTAGTCCCTGGACTTTCCCCCATTAGTTCAAACTCCCGTGTCTGGAATGACCCAGAATGAGTATGAACCCTGTCCCATTAATAACAATGTCCTTTAAAAACACGAGGCATCCAGTGTGGTCCATTTGATTCTCCTTCCCGTGACACTTTCTGCAGCCATTCCTCAAATGCTGAGACCCTTCCTTGGTCTTGCCATTCTCCCTAGACTCTGGAGCTTTCAGCTTAGCGACAAAGGTAAACATTAAACACACAATTATGACTCAGAGTAATGAAGTTCTCATAGTGGAAGGAAAAAATACTACAGGTTTATAAGTAGGAAGAGGGGAGGAGGCTAACAGCCTGGGGCTTATACTGTGTTTTGGATGTCAGATAGCATGCTTATTTAACAGACAGATTACAAGCATAAAGCCCCATCCCACAGTCCCATACCCTTACCCTGGTCTAACTTTTCCCTATAACATTCCATATTCTACTATACTTTATAATTTATTTATTATTTTACTGCCTCATCTCATTACAATATAAACTCCATGAGGACAGGAATTTTTGTCTGTCTTATTCACTTATGAATCCTTAGCATATAGGACATGCTGAACACATAGTAAGCACAATGAAGTATTTGTTGAACAATACTCCTTAGGCATGGCTGTTCAATTAGCTACCAGTCCGTCCAGCTATATGAGCAACCAATCCATCATTTCCTTCTACCCACTGGGAAATCAATCTTGCAGAAATCTAAACACATTATATTTAAAAACCAGAGGAGAATGGTAGAGATAACATCATCTGGTTCTTGTGAACTCTTGTTGCCTCCTAGTAATCATTGCTTTCTTTTCTAAATACGAAAATACTTTTTATGTAATTCTAAAATAAAATAATCGTATTTATATACTGATCAGCTGTTGTGTAGTAGGCACCTTGTAAATGCTTTATATGCGTTGCCTCATTTTTAGCCCTCACATTTCGTAGGTGCTGTTACTGTCTCGGTTCTACAAATGAAAAACGTATGGTCTAGAGAAATCAGATGACGCCCCCACCGCAGGGACATATGTAACTAATGGCAGAATTGGGTTTGCAAAGGTCCATGTTCCTGCCTACTGCGCCACACAACCTCTGGTGATTTTGAGGACCCAGCAACAAATTAGTCTGCAATTTGAGGATCCTATCTTAGGGAAGAGCTAGGACATTTGCTTTTTCTGGCTGTGGTTTCTTTTAGAGAGTTGTTCTGTGACTGTATCTGCCAGTCCCTCCAATGCCATGGGTGCTGTTTTCCCTGGGGCTGCCATGTAAAGTGGTTAAAACATTCTCTTACTATTGCCATCTAACTGGGGTGAGTCCTCTCTTAATTTGTTCTGCTTGTAACTTTGAGGATGGTTTATGGTGTGCAGGCAGAAGTGAGGTAGAAGTGGAATCATGCTTTTCTCTGTCATCCATTGATTTTGTACCATTTCACACTACACCATTTACCTAAGCAGTAGCCAGTCTTTTCTTACATTCACTCTTTAGACTACCTGGCACATCTTCCAAGTCCCCCATTTGGTTGCATGTTACATTAAGTAGTCTGTATCATTTACTCCTTTACTACTGCTAGGTTTCCGAGTGTCCTCTTTTTTTAGCCTAATGGAAGTAGTTTCTAAAAACCATCTACTTTCCCAGTGCTAGAAATCAAGTCCATAATTAAGCATATTATTCCTTAGCGTGATTATGTTGGAGAGGAGATTCGAGAGATAACTGAATGATTTTTTATTTTATTTTTCTGTAAGCCTTTAAGTCATGGCGTTAGATAGAAAATAACCATGACAATTTTTCGTTTATACTTACTGACTTAATTTGACTGCTCTTATGGGTGTTTATCACAAAATGATCATTTTTTGTTAGATTGTTCCAACATCATCTTGGATGTCTTTTAGTTGGATTACAAGCCTTTTTAATTAATTTATTTTATATTCAGTAAACACAAACTTTTCTCCATTGGAAAGGTAAATTCTTGGTGCAGAAATTTGCTTTATGATCAATTCTATACTCTAATATTCTCTTGAGAGAAGCCAAAGGTTGTGAAGCCAAAAAGTGGCCTAAGCACATGGTTTTCTTTGCAGCTTTTCCCTGTACGTGGCGGATCTCATACACAGTGTTAGGTGGCATTGAAGCAGGAATATCTGCATTCTGTCCAGATAGAATCATGCCAGAATAATCTCAGCATATTTTACATGTGATGTCTTTTTTTATATTTTCATTTCATTTATTTATTTTATTTTTATTTTTATTTTTTTGAGGCAGAGTCTGGCTCTGTTGCTCAGGCTGGAGTGCAGTGGCATGACCTTGGCTCACAGTAACCTCTGCCTCCCAAGTTCAAGCGATTCTCCCACCTCAGCCTCCCAAGTAGCTGGGATTACCGGCACACACCACCATGCCCTGCTAATTTTAGTAGAGACAGGGTCTTGAACTCCTGACCTCAGGTGATCCCCCCACGTTGGCCTCCTGAAGTGCCAGGATTACAGGCATGAGCCACCGCACCCAGCCTCTGATGTCTATTTCTTATTGACCCTTTTGTTTTGTACAACTGTTTGTTCTCCCTTTAGATTACAATACCATGGAGTTTTATAATAATAGTGTGGGCGTCAAGATACAGAGAGATTGTCTTCACCTTGGGTCCCACCCAGAGGCTTTAGAATGAGGATAGAAAGCAGTTCTGAAGCTCCCTTCCCTTCTGAGTTGCTGAGCAGGATCACCCGGGGCTAACTTTATCTGGTGATGTTTTACGTGAAAATTCAGTGGTCAGCAGTCACTGCTGAGACGTTCTGAAGCCAGCTCTGAAAAACGAGAGGGGACACATGTGAGGATTAATATCTGAGTTCAGCCCCAGATACCCCAAGTTCTACAAGCAGAAGGACTCACTCTGCCTTTTACTGGGACACGCACCTTGTTTTTCAAGGCTCTGAACATTTTATGGGAGTAGAAGGGAAAAGATAAAATAGATTGCCACTATAATAGCTCTCTTCATATCCTGCAAATATTTTCCAAGACTAACAGTAAAGCAACACCAGTAGAATAAAGAATGAAAATGCACCCACCTCAGCCTCCCAAAGTGCTGGGATTACAGGCACGAACTAAAGGTCAGGAGTTCGAGACCAGCCTGGCCAACATGGCGAAACCCCGTTTCTCCTGAAAATACAAAAATTATCTGGGCGTGGTGGCAGGTGCCTGTAATCCCAGCTACTCTGGAGGCTGAGGCGGGAGAATTGCTGGAACCCAGGAGGCGGAGGTTGCAGTGAGCCAAGATAGCGCCATTGCACTCCAGCCTGGCCAACGAGCGAAACTCTGTCTCAAAAAGAATGAAAATGCTATAAATGTTCATAAATTTAAAATAGGGTGTTGTAGGTAGATCGATTTAAAAATATAAAACTTGGAGTATTGAAAAATTCCTCAGCAGCCAACAAAAAAAGTGCCAGTTTCTCACTCATGTTTTCCAGTGCTACCTGCTCCCACCTCTCAGATAAGCCTTCTCTCCTGTGCTCTGGCTGATTTTAGCTGTATTTATTTATTCAGCATTTATTTCTAGCGTATCACCTCAGAGAGCATACATAGAAATGGCTGATGTTGAGTATGCAGAATGAACCCTGTTCTGAGGGTCAGGAAGAGCTGAGACCCCGTGGGGAAGGTCAGATGATAATGGAGAGAAAGATCCATAAAGAACATGACATAGGAAGGGTGATTTGTGAGTCTGCTCTTTTAGCAAAATGCTTAAATAAAATTAATAGAATGTGCCAAATAGAATATCGTCAAATACGCAGCAGCACTTTTGCCATTTACAATGGTCATTTCCATTCATGGCTAAAAGGGAATTGATTATCCATCTTACTGTGGGACACAAATTAGAGTGGTGCTAAGTAGGATCTTTAAGTGGTTAGTTTCTTCAGCCACATTAGATTACTCTGTTTGTCTTGCAAGCTTTTGTGTTCAGAATTTTATGATTAGAAAACTGACTATAAGTGATAATCAGATGTGTTTTCGTGTACATTTCCTGCCATCCCTTAAAAAAAGAATATTAGATCATATAAATGGAATTGTATAAAGATTCAGGAAAATGTTCGGCCAGGCGCAGTGGCTCACGCCTATAATCCCAGCACTTTGGGAGGCCAAGGCGGGCAGATCACCTGAGGTCAGGAGTTCGAGACCAACCTGGCCAACATGGTGAAACCTTGTCTCTACTAAAAATACAAAAACTAACCAGGCATGGTGGTGGGTGCCTATAATCCCAGCTACTCGGGAGGCTGGGACAGGAGAATCACTTGAACCTGGAAGGTGGAGGTTGCAGTGAGCCAAGATCACCCCGTTGCACTCCAGCCTGGGCAACAAGAGCCAAACTCCGTCTCAAAAGTAAATACATAGGCTGAGTATGGTGGCTCACGCCTGTAATCCCAGCACTTTGGGAGGCTGAGGCAGGTGGATCACGAGGTCAGGAGATCGAGACCATCCTGGCTAACGTGGTGAAACCCCGTCTCTACTAAAAATACAAAAAATTAGCCGGGTGTGATGGTGGGCACCTGTAGTCCCAGCTACTCGGGAGGCTGAGGCAGGAGAATGGTGTGAACCCAGGAGGTGGAGCTTGCAGTGAGCTGAGATCGCACCACTGCACTCCAGCCTAGGCAACAGAGCAAGACTCCGTCTCAAAATAAAGAAATTAATTAATTAATTTAATTAAAATAAAGATTCAGGAAAATGTTCAAGAGGAAATGGTACATTTGCAAAATCTCACTGAAGTTTGCCTGTAATGTGAGGATTAAATGACTTCAGCATTGTCACTCCTGCCTGAACCTGTGTGATCTTCTTCTTGGTAAAATTAACGACGTAGGGTTTTAGGTGAAAGAACACAGAAATCTTAAAGTATTCTTATCAATGTCAAGTTGCAAGTGGGAAGCCCTGTAACATGGTTTCTTCACCCAGTGTTGACAGAGCAGTGTGAAAGACGACCCCAGTAGACAGTACTGTGGTACTTTTTTGAGACATGACCCCATGGATAAGCACTCAATATCAATTAGTCATCAGGATATGAAATCACTGTCTGCTTCTCATCTCCCATCTCTTCATGCCATCAATAGGTTCTTGACATCGTCAGCACACTGACAGACCACTTAACTTTCTGAAAACCAAATATGCTTTTAACTATAGGCTCTGATTCAGATCGCTAATTTCTGTTCATAAAAATAATAACATAATTGAAATACCTTGTCCTAGTGCTAAATATCTGACAGAAAATTATTAGCTCTTTAACAATATTGTCTGCTAATAGAAGACTGATACTTACTCTCTAATTTACAGGTACCAATGTGGGAATTAGGGAAGTCAAATGACTTGTTAATGGTTTCTGTACTTAATGGATATAAGCCTAATTTTAATGAAGTAAATAAATGTTGATGTTCTAAGAATTTAGAACATTGGTGGTTTGCTGCTGTTGTAGTAGTTTTTGGATAAAGCAAAGACATTTCTTTGTAATGTAGATAACCGGCATTATTCTTATAAAGTTTAGGACTTTCATTTTGTAAATAGTCTTTTTTTTTTTAGTGTATTGGTCATTAATTTATTCATTCAACAAATATAATCGAATGCCTGCTCTGTTGTACTGAGTTCTCTGCTAGGAACTGGTCAGAAACACGTAAATGAGAGGCAGCACATCCACTGGAAAATCTACCAGTACAAGCAAATGGTACCCATGAACATTTTCTCATGTTCTTCTTTTCAGTGCAGTGTAAAATGTTTTAATACAGTAAAATCATTGTAAAAAGTAAGCCAGGCATGCTGGCTCATGCCTGTAATCCCAGCACTTTGGGAGGCCGAGGTGGGCAGATCACCTGAGGTCAGGAGTTTGAGACCAGCCTGGCCAACATGGTGAAACATCATCTCTACTAAAAATACAAAAATTAGGGTGTGGTGGTGCATGCCTGTAATCCCAACTGCTCAGGAGGCTGAGGCAGGAGAATCACTTGAACCCGGGAGGCAGAGGTTGCAGTGAGCCGAGATGGCGCCACTGTGCTCTAGCCTGGGAGACAGAGCAAGACTCTGTCTCAAAAAAAAAAAAAAAAAAAAAGAAAAGAAAAAATAGTTCTCGTATTGATGGGGAATGGGGAGAAATTACGCATTGGTTACAGGGTTTTACTTTGAAACAGTGGAAATATTACAGAGCCAAATAGAGGTGATAATGGTTTACAACATTGTGAATGTACGAAATGCCCCTGAATTGTTTACTTTAAAATGGTAGATTTTATGTTACTTGAATTTTGCCTCAATAATTTTTTTAAAATTAATGTAGTTTGTGGTTTGCTCCTCTTCGTACATTGATTTGGCTTTATATCATATACCAGAATTGGGAGGTATCTGAGAAGTCTAGCTCAGTCCCTTTCAGGTCTTTTTTTGTATCTTTCAGTAAAACGCAGAAGTTTTTTATTTTCCTTTTTTTTGTTTGGTCTTTTTGGTTGTTGTTGTTCTTGTTTTTGAGATGGAGTCTCACTGTGTCATCCAGGCTGGAGTGCAGTGGTGCACTCTTGGCTCACTGCAACCTCCACCTCCCGGGTTCAAGTGATTCTCCTGCCTCAGCCTCCAGAGTAGCTGAGACTACAGACACCATCACACCTGGCTAACTCTGAAGTTTTAAAAACAAATCTCAAACATTTCTTGTTGAGGTTATCCTTATTTATTTTTCTTAAATTATGGATGGGATTTTTAAATATTTTTAAATTGTTTACTGCTACACAGAAGAGCTATTGAGATTTGACTGTTTAGTTTATAGTCAACTAATATAATTATTAACGATTTTAAAATAACAGTGAGTTTCAGTTTTTCTGGATTTATGATAAACACTCTGTAAGCTGATATAAATACAGTTGACTTATTTTCCCTTGGTGATACAATACATTAAAAGGACCCTAAAATTGAGTATTGAAGCTGAGCTTTTGTATCCTTTGTCTGTTAGGAAAAATAGGGATGGATTAAATACTTCTAACTATAATAATTATATTTCTCTTCCTTTTTCCTAGCATATCTCATTTTGATGCTCTGTTAAAGCCCTGGCTGTTTGTGTATTTTTCCTTTGCATTTTCCTCATCTACATATATAGATGATGGTGGAGACAGGAGGATCAGAGGAGGCTCAGAGGCAGCTGGGCTTCTAGCTTGGGGATTGGGAGCAGAGTGAAGCCCCTGACAGGGGATGGTACAGGTTAGGTGTGAGACAGGCTGAATTTGGGAGAGAACTGGCTGTCTGCCTCTGTTCACAGGTGGCCCTATCCTTAAAGATAAGGCAGGAGACACAGTTGTAGGGATGGACTTCCCATGGAATTATGATGGTCCCTGCATCTGAGCTCAGATTCTCACCAATGCTTTTGTGGTATTGACAGCATACCTAACTTTTTGTATGTCAGGTTTGTGATAAATCAAGAATAGATTGATTTAAAAATATTTCTGCAGGAGTGTTTAAGAGTGTACATGGGATACACAATTTCTAAATGCTTGAGGGTCTTTTGAGTGCTTGAAGATAAACAAAGGCATTGTGATTTGAAAGTAGTAGTATTTTAGAATGCAAGTTCCACCTGAAATGTGTGTGATAAAGAGTTAAACTATTTTCAAAAATGAGGACTTGTGCAGCCCATCTCTGCAATGAAATACCATTTCCCACTGATTTGATCACACTCTTTTTCCTTAAGCCCTGCTTCTCCCCATATTCTGTGCTTGGCATGGTAATTAGGGACTTCCACCATCAGGGATGGGATGCTCCTGGCTATTCCCCGAGCTACACTTACCCACAGCATAGTTCTGTACATTTCTTGGCAGTGTGCGGCATGTACATTTAAATGGTAGGATTTAGGGAAATCACATGCTAGACAGTGCTGTAGAAGAGGAGAATCAGCTGGGGTTGCTAGCTCTTAATTGAAGTTTAGTTGGAGGTTCAATGAGGTGAGACTGTTATGACAGATTTCAAAATGTAATGATAGGAAAATGAGGTGGGTTCCTCAAAGTTGGAGTAAATACGGAGCAACAGCTCAGCAACTCAGCATGAAACAACAGCTACAAACCGTCAAAAAATACAGAGTAATTAAAATGTGCATTGTGCAGCCTTCCTTCTCAGTGGGTACCTTTCCAAGGAAAGCAATAACTTTATTGTGAAAAATATAAACACGAATTTGGAGATGTAAATTACATGCATATTTTAATCTTGTTGATAAACATGGAAAGTTTTCAAAATGTAAATATAATCAAAGTAAGCACACAACTGCAGCTGAAACCAGATTTGAGAAAGACCTCAAGAAGGTAAACGTACCCCAGATCCCCCAACCCCAACCCTACCTATCTACCTACGCTTTCTGTAATTTGGAAAAGATAAGGTGGAATTCCATCCTCCTACTTCTAAGGACACAAACCCTTACCCCTTATTTTTTAATGTCACAGAAGGGGTAGTAGATTTGACTTTTTCTCTCTACTTCCCCTCTCCTCTCTTCCCCCTTTGGTCTACACGTGTAGTGTTGGAGATTAGCTAGTGAGAGGCAATGATCAAGCGCTGAGTAATGTGCCACGTGGAAAAGGAGGAGGAAATTTACCCCAATACTATCTGCATTCTTTTATTTTCATACTGTGAGCATGCAAGTTACCTCAGCATGAGCCAGCTCTAGGGATTGAGCTGCAGGAAGACAGCATGAGATAGTAGAGAACTCAATGAGCTGGTGTTGAAATGTGAGTGGATTCTGCCTCAACTGTGTCTTGCTGTCAGAATGATTTTTGGACAGAGCCCTTCACTTCTCTGAGCCATGGCATCTCCATCTGTTAAAGTCATTGACTTGGGCTGAAAGGAGCTCCAAAGTTCTTTCCCATTCAGATTTTCTACGATACTGTGGCCCATGGATTCACTCCAATCTAAATGGGGTCCTGGAGATTCAAACCAATGTGGTACTCTTCTTGAGTCCCCAGAACATTTCTCAGTGTTCTGAAAAGACTCAAGAGGTTCCTCTGCCAAAGACTGTCCATGCTGTAATTTAAGGCCAGGACTTCCTGAGACTGTTGTTAGAAGTCCCTCACCCTGGCCTCACCTCTGCCGCCTCCTTAGCTTTACAAAGGGCCTTCCTAGTAGGGAATGACCTGATGTCTGTCCAGACCATCAAGGCTTCTGGTTGGAGCTGCCTTAGAGATGACTTAGTGTAAAGATCCTACATCTATGTCTCCAGTGATGAGAGAAGTATCTAATAGGGCATCTATCCTGCATTTCTCTCTCAGCGCATTTCCTTATCAGAGTAGAATAGTTGAAATGTATAGGATTATAAGGGAGATAGTTATAAAAGCAACCTGTCATTTATATAAACTACATCAAAGGAAATTAAAGTGTGATATTCAGGGAAGCTTAGCTTTAAGGAATTAAACCCGAAGTTTAATTTTAAGAGTATTTGTAGTGTGCTGTTATATCTGGGTGATTCCACCAGGAGGACCTGAGGTCAAGTTTTTCTTGATTAATTGTTTTGTGGTAGAAAACAGAAAGCACATTGAGAATTCAGCATTTGCCCTGCCAGCATATTATGCAGTAGGAAATGGTTGGGACTTAGAAGTAGGATAAGAGTCATGATTAATGATATTCTGTAGGTTTGACGGTACATTTTCTAATTCAGACCACTCATTCCCACCATGAACGCCAAAGGAAATCCTTCCAAGTGACCATCAAGCCCCCCGGCCCGACTGAGACTTTCCTATATAACCTTTGTGATGGTCACCTCAGGCTTCCCTGGAAAAGGATCAGGTTCCAAAAGAGCTCTCTGATCCAGTTGTATCAGAGTGTCAGAATGGTGATGTTTCCAGAGCAGTCCTGTGGTAAGGAATTGGGAATGGGAGTGAAAGCTTGTAATAAGTATGTGGCCAACTGAAGCTTTTGGGAAAACAGAAGGAAGGATGAGTATAGGAAAGGGTGTGAAGTATTAGTGAAAGCATTGGTGTCATGATATTGAACACTATTTTTCTTGGCTTATAAGGATAAGCCAAGTAGTGCATGTTGTCTTCATGCACTACTAGTAGCAGTGGCTGTGCCTTGCACATTTTGTTGTTGGTCTTTTAATGATGAGACTAGAATGAAGCAAAAAGATAACATTCCTGTTTTAACGAAAATTCACCAAATAATCCACAAGAAAATAAACTTCACCTAAAAGTTCCCAGACGATTGTATCAAAGACCTATACAAAAGAGCTAAAACTGTCTGTAAAACTCTTGAAAGAAAACAAACATAAAGGGAAATTTTCATGGCTTGAATTTAGCAATGGTTTCTTAGATATGATACTCAAAAGCTCAAACAGCAGAAGAAAAAAACGGGTAAATTGGACTTCATCAAAATTAAAGTTTTGTGCATCCATGAACACTACCAAGAGCGTGAAAAAACAACCCAAAGAATGGAACAAAATATTTGTAAATCATATATCTGCTAAGAGTCTTCTGATATCCAGAATATACAAAGCACTCCTATAATAAAACAATAAAAAGGCAACCCAATTACAACATGGGCAAAGTGCTTGAATAAACATTTCTCCAAAGAAGATAAACAAATGTTCAGTAAACACAAGATGCTCAGCATCATTAGTCATTAAGAAAATGCAGATCTGGTGGCTCACGCCTGTAATCCCAGCACTTTGGGAGGCTGAGGCGGACAGATCACAAGGTCAGGAGTTCAAGACCAGCCTGGCTAACATAGTGAAACCCCAACTCTACTAAAAATAAAAAAATTAGCCGGGCATGGTGATACATGCCTGTAGTTTCAGCTACTCGGGTGACTGAGGCCAGAGAATCACTTGAACCTGGGAGGCGGAGCTTGCAGTGAGCCAATATCGCGCCACTGCACTCCAGCCTGGGTGACAGAGCGAGGCTCCGTCTCAAAAAAAAAAAAGAAAGAAAGAAAAAAAAGAAAATGCAGATCAAAGCCACAATGAGACATCATTTCTTATCCACTAGGATAGCTATTATAAAGTAGAGTAAAATAGCAAGTATTGGTGAAAATGTGGAGAAATTAGAATCCTCATGCATTGATGGTGGGAATGTAAAATGGTACAGCCAATGTGGAAAACAATTTGACAGTTCCTCAAAAAGTTAAAACAGGCCAGGCACGGTGGCTCATGCCTGTAATCCCAGCACTTTGGGAGGCCGAGGCGAGGGGATCACCTGAAGTCAGGAGTTTGAGACCAGCCTGGCCAAGATGGTGAAACCCCATCTCTACTAAAAATACAAAAATTAGCTGGGCATGGTGGTGGGAGCCTGTAATCCCAGCTACTCGAGAGGCTGAGGCAGAAGAATCGCCTGAACCCAGGAGGTAGAGGTTGCAGTAATCCAAGGTCGCGCCATTGCACTCCAGCCTGGGCAACAAGAGCGAAACTCGGTCTCAAAAAAAAAAGTTAAAACAGAGATTACCATATGGTAACTCTGTGTGGCCTTCGGCAAGTTGTGTAAACTTTCTGGGCCTCAGGTGGGAGACTTGGATAAATCCCCTAATTCTGGGTAGGAGAAGGTCTCAATCATGTGTGTGACCTTTTCAAGCCTCACATACCTTCCTTCAGCCTGGCGCCTAACTCAAGTGAAGGGTAGAGTGTTTCAAAGGAAATGCTCTACCCCAGGACAAGGAATGAGCTGGCAGACACAGGGCATGGAGAGTGTGATGGAACGGTCACTGGTAGAGCCTTCATAATATTTTTTAAAGTCCTAGTGCTGATTCTGATGAGCCTCATGCCCCTCAGAACTGCAGGAAGTAAACTCATTCATTTATTCATACACCTACCACCAGCCAATAGTTATTGGGGGTGCCCCATGCTGTGTGGAGCACGGTGCTGGAAGACAGGGAGCCCTGGAATCCAGGGAGCTGATGTTTTAGAGGGAGGAGATATTGCTGGAGACTTCACTATTGAATTGCCGTCGTGGTGAGGGCTTTGAAGAAGTGGAGGCTGCTGGGGGCAAGCACTCTAGGGTCAGGGTGGCTGCTCGGAGGAAGCTGTGGATAAGCTGCTGTTCGAAGGATGACTTAACTAGGAATTAACTAGGAAATTAACTAGAAAAACCAGGAAAGGTGCAGATAGCATTCTTGGTAGAGAGAGAACAGTGAGGAGGAAGGGAGAGTGGCCTTGGAGAAGAGACTGTGGAGAAAAGCCTCATTCCAGGATGTCACAGTGACATCTACTCTCAGGTTGACATCCTTGAATTGCAGGACGAAGAGAAGTGATCTCCCTGAGACCACAGGTAGGCACTTTCACCAGCGTCCACTGCTTCTGTGTCCCCACAAACCCACATCCTGCACTCTTGGCTGTGTAGCCAGCAGGACCCACACAGCATCTCTGGAACTTAAAATGCTCCCCAGAGTCGGCTGTGACCTGAAGCCACTGCACCTCGGAACATCTGCACAGCACAGGGCAGGCTGAGTGACAGAACAAGTGACTTGAGCGTGACGCCCCACATGCCAGTCCAACATCCAGAGGATGTTTCTCTTTTTGGTCTTTCAGTTTTCTGCCTATCAAACCAGTAAACCAAGGCTTTGAGGACGGTGGAACTACCAGACTTTTACTTAAGCCGTAGCAACCATTGTGGTACTTGGTAGGCCCACGGCATATATTTGGTGGATAAATTGGATCCACTGTTGTAGCGGAGGCCACAGTTTCCACACGTTAATGGCACCCAAGGTGGATGGAGCTCATACCTGCAGGTCACGTTCTGTACCCCTAGGAGCCCACCCCACTTAAAGTAGGGTGGTTGGAGGGGCCACAGTTGAGCCTCTGGGGTGCGTGTGTGGTGCTCCAGCCAGAGAAGGGGGAGCAGCAGCCACAATGGGAGCCGGCTGTTAGGGAAAGGAGCCTGTCTGCCAGTCCCAGGTCAGGCATCCCCTCAACCTGTAACTCGCTGAATTTTTTTGTTGGGGGGGACTAATTTGGAACCTTGCATGTCTTCTGTGTGGTCATCAATCTATTCCATCAGGCTTAATTTTTTTTTCTTTGCTTTCAGGAGAGTAGATCTGGAGAAACCAACAGCTGTGTTGAAGAAATAATCCGGGTAAGATTATTCTTTAAACAGTCTTATCAATCTGTGGGACATAGACTCTAAATAGAAAGGAAACCTGCGGCTCCATGATAAAGGAGCCCATAGTCTGTGGTTTGACATTTACCTTTTCTGAGAGTAGTCACATAAGTTTTTGAAACAACACTTCTGTTAACAATCTAGGAGCTGCACCCCCTCTGGGCACCTCTGCACAGGCTGAGGTGACACCCTATTAAAGTGATCAGCTGGAAGACAGAAGAACAGAATTTAGATGAAAAATATGCTGGTGCTCACATGTGGATGCCCCATTTATCACCCTGCTATTTAAAAGCATCCTTTAATAGTCTGTACATTTTTTTGAGTCAGGCAGGGGTTGCCTGGTTATTTTTCCTGTAAACTTAATTGGAATCAGAAGCACTTGACAAAGAGGTAATGTTCAGGATCTGGAACTGTTATTTCTCTATTGTTTCACATGTTATTTTCCCTGTCACCCTCTGTGAGCCCGTCCTTTTCATCACCGTTGTGTCTAGTGTGGGTTCCCTCCCTGAACCAGTTTCGTGCCCAGATTGACTTAGGTTGGGCTGTTCCACCACATCAGTGTTTTCCCAAATATTCAGACATATAATCAGGATGTCGTCATCAACCCATATTTTTTCTTCACTCATATTTTTTCAGGGGAGTTACCTAATAATTTATAGTTCTCAAAAAGCTGATACTACACTGGGCAAAACACCAAGACAAATTAGGCCAGATGGTATGAATTTTACTGTAAAAAAAAAAACACTTTATTTTAATTTAATATGGTCCTTTCTTTTGGATATCCTACACACTTTTTTTTAATTGCTAGTGAGTTACAGTAATACAATTACTTGGGTTAAAATTTTACATTAACAACTATTTTAAAAGGCCAGATGTTTTTCTTTCTGGAAAGCATTATTTCATAAATAAATCTAAGTCTCAAGTTGACCAGAATAACTAATTGAGATGTGATTTGTTGAATTCATAATGATTTTTTTTCTGGCAGAGATTTATAGAGAAAGCAATTGTCAAAACAGGCAGCTTCATTTCTGGTATATAAGTATATGTTAAATAAAATACATAGTATATTTTATATCTATATTGTCTCTATTCTGGGGCTTTGTTTCCAGTTAAAGAACAATCAACCTAAGATGCTGATATAACTTTTCCTATTTTTCTCTTTCAACATACTTTCATATTTGCAGTTCACATATTCCATTTTTAAGCCATCTTCCTTTAACTGGTTATAGTGTTTATGTCCACAAAAGGATAATACTAGAACACACCAATCCCCTCTTTGGTTTCCCTAAGTAGAAAAAGTCTACCTTCTTATTCTCTCTTGGCCCTTCTGAGGATATGGAAGAAATCCATCCTTTGACCTTCCTATTCTGTTCTCCATACAAGGCTTGAAGTTTGAATAAAGACTTGAGTAATTCACACACCAAAAGGATAGAGTTTAGGTAAAGCAAAATTCAATTTGAATAAAACTGAGTGTCACAATCAAAAGCTCATTCAGCTTTATAGTTATTGTTTTCTAAAGAGAGCTGATGAGAGCCTCATGCCCCTCTCGCCCCAGTCCTCCCCTCCCTCCCACCGCCAGTGCTGCACCTGTGCCACAACACTCTTTGGATGAGGCCTGAAACAAAGAGAGAACGTGGACCCACCGGATCACAGATTTGTGTCCATATGCAAGGCTGAAGTCTGCATGTGTGTGCGAGAGGGCAGTGGAGGTGGTGGCTGGATTAGGAGGCAACTGAGCTCCAAATTCCACTCTTCCTAGCCTATGAGCAGCAGTCAGGAGGGGAGGTGGGATGGACGAGGAGGAAAGAGAGATGATGGTGGCGCTAGTTGAGCCTGGAGCTTTTTACTCTCTCTCCCTACTTGTCAGCCTAAGGCGTTAGTAGTAGTAGTTGGTATTTGGGGAGCTCCTAGGGGATCGCATTAGTGTTCCCAGTGTTTCCTGGAATGGCTTTCTGTCTATGCCTGCCTCACTGACATTAGTCATTCTCCAAGATCCTCTACCCCTCTTCACCTCCAAACGCAAGCACCAGGACTCTTGGTTACCGCCCATAGTATTTATTGTGTATCTGTGACACACCAGGCTTCCTCCAAGATTGTGGCTCCAAGGAGAGGGAAAGGCAGAATAGTTGGTGAGCAGGTAGATAAAGCTAAGCAGGAGAGGCAGACAGAGCTAGGTCGTAGATCCTATAAGATGCGGATCAGCTGAGCATTTGAGCAGAGTGATGTGATCACATTAGCAGTTTAAATGCACCACTCTGGCTGCTATGGAGAGGGATCCACCGGGAAAAGGAGAAGCAAGAGGGAGTGGGAGGCTATTGCAGGAGTCCAGCCCAGAGATGCTTGGTGGTGCGCTTACGGCCATGGGAAACATTAGGGAAGATCCTGGTTTGCGGGAAGGGCGGAAATCATAAATTCATTTTTGAGCATGGTGAGTTTGGCGTGCCTTTGGGACATTCAAGTAAACACAGAGAACATAGAACAACATATTGGAGGTCAGGAGGTCAGAGCAGAGGTCTGAGGTGTTGGACCAACATTTTGGATTAATTAGCATGCCATTGGTAATAACACCGTAGAAATAGGTAAATTTTTCTGGAGAGAGACTGGAGACCGAGGAACATTGAGAATCTAAATTCTGACTTTTAGAGACTAAGGGAAGGAATAGCCGCTGGCAAGTGGAAGTGAGAGAGAGTGACAAGAAAAGTGAAGGGAAAATTATGACAGTGAAAAGTCATGGAATCCAAGGAATGAGATTCAAGCTCAGTGGTGTTCAGAGTTTCTGAGAGGACGAGAAAGATGAGGATCTAAAACCACACAATGGATTAGACCACAGAAACGTTGCTGGTGACCTTTGCAAGTGCCCTTTTGGTGGAGTAGAGGGGGCAGAAGCCAAACTCGAGAAAACAGAAAATGCAGTCAGTGAATTTAGAGACTTCTTGGGAGGAAAGGCTGTAACTTCCCTTCAGCTCCCTTTCCAATTGCAATACGTCCCTCATACAATAACAACCACCAAGTGATGAAGAGCTGACGTTGACTGAGGATGCATTATGTGTGAGGCACAGTTCTAAGCTGTGATTTAACCCTCACAGCTGCTTCATGAGGTAGGCATTGGTAACATTCCCATTTTACAGATGAGGAAACTGAAGTGAAGAGAAGTTAAACACAACTTGCCCAAGGTCACACAGCTAGCAAGTGGTAGAGCTGGGATTCTAATGAAGACGCCTTGCACAGCAACCTCTCTTAACATTGTACTGACTTACTAGATGAAGACGTCCCCCTGGCTCATTAACGAAACCAGTCAGGCAATTCATTGTGAATGGGAGGTTTCCCGTTTCTACCTGTTTATGATTCGGAAGTGCCAGATCATGCATTTATGCACTTAAATTCAGAGGTTTTATAGCCAGTGTTATCAACCTCATCTTTAACTTCTTCCTCTCTCCTTATTTTTGCTGAGGTGACTGTTTTCAAGTCATTTGAATATTACGTTGTGTTCTAACATATAATTATTTTTTATCCTTACTCCGAGAGTTTTATTCCTGGGACCTAATAAATCTGTGTGTTATTGCAAAATTCTCTTAACTGAGGGAGAAATTAAAACAGAGTTCTGTGAGGATGGGCGATCAGGGCTAGAAGGCTTCATGGCTGACATATGTTTGTAACAGGCAGTTTTCCAAGTTACACTCTATTTTATCCTTAAATGTTCCAGTGCTGTAATACTTAGGTGCTTTTCATAGCATTATCCATTAACGTAGAATGGCATTAACATTTGTTCAGCAAATAAAATTGGTTTATAACTTAATGGGTGGGGGTGCTGGGCTGGAATCTAGGATGTACAGTTTTTATGCAAGACAGCTTTACATGGCATTTGTTGAAGACACTCATAACATAGAGTGCCTTTGTAATAAGAGATCAGTGTTTGAGATTCTGGTTTGGACTTAAGGAATGAATTTAGAGACAATTTCAGTGTAACATCTGAGCAGATTACTTTCTTGCTCTCATCATCTTTAGCACTAATTTAATTCCAGTGTGCTGCAAAATATTCTTAAGGAATATTTACATAGAGTTGCATTTTCTGTTTATCTGAAGGGGGTAAGTAGTACTTGTTTAAATTTTGGAGACCTCAGCCAGTTTCCTGACATTATAGTGGAACAAACTTGAGGCAAATAAAGGGAACTCATTTTTTCCTTGGTTTTCCAGAAACTCAGGAGCATCCTGGATGGGATGATTTCCAGTTGTGGTCCTGGGAGATTTGTGAGTTGAGGGCACTGACTTGGGAAATGCACATCATGATAGCCCCTCACATGTACAGACCCCGGATGGTGGGACAAGAGAAGCCTTGTGCTCACAAATGTCAATCAAATGAAAACATACTTGCCATTCTCTGCCTACTGGAAGGTAGAGAACAAAGAGATAACTTGTTTTCAGTGACCTATTTGGGTCATTTGCAGAGCTGGACCTAGGTCAAATCTTCCCTGCTTCAGACCAGGCAGGCTTTTTTTTCTAGCTCATACTGTTTCCTTTATAAGTTATTTCATTTGTTTCCAAGAGCAAAGATTTCATCATTAGTGATGAAATGAAGCCCACCAATGGCAAAATCAATCCAGGTGTAACTGTAGAGGTGCGCCATTAATATATCCCATTACTTGCTGTAGCAAAATAAACTCAAAACAAAAGTCAGCCCGATGGAGGGCTAGAGAAATTCACTGAGAAAAACCTACAATAAGTCTAGCCAAGATAAGTTAGTTGACTTGGTAGTCCTGTGTTTTCGTTTTGCATTTAGCCATCTGAACGGTTAGGGACAGAAATACCACACTTTTATATCTCATTTTATATCTGTGAGATTAATTGTTCATAAATGCTATTATGCTAATCCTTTGGGGTGAAACCAAAAGCCCTTCCTAAAGGGCTCCACTTCTACCTGCTAAGGGCACCCTGGTGCCTGCAAGCTGTGGCCAACAGCTTGCCACTATGTTGCAGGGCCCTGTGACTACAATCTGTGGACTTGGCAGTGACTCTGGAGGTGTTCATTTTCTAGCAGAGGTGGGACAAGAGACCACCTTAATTCAGAATCTGTTCTGAGCCCGGAGGCTTTGGGGTGATGGGTAAAGGAATACTGGAAGTCCAGAAGCTCCTGTTGAGAATGAACAGCTTCGCCCTTTGATACTTACCTGTTTCATTTTGATGCACGTCATTAGAAATCACAAAGTTGTTTGCAGAACCATATGCCTAGAAGATGAAGGGCATGTTAGCAGCCCAAGCATCTAAAAGTCTGTGAGATTATAACTTCTGCCCTAACAGTAAAAAGCGGGTTCTGATACTGCAGTCAATATCTTTTCACGGGGCGTTTGTCAATATTTTATGCAAAGGTTTCATAGTTTCTTGGAGATACTTGGAGAACTTCAGCACTACACTAGAGGACTGACGCAAGTACGTCAAATGTAGATGTACTCAGTACCTTTGAACAGCTGCCACATGCAGAAGGCACTGAGCGGGTGGGATTAGTGAGTTACAGGAGGAATGCAGAGGAGAAAACAAATAGAGGTGTGCTTCTTTCAACAGCAGTATGTCCTTGAAAGGTGGTTTGCAGAGAGTCCAGCCCCAGCAACACAAAACAAGAGGGTAGAAGGGTGGGATTGGAGCTGAGAGATAACAACCTTACTGGCCTCGTATGTGTGTGGGCCATTGGACTACACATTGTCATCCATATAGTCCGTTCACATTTTCATAACATCTTTATAGTTTTTTCTTCTTTATATTTTAGTGAGCATTTTCAAAAAATAAGGGCTTAAATGTGAATCACATAGAACAATAAGTGCAAATTCTTATCTTTATCCATGAATGAGGTTTTCGATTGCAGTGTTTTTTAATTGTACAGAGTTGAAAAGGTTAATACATGTCAAATCATAGTATCTATCAGTACCTTCAAATGTGTAAATTCCCCAAACACTTAACTTATTTTCAATCTGGGTTTCATTTGAGTGTTCTTCTCCGACAGTGAAATGCTAGTGTTCAGTACTAGCCAGCTAACCTGGTTTATGTCATTTGTTAACTTTATTTAAGAGAACCAATGCAATTTTATTTTTTCTTTCTTGTTCCCATACTTAATATCACCATACGTATTCATCAGACTTTGAAAACTTACTGGAGATGAGAACTGAAGATTACTTTTATAGTTATTGTATTTTAAGGCATTTAAAAGGATTTTTAGAATGCTAATTAAGAAGCATACAGCAGATGCTCAAATAACATCATTTCATTCAACTTTGTTTTGTTATAAGGTTGATGAGAAAAAAACCCAATTCCCATCCGGGGCCACCATGTGTGGAGCCTGTACATTGTCCCCAAGTCTGTGCGGGTTTTCTCTGGGACTCCAGTTTCCTCTCACATCCCAAAGATGTGCCCTTTAGGTTCACTGGCATGTCTTCACAGTCCTAGTGTCAGTGAGTGTGGGTGTGTGTGAGCGTGCCTTGCCAGGGGCTGTCTGGCATCCTGGCCAGGGCTGGTGCCTGCCTTTCTCCAGCCACCCACCCCACTGAACTAGGATAAGTGGCCTGAAAATGAATGAATGAATAGAAATGATTCTAACATACAAATCTTCAAGTCTACAATAGTCATACAGATGCACAACAATAAACAGCATGGTATGAAAGCACTAGGTGAGCAGGTCCTGTTGTGATTGTCTTTGTTTTATTTTGTTTTTGTTTTTGTTTTTGTCTTTTTTGAGACAAAGTCTCACTCTGTCACCCAGGCTGGTGTACAGTGGCACAATCTCGGCCTCCTTGGTTCAAGCAATTCTCCTGCCTCAGCCTCCCGAGTAGCTGGGTTACAGTCACCCGCCACCACACCCAGCTAATTTTTGTATTTTTAGTACAGAAGGGTTTTCACCATGTTGGCCAGGCTGTTCTTGAACTCCTGACCTCACATGATCCACCTGTCTCGGCCTCCCAAAGTGCTGGGATTACAGGCATGAGCCACCGGGCCTGGCCCGTGATTATCTTTAAACTTCGTGGCAGGAGGAGGTGCTCCTTACAATTTTTGCTTTGCAGACATTTATTCTTTGATGGAAACCACCACCACTGCAACTGCAGTCACTCACTGATTCACCTAGAATGGTGTAAGTAATTATCTTACTTGGTTTCTTGTTTTTTTATTTTTATTTTTATTTTTTTTTTACTTTAAGCTCTGGGATACATGTGCAGAATGTGCAGGTTTGTTACATAGGTATGCATGTACCATGTTGGTTTGCTGCACCAATCAACTGGTCATCTAGGTTTTGAGCCCTGCATGCACTAGGTATTTGTCCTAATGCTCTCCCTCCCTTGCCCTCCACCCTCTGATAGGCCCTGGTGTGTGATGTTCCCCTCCTTGTGTCCATGTGTTCTCATTGTTCAACTCCCACTTATAAGTGAGAACATGCAGTGTTTGGTTTTCTGTTCTTGTGTTAGTTTGCTGAGAATGGTGGCTTCATCTATGTCCCTGCAAAGGACATGAACTCATCCTTTTTATGGCTGCATAGTATTCCATGGTGTATATATGCCACATTTTCTTTATCCAGTCTATCATTGATGAGCATTTGGGTTGGTTCCAAGTCTTTGCTATTGTAAATAGTGCTGCAGTAAACATACTTGTGCATGTGTCCTTATAGTAGAGTGATTTATAATCCTTTGAGTATATACCCTGTAATGGGATTGCTGGGTCAAATGGTATTTCTGGTTCTAGATCCTTGAGGAATCGCCACAATGTCTTCCACAATGGTTGAAATAATTTATACTCCCAGCAACAGTGTAAAAGCATTCCTCTTTCTCCACAGCCTTGCCAGCGTCTGTTGCCTGACTTTTTAATGATCTCCATTCTAACTGGCCTAAGATGATATCACATTGTAGTTTTGATTTGCATTTCTCTAATGACCAGTGATGATGAGCTTTTTTTCATATGTTTGTTGGCTGCATAAATGTCTTCTTTTGAGAAGTGTCTGTTCATATCCTTCGCCCACTTTTTGATGGGGTTGTTTTTTTCTTGTAAATACGTTTCAGTTCCTTGTAGATTCTGGATGTTAGACCTTTGTCAGATGGGTAGCTTGCAAAAATTTTCTCCCATTTTGTAGGTTGCCTGTTCACTCTGATGATAGTTTCTTTTGCTGTGCAGAAGCTTTTTAGTTTAATTAGATCCCATTTGTCAATTTTGGCTTTTGTTACAATTGCTTTTGGTGTTTTAGTCATGAAGTCTTTGCCCATGCCTATGTCCTGAATGGTATTTTTCTGGTTTTATTAATCTTTCTTAATGTATGCATAGCTCACATTTTTTCAGTGTTTAATATTAAAAGTGTTTGGACCTTATGGAGAAGTTCGGTGATGTTTTTGTGATCAGAAATGTGCTGTAGGAACTTAACTCTTGTTTATATCAAAATTAGCCTATGGTAAAACTGGTTTTATTATATAGCATTTCACTTAGAAGCCTCAGTTTCAAAGACCCTATTGATGACATTAAGTGAGGACTTAGTGTAGAGACACCAAAATATCTGCTGAAGTGATATTAGTACTTAAAATATGAAGGCAAATAAGATTCTACTAAAAGTATTTTTGGAATGTGAATGTGTGTACGTGTGTGATGTGTGTGTGTAATTCTTGTGCCATAAAATCCCTAGCATGAAGGGCTCTGTGAACTTCAGCTCTACCCAACATTTTTAACTTTTCACTCTGACCTAGGAATTCCATCAGGCAGCTGGTTCTTGCAAACAGGTCCTCGAGTGTAAGCCACCAAAGACCTTTCAGTCCCATTACTGCCTCCATCAAATTCCCTAAGGGCACTACAGTGTTTCTCCCCAAAAGCCTTGCTGGTTTCAGCCTGTGGCTGGGATCGTTATACTGAGTCATGGCCCCCTTTGGAAGTGGGTCCGTCTCGTGGCGGTCTCTGCTAGCTCGCTACACGTTCGTGCTTGCTGCCTTGCTTGTCCACTTTCTGGTCTGCACTGCTCCTGACTTGCTCCAGGACTGACAGGTTGGAGTCCAGGCTGCTTCTCTCCAGCAGCCAGTGCTGGAGGTCTGGATCGCGGACCCCTCCAGGCAGCCAGCCGGTTGCGACGTCTGCTTTATGCTGGATCTCACTGCCAGGGCAGGATCACAGTAACCAAACTATGCTCTCTTCCTTGAAGGGTAACTTATTCCCCGCTGGAGCTCACCATCAATGCAATGTTCACCAGCATTACTGACTTGAAGAGTATCCTTCAGTCATTTTACCATTGACTTTATCAACCCCCTCAGGAACCTTTAAGACACTTTTCTCCCAATTGTTCCCAAATGAAATTCTAATACCACAGAGATACCGCATGTCTGTTTGTACATGGTATGTGAGTCTGTGCTTTATACACAGAGTAAGGTTTTCTCATCCCCAAGAACCAATTTTGTAAGGTGCCCATTGGGAATGCCTGGCTTAGACCATCCCTGCTTGCTGCACACCTGTGACACCAGCACCTCCTTGTCACTGTCCTCGTCACCCTCCGCAGACGCTTCACCTTCTCTGTCCCCAGAGAGATGGATGCCATCCAATGAGCACCCCTGGGCCAGTGGCATCAGACAGTCACTGTTCCAGGCTCTGTTCTCGGCGCTGGGGGTACAAGGGTGAGTGAAACAGGCACTACTGAAGCCAGCACAGGAGTGAGCACCTCCTCTCTCTGCCCTCTTCTAACCTCTGCCTCTCTGCTGGCATCTCATTCTCAGTAAACACATACAGATTCTTTCCATCGTATGTGTGTGTACATATATATATGTGTATATATGTATGTGTGTGTATATATATACATATATATATATATATCTTCAGTGCTACATTGCTTGCAGCTCTTTCTTCCTTCCTAACTAGACTCTCCAGACCAAAGTCTCTCTGTGTCTTCACTTTCATTTCCCCTTCAACCAACTGCCATCTCTCCCACCACCTTCCTTCCTGAAATGGCTTTTACTGAGGTTACCACCCCAGGCTTGCTTATCAGAAGTACAGAGAGCATTTCCCCATGTGATCTCTGGCAGGCATTTGATGTTGCTGACTGCAGGATCCACGTGAAAATGCTCATGCCCTTGGTGTCTCTGTCACACCCTCCTGGGTTCACCCACTTTGTGGTCCTTTCTCCTGGGTCTCCTACGTGGACCTGTCTTCCTGTAAGTCCCCCTTGATGTTGGTGTTCCTCAGGGTCCCATCCTGACTCTTCTCTACTTAGATGCTGTACTTCCATGGTGTCTGGTAACATCTGTGTGGGGATGGGTCTCAAGTGTGTCTCAAACACAGCTCTGTTTCCTGAACTTCTGTCACCTGCCCAGCGGCCACCAGATTGCTCCACTTAGATGTGTCATGGACACCTGCACCTTAACTCATCTCACACCTCTGCCGGCTTTTCCTGCAGCTTGGATTATCTTCATTCCCCGGCTGTCCATGCTGTTGGGTTCTTCTTCTCCCTCACACTCACCATGTTCAGTTCCTCACCAAGCCTGTCAGCTCTGTCTCCCTCCGGTGGGTCCACTTCTCTTTACCTCCAGCTATCTCCTTGTTCATCCACCATCCTTTTCCTACATGACTCCAGAGACCTGCTTGCCAGCCCTCTGCCTCCCACTAGTCTCCACAATGGAGGCAGAATCCACTTTCCAAAGCATAGGTTTGCTGGAAACCTGTTCGTGGCTCTCCCCTGAGTTCAGGATAGAGTCAGGCCAGAGACCCCCAGACGTGGTTTGCAGAGTCGCACATGCTGTGGCCGTGCGTATGCTTCCAGACTCATCTTTCACCACGTTGCCCCTCACACTCCATGCTGCACTTCTGCAGGCGTAACCACTGCTCTCACCATCACCTCTGGGCGCAACTCATGCTCTTCCCCACCCCGGCACATGCTCTGCCTACCCCTGACCACACATTTAGCTGACCGACTCCTGCATATCTTCCAAGCCTCACTAGAGATGTCACTCCCTCCAGGAAGCCTTTGTGATTCCCAAAGTCTGAGTTAGAGGTTCCTCTTCCATGTCTGCCAGTTACACTTTATTCTTATTACAATACTTAATATGTAATGGTCTTTCTTATTTTCTCCTGGGCTGTTGTTATCTACCTCCAGGGGTGAGCACGATGACCGGCACTTAGTTGATGTTTAATAAAAAGTGAATAAATGGCCAGATGGGGTGGCTCACGCCTGTAATCCCAGCATTTGGGAGGCCGAGGCAGGTGGATCACCTGTGGTCAGGAGGTCGAGACCAGCCTGGCCAACATGGTGAAACCCCGTCACTACTAAAAATACAAAAATTAGCTGGGCATGGTGGCGGGGGACTGTAATCCCAGCTACTCAGGAGGCTGAGGCATGAGAGTCACCTGAACCTGGGAGGCAGAGGTTGTAGTAAGCCGAAATCACACCACTGCACTGCAGCCTGGGTAAGAGAGTGAGACTCCATCTCAAAAAATTAAAAAAAAATTTTTTAAGTGAATAAATGGATGAAGAATAATGAATGAATGATTTTGACCTCTTGCTCTTCACCCTTTTGTCCTTCTAGTCCTGAAGCAAATGGTTCAAGGTACCATCCCCTAAAACATGAGCTCTCCAAGGACTGCCAAGACTGTTGTGCTACCTGGAAGCATTAGAACACATTGTACAATTGGCACAAATGCAAGAGAGAAGAAAATTCACATGCTAACCCCTGAGGGCTAGAAACAGGAGGGAGTGCAGCAGCTCCTGCTAAAGTGTGTGTCAGAAAACTCAGACTTTTTGTGTCTGCCACTTTTATCCTGAGTATCTTTCATGAGACTAAGCCTTTCATTTTGATAGGTAATGAATTTTTACAAGTTGAAGAAATCAAGCTAATACATTTGCAGGGATAATTTGGTTAATTACCATGTTGCTGCTGGTAGAATCAAGGGCTGGAAGTCAAAACTGTTTCCACTGCTAATATGCTCTGTGTAAAGCAGTTCTTGGAACAATTAAAACACATCTATCCAAAGTGATCAACTCGAAACATACATTTTAAATTTGTATTTATTATCATGAAAATCACATACAGTGTCCTCTGTTATTTTTTCAAATTAAGGGTTGTGAAATTACACTGATTTGCTGCAAATTACTATTGTACACACACAGATCTTAGAAAATAATTTCTAAGGTAGAAAATGATCATTTGAGGATGAAAGCAATATAAGCCTTGAAAAATTAGAACATCTATCTAGATAATAATCATATATTTTAAATAAGACATAATTACCTTTTTATAGTCTTGTAATCATTTAGTTCATTATAACCTAAAAAACCTCAGAAACCTAATTTCTCCTTTGCCATTGCATTTATCCATCGTTTTATACGTTCTGATAAATCTGATGTGTGGATGTGCCATTCTTTGTTTTTATGCTCATTGGATTCAGTGGAATGTAAGTATTGGGAAAATGCAGGGTTGGAACTCAGACCTATTTCCAGAACTCTTCCAGCATGCTCCCATATTTATTTGCATGTTGTTTTGTTCTGATTTTGGAAGCAGTCCACACAGCCCATAATTTCACAATCGCTAACCCACCGCTGGGGTTGTTTAGACTCCTAAATTAACTGTTTTTTGAACATGAGCCATTATTTCATTGGCCCAGAACTCCATTCCTGGGCCCACTTGTACCTCAGAAATTCTAGAAAAGTGCCGTGTGCAGCACCTCCACACTCTAGAGACCCTCCCTCTGCCAGCACTACGTTCCTAAGCAGCTTCAGTTTCTGATGACAGCTCAGGGTAGGTGGACCTCTTCATGTGTCTCCAGATACTAGGTTTGAAAGGAATTATCATATGCTAGCACTAGCTGATATATTTTATTTATCATAACTCCCATACACACACTAATAAGGTACACCTATGTATGCAAGTGTGTGTATTTCTCTCTCCCCTGGATTCCTTAGAAAGTTATAAAAGTTATATCCTATGGGCAGTTCATTCTTTATTATTGCAGTTTTTGGTTAGTAAGTTTTTATTTTAGTGCCTTTTTTATTGTGACTTCAAACAATTAGAGATCTGTGGTTCTGTGGAATTAAAAATATTAAGGATTTTGGGCTGGGTGCTGTGGCTCACACCTGTAATCCCAGCACTTTGGGAGGCCAAGGCAGGTGGATCACCTGAGGTTGGGAGTTTAAGACCAGCCTGACCAACATGGAGAAACCCTGTCTCTACTAAACACACAAAATTAGCTGGGCATGGTGGTGCATGCCTGTAATCCCAGCTACTGGGGAGGCTGAGGCAGGAGAATCACTTGAACCCTGGATGTGGAGGTTGCGGCGAGCCGAGATCGCACCACTGCACTCCAGCCTGGGCAACAAGAGTGAAACTCCATCTCAAAAAAAAAAAAGGATTTTATATTCTTTTTTAATAATTTTAATCTTATTTTAGATTGGGGGGTACATGGCATGTTTGTTACATGGGTATATTGCATGATGCTGAGGTTTGGGGTACAAGTGATCCCCTCATCTAGGTAGTGAGCCTGGGTATATCCGATCGGTGGTTTTTCAGCCCCTGCCGTTTGGTAGTCCCCGGTGTCTATCGCTCCCATCCTGATGTCTCTGTGTAGTCAGTGTCTAGCACCTACTTATGAGTGAGAACCTGGTATTTTATTTTCTGTTCCTGCATTAATTCACTAAGGATAATGGCCTCCAGCTCCATCCACGTTGCCGCAAGGGACAGAATTTCATTCTTTTGTGTGGCTGCGTAGTATTCCATGGTGTACACGTGCCACGTTTTCTTTCTCCAGTCCACTGTTGAAGGGCATGGAGACTGATTCCATGTCTTTGCTACTGTGAATAGCACTGCAAAGAACATATGACTACTCATTTTTTTAAGTATCTTTCTATGAACAGTAATTACATTTCTGAAACCTAGTTAAAATCATATGATCAGCATGCTTATTTTACACTTATAATGTATTAATTTAAAACTATTCCTCAAGTGCTTGTAAATATCTTTTCAATAGTCTCAAATATAGATTTATTTCTACATGTAAAGTACATATTATTTTTAAAAATCACCCTGGGATTCTATGCTAATTACCTTAACATTATCAGAATACTTATTTCTGCACATTTATTAATACTTTCTGAATCATTGTAGCTTTCCCTTCTCTGGCAGTAACTTGTGACCTAATGGTATTTTTGGTCAGTTCTTTGAACATGTTTTTGAATTCAGTTTAACAGTGCATGCTTGGGGCGGGCGGGGGGTTGGGGAAGGATAGGCTTTTAAAATAGTACCTTTAAAGTTAGTTTAAAAATGTTTGTAAACACTTATTAAAAAAAGATCAACTTCCCAAAACCTACCTAGGCTGCAGCTCTGGAAACCAGATTACAGATTGAGAGCCTGGTGAGTCAAAGCCTGGGCTTTCAATATGGAGCCATTTGAAAACTTTGTTACAGATAACCAGAGGGAAAGCATGAAGGGGAGAAGAAAACCCAGCCACAGTGCAGTGAAGAGGAGGATACTGCCCAGAAAAATGAGGTGCAGCAGGTTCTGTCCAGACAGTGAGATAAAAACCTCCTGTCTGGTCTACAAAATAAGCATTTATCATTCTGACTTTTTAACTTACAGTTTCCTTGTTTTCCTGCTGAAGTCGCCAGGAGCCCCTTCACGCACACCCCCACCCCGAACTCTGGAAAAAGGCAAGAAATAAAAGCGGAGCTCTTTTGGAGGTTGGCTAGTTACCGTATGGATGAGGAGCCCACTGTGATGGGAATAAAGCCCCGGGAACAGCAGCAGATTCCTAGCATGTTTCAAACTGTGTGGATGCGGGGAGGGGTCATGGCAGCGGAGCCATCTAGAAAGATTGTCAGCAGCCCTTGGATAGTGGAAATGATTAATCACTTCAGCACAAAAGAACACAAAGAGAGATTTGTTAAGAATAAGCAGGGGACAGAGTGCCAGCTCCAGGGGTGACAGGCTCATCTGTTTAATAATGTATTTTCAAAGTGTGTGCCACATCAAAAGCAAAGCACGTGCAACTGGAGGAAAATGAAATGAAAAGGCAGTGGCTAAAATATTTGATGAATGTAGAAGAAATGCTGAGAAAATGAGATCAGCAATAAATTTGGTTTGGCAATTTTTTTTAATGTGTGCCTCCACCTCCCTACCCCAAACCCACCCCCAACCTGACCTCCACCCCCATCCCCCAGTGTCTTAGCATCACTGGGAAAACTCATCTTCCCACAAAAGATGTGTCTTGGACCTCTTATCCCCAAAAAATGATGAAGGGCCCATTAAGTCAGTATTGCGTGATGACTGCCTTTCTTTGAGGCGCAGGGATATGAAGCGTCTTGTGACGTCATCTTGTCTTACAGAGAAGGAAACTGAGATGCAGAGAGGTTAACACAGCGAGTAAGAGACGGAGTTTAAACTCAGGCCTCCCAGAGCCCAGCTCACATTCCTAAAATCACACAGAGTAATTTTTTTAAAATATCAATATTTCCAAAATGTAAGAAGGAATAAATTCTTCTTTTGGGGACACAAGACTTGTGTTTATACCACCTCTTTCTCACAGCCTTGGGGAAATGAAAGGTTGTGCCCTGGCTGCCTTTGTTTCTTCATTGGTGAGAAGCTGCAGATTGCTTGTGAGAAGTTAGACTGAGGCTCTCAAATGCCTGTTGTGTGACACGAGGGGCCCTAGTGAGCTTAGAAATAGTCATGTGCCGCATAACAATGTTTTGGTCATCACGAGGTCATAGCACAAGGCATTACTCACTGCCTGTGGTGATGTTAGTGTCGGCAAACCTACTGTGCTTCCAGTCGGATAAAAGCCCAGCACATACAGGTATGTCCAATACAGAACAGTTGAGAATGACAAGGAGCGATTGTGTCACTGGTTTATGTATTGACTATACCAAGCTGGTCCAATCTGCGGGCTGCATGCAGCCCAGGACGGCTTTGAATGCGGCCCAACAAAAATTCGTAAACTTTTTTAAAACATGAGTTTTATGCACGGACCTTTTTATTTTCTTTTTTTCTTTTTTTCTTTTTTTTAGCTCATCAGCTATTGTTAGTGTTAGTGTATTTTATATGTGACCCAAGACAATTTTGTTCTTCTTCCAGTATACCCAGGGAAGCCAAAACATTGGATACCCCTGGACTATACTATAATTTTTATTGTTATTTTAGAGCATATTCCTTCTGCTTATATATTAAAAAGTTACCTGTAAAACAGCCTCAGGCAGATCCTTCCAGAGGTGTTCCAGAAGATGGCATTGTTGTCCTAGGAGATGACAACTTCATGCATATAATTGCCCTTGAAGACCTTCCAGTGGGAAAAGATGTAGGGGAGGCCAGATGTAGTGGCTCAAGCCTGTGATTGCAGCACTTTGGGAGGCCAAGACGGGCAGATCACTTGACATCAGGAGCTGGAGACCAGCCTGGCCAACATGAGGAAACGCCGTCTGTACTAAAAATACAAAAATCAGACAGGCATGGTGGCGTGCACCTGTAATCCCAGCTACTCAGGAGGCTGAGGCAGGAGAATTGCTTGAACCTGGGAGGCAGAGGTTGCAGTGAGCCAAGATTGCGCCACTGGACTCCAGTCTGGGGGACGGAGTGAGACTCTATCCAAAAAAAAAAAAAAAAAAAAAGATGTGGAGGAGAAGACAGTGATATTGATGATCCTGGCCCTGTGTGGGCCTAGGCTAATATGTATGTTTGTGACTTAATTTTGACAAAAAAGTTTTAAAAGTAAGAAAAAAATTTAAAAACCTTAAAAATAGGAAAAAGGTCACAGAAGAGGATATAGACTTTTTTGTACAATGTGTTGTACAATGTGTTTGTGTTTTAAGTGTTATTACAAAAGAGTCAAAAAGTTAAGAAACTTTAAAAGTTCATAAAGTAAAAATGGTGCAGCAAGCTAAGGTTAACTTATTATTGAAGAAAGAAAAATATTTTTATTAATTTAGTGTAGCTTAAGTGCATAGTGTTTATAAAGTCTACAGTAGTGTACGGTAATGTCCTAGGCCTTCACATTTCACTCAGCACTCACTCACTGACTCACCCAGAGCACCTTCCAGTTTTTCAAACTCCATTCATGGAAAAAGCCCTATACAGATGGACCATTTTCAACCTTTTATGCTGTATTTTTACTGCACCTTTTCTATGTTTCGGTATGTTCAGATACACAACATACTTACCCGTGTGTTGCAGGGGTGTTACAGTTGCCTACAGTATTGAGTACAGTAACATGCTGCACAGTTTTGTAGGCTATGAGCAATAGGCCATACCATATAGGCTAGGTGTGTAGCAGGCTGTGCCACCCAGGTTTGTGTAAGTGCACTCTATGATGCTTGCACAACGACGAATTCACCCAACAACGCATTTCTCAGAATGAATCCCTGTTGTCAAGCGATGCATGACTGTGCCTTTGATAGTTCCTTACAAATTGATCTTGAGTGTGTATTCATGTGTAACCTAGTTACTGAATAATGCATCTCGAAATGTTGGATTCTTTTTGCATCCGCCTGTGCTGTGCTGCCTTCCATGGAGCTCTATGATGACTGGCACCTCCTGGTGGAGGCATCCTTCCCACATTACCCCCAGTAAGAGCAACAACAGGCAAGGCTGTCCTCTTCCCCAGGAGGGGGAAGGTAAAGATGGAGAGTCAGGAGAAACCAAGAGTTTCCCAGTGGCAGAAGCTCCGGCTCCCCTGACCACACAGTGTGGGTTTTCACCAGAGCTTGAGCCTTAGCATCAGCCACTCCTGCGTTCAACAACAGCTTTGGTGCTTAGTGGCTGGGTGATGCTGACCCAATATAGATGTCAGTAGAGTGTACATTTTGCAAGGAAAAAAGCTACTGTTCTCATTTATTATTTCATATGCTTGTTACATCTATTGCTGGATAAATTTGTGAATACGCACATCTTAGTGAATCAACATATCTAATAAAATGTTTTCATTCATCAAATGTGGTTGTGGAGGTAAACCAATTTTGTAAATCTGAGATTGAAGGAAACACTTTATTTTGGGACTAATGACTGTTAGCTGCTATTATTCTTGTTAAAATAACTGAATATTTCCAGATTCATTAGCGACGAGCTTTACTTAAAGGAAATCTCAACCTATAAAATCCATTTGTAGAATATTTGTGAGATTGTATTTAACGCTAAGAAACAATTGCTTTGCTAAAAGATTCTTGGCTATAGGAAAGAATTAATCTAGCATTAATAGCAGACTTCCCTGAAGAATCTAGATATTTGTTTACAGTTTTCTTTACAACTTAGCTTTAATTTGAAAACCAAAAGTGTTGGAAATAACTTTGGATTTAATTGAAAAGCAATAAAATATACAGACAAAGCTTCCTTGGAATAAAAATGAAAGCCAGTGGGACGTCATAAATCATTCTACAAAAATATACTTTTTGTTCAACTGTTTTTAGGTGCATACGCCAGGTAAATTGGCTGCAGACATAATAAATGCATACTACACCCCCTGGTGGAACATTCATTTGATAGGTAGTTGATAGCTTTTTATCTCTTTAAATACAATGTGCTTATTTAAATGTCTTTGCCTTCTTAGTTGATTGTCAGTTTATGTTCATTTATGTCAACTTATACCTGTAAGTTGTGTTTATAAGTATGTATATATGGCTATACTAAGTATGCCCAATGATGAATTAGATTACCCAGGCAAAGTAATTTTTATAATACATGTTCTAGTATACTATATTTCTAAAGATTTATTTTGAGAATTCACAAAGAATTTAAAATCATGTAGATCATGTATACCTGCTAACTTCTAGCAGTATTTTCACATAGAAATAAACTTGGTAGATTGCTTGAACCAGCTATCTCATTTATTGACAAATGACTAAACCCTCCTACTGAAATGTAAGTGCTTTCTATATAAAGATTTATCCAACTAGGAGAGCAATGTGAAACTCAGAAATTTGCTTGGACTTGAAAGGACTGTGAATTAAAATAGTGGGAGTTGCCAAAGAGATAGGCTCAGAAAATCTCCAGACTTTACATAGACGTTTAAACAAAGACACAGGAGGGGAAATTGATTGACATTCATTTACCATGGATGAAGGATTGTCGGTTTCAACGTTGTATTTTTCATTGATGTACAGTTTTAATTTGATTAGAATGAGATTCCCTACATTTCTGTCGGGAAATGATTTTGTAGCACCCACCTAATAGTCTCAATAAGTACTTTAATGATTTGAGTATCTCTTATCTGAAATGCTTGGGAGTGTAAGTGTTTTAGATTTTGGATTTTGGAATATTTGCATTATACCAGTTGAACATCCCAAATCTAAAATCCTAAATGCTACAATAAACATTTCCTTTGAGCATCATGTTGGTGCTCAAAAACTTTCAGATTTTGGAGTATTTCAGATTTTGGATTTTGAAATTTGGAATTTGGTATGCTCAACCTGTATTGGGTATATTACTTTTAAATTATATTCAGTCCCTTGAGTTATTGCTATAAAAAGCCAGTTATTTCCAGGGTCCAGAAACGAGTCAGAGATGGAATTCTGCATATGTCTTCATAAGAAGGCAAAGGCATCTAAAATTATAAACTTTGTTTTTTTACTTCTGATAAGAAGTCACTTCTGAGTGAATTTAGAGTTTATAATGACACTGTGATTACTTGAAAATGAAGGATTGGTCATGCATATTCAATGTAGTAAATACAGTAATAAGTTTTCTAACTCATTTTCTTCTCCGACAATGGAAGCTGCAACATGTGCTTGACCCAGGCTAGTTGTTTAGCTCAGAGATTAAAGATTGCACACAACTTGGTAAAGTGCTGATAAAACAGCAACAGGCTGGGCACCGTGGCATGCACCTGTAGTCCCAGCTACTCGGGAGGCTTAGGTGGAAAGATTGCTTGAACCTAGGAGTTCAAAGCCAGCCTGAGCAACATAGTAAGACTCCATCTCTAAAAACAAAACAAAATAAAAACTCAGCAATATTTCAACTCAGAGCTAAAGGCAGTAATCTGGAAGGAGCAGTAATCCCCCTCTTAGAACAGGAAAAAAAGCCAAAGAAACAGAAAACTCCTTTGGGAGATCTGAAATAGCATGGAAAACAACAGTCTGAAATATGAAGAGAGATAGACGTGTCAGGAAGAAGCAGGACTTGGACATTTGCTTACATGGGGAACACCACACAAGACCGTATGAGCCAGTAAGAAGATCTGGCTAGAAACTTTAAACAAATTGCTAAAGGCTGAACATGGGCTCGCAGGAGAGGGTGGCAGACCCGGGGAGGTTTGTACTTTGTTGTAGGCGTCTCCTCTGCCAGGTGCCCCAAGGGAAGACCTGGGAGAATCTCGAGAAGCCTTTCCTGTGGTCTTGACCGAGGAAGTTGAACAGCAGCCACTGCAGAACCTCTAGCTGAACCCATGTCCTTCATCTCTCCTACTGACTAGAACATTAATCTTCAGGAAGGATACAGAACTGCAGCCTGAGGGCACTGGTGGATCCCTCTAGAGAAGGGGAAGAAGAATGGCAACCACTAGCAATATTCAACTCAGAATCATATTCCCTGTCATTCCTAAGAAACAAATGCCCTAATCTACAGGAGGAAGGGCAACCAAAATGTATCCTGAGGTTCCTGGTGGAAACTCACTGTACCCAGAGGAGGAGAAAAGAAGAACACAAAAAACTCTACCCATGGGGAAGGGGCAGGAATGTGTGCTACCTAACATTACGGTATATCTGGAGAAAGCTCAGGAACACTTGTGAAGGACACACCACCAAGACTCTTGTTCAGAGTGCCTACCTGAGGCTGAGGCTTAATCGGAACATCAGATACCATCTTCTCTCCTCCACTCTCCAACCACCACACTAACAAGCTTTGAGAAGAATAACAGTGGAATACAACTTGGAGAACCATGCAAAGGGAGACCCAAAGCCAAGGAGGGACACTCATAGCCAAGCAGATAGCAGTCTTCACAAACAACTAGACTCCTGACCACATTAACAGAAACCTCCACACTGAAGAACTAACAGAGGAGGAAGGCATCCTCATCTCCAAGCATGCAATGTGCTTACCTGGAATCCACTGTCCTAGATGACATGTTTGGCTTTCAACAAAAAATTACAAGACTTACAAAACAGCAAGAAATAACAGTCTGAAGGGATAAAGCAGTCATCAGAAGTAGAATTAGATTTGACACAGATGTTAGAACTCTCAGACAAAGAATTTAAATGGCTACAATCAATATGTTAATGGCTCTTATGGAGAAGGTAAACAGCATGCAAGATTATATAGGCCATGTCGCCAAAGAGATGGAAACTACAAGAGAGAGCCAAATAAAAAATTTTTAAAATGGAAAACAGAGATAAAGAATGCATTTAATGAGTTCATCAATAGACTGGACATCATTGAACAATCAGTGAGCATGAAGATAAGTCAACCAAAGTTACCCAAACTGAAATGCAATGAGATTTAAAAAAAAAAAAAAAGAACAGATCATCCAAGACCTATTGGATAATATCAAATGGTAACATTCATGTAACTGGAATCACAGAGGGGAAAATAAAGACAGCAGGGCAGAAGAAATAAGGGCCAAGAATTTTCCAAAATTAGTGACAGACACCAAACCACATACCCCAGAAGCTCAAACTCAAGAGGATACCTTGCAAGGTAAATATCCATGTACACACACACACACAGAGAGAGAGAGAGAGAGAGAAGGAACCAGGATAAGTAGTACAGCGGACTTCTTGTCAGAAACTAACAAGCAAGAAAACAGTGGGGTGACATCTTTAACATGCTGAAAGAGGAAAAAAAAAAAAAACTCTCAACCCAGAATTCTATGCACAGCAAAAATATGCTTCAGACGTTAAGGAGAAATACTTTCTCAAACAAAAACTGAGGGAATTAATTGCTAGTGGACATACTCTACAAGTAATGTTGGAGGCAATTTTTTAGGCAGAAGGAATATGATATAGTCAGAAAGTCAGATCTACACAAAGAAAATAAGAGCATCAGAAATTGAATAAGTAAAAGTAAAACAGCAGCAGCAGCATGGAGTAAGTGCCAAAGGCAGGAGCCGGGACTTGTGCTGAATTCTTCTATTTGCTCATTAAAATGCAATCATTACATATTGTTTAATGAGTATGGAGTTTCAGTTTGGGAAGATGGAGAAGTTCTACAGATGGATGGTGGTGCTGGTCGTACAACAGTGTGAACATACTTAAACTGAACTGTACACCTAGAAATGGTTACAGTGGTAAAATTTTGTTATATTTTGCTATAATAAAAAATGCAACTGATACATCCAAGGAATAAGACTGAACAATTCATGATCATAAAGCAACTCTATTTTTCTTCTCATTGTCTCTCTAGACCTTTTTTGTGGGCTACTTCCTCCCCTGCCCCTGGATGAAATCTCATAGCTTCCATGGTGTTTCTAGACATTGTTATATAATAAAAAAGTTCTCCAGTCACTCTTAGTGACAAAAATGTGTCATTTTAATACAAAAATCAGCCGGGGGGGATGGTACACGCCTGTAATCCCAGCTACTTGGGAGGCTAAGGCATGAGAATCACTTGAACCTGGGAGACAGAGGTTGCAGTGAGCCAAGATCACGCCACTGCACTCCATCCTGGGTGACAGAGTGAGACTCCATCTCAAAAAAAAAAAAAAGTATAATTAAAATGCCAAATCATATGGCATAGTCAAAGCTCTAAACTTCAAGTTTTTCCTTCCTCCACCTTGGGCCTTCTTTGGGCTGTAATCCTGGGAGGGGTGGAGGGACATGGTTGCCCCTTCTCTCTTCCACTGCCTTGTATTTCTCCTTCTTTTATTTTTTAGCTGGGGCCCTGGCTCCTCCAGGAGCCGGAGCTAGTGTGATAAAAGAGTGGTAAGGGGCTGGAACAATCTTACTTGGCTATTCCTGTGAGCTGGCATTGGAGATTGGAGGGTTCTTTTTCTTGTGGGATGTTTTCATGGTTCCAGAAAGATTTTCCCCATGTGAATGTCAAGCTGTAGCTCCCTTGATGAAGGTAGTGCCTCCCTTTCAATCTTCCCCAGGACCTGCCCTTCCTTCCCTATGCGTGCTCCAACTCAGCTTCTGCATGCAGTAGTATATTTTGTCTCTCTGTAGGTGGGAGTGCAGTTCACATCCAGTATACCCTTCTGTGCTATATCTCAGGCCATTCAGTTGCCTTTCCCCTGTGGGCTTTTTCAGGCTTCAGTTAGTTATCCCCAAGCCCCCAGAACAAATATAAAGTCCTTTGAGGGTGGTGGTGGTGGTGGTGGTGGTGGTTTGTGTGATTAGAAGCTCTTTTACTTAGGCTAGAGGTGAGAAAGAAATATCTGTCATCCCCTTACCCACTACAGATAGGGGAGGAAAAATGCCACATACTACAGCAACTTTCCCCCAAGAAAGTTTCTTTCTTGGCCTCTTCAGCTTCAACCCTTGTAGACCCTCAGGTGGGTATTGAGCTGAAGGTCATAACACTCTTCTTGGACCCCTCCATTGCAAGGTTGGCTGTGCCTAGGTACACCCCTTCTTTGAGTATTTGGCATCTATTGTTTGCTCTTAGTCAGAAAACAGACAGAATGGGTTTCATTAGAACAACTTGCTCAGTAGTACTCAACTTGGTAGGGTCAGCAGCCATGTGTTTAGCTGGAAGGTGCACTTTATAAACAGGTGAACTGTTTTGTTCTATGTGACTGTGATCTTTGCTACTGTAGTGGCTACCATCTAGGTTACAAATAAAGCAGAGTTGTTGAGGAAGCCTGGGGAGATTCTTCCCAAAATTCCATCTGTGTGAAGCTGACATCTTAGATACAGAGAAGGCTCTAACCAGGTAGAAGTAGGTGTGTTTGTTCTCCTTTAATCTCCTCACAGTCTCAGCTTCCTTGATTCTTTTTCATATTTTTTATTTGCCTTTTCTAAGTAATGAATTTGGTCTCAGACAAGGTGCACAGACCTCACTGAAATAATGAGCCAACATGAGCATGAGGATCGTAGTACACAGGCCTTGTTATGTACTCCAGGTCAGGTTTCATAACTTCAGTAGGATCAGCCTGAAGGCAAAGTGAATTCTTATTAAGACCTAGTCCTCTTTTAATTTAGTAAATGTTTCTTATCCTAGACTTCCCAGTACTACTACTTAAAGAGCTCTTTTGGAAGCATCCTGTTAGCTTTTGAATAAAACTGGTATAAAAATCTATTACACAAATGGCATTTTTGTTTAGAATGAGAACATGGCAGTGTGATTGAGCTGTAGTTGGAACTGGTGCCGTCTCATCTTTAGAAAAACCTCGTGTGAGCAACTCCACAGCCTCCCCTGCTCGACGTCCCTCCAACCTCTGCCTGCAACCCTGTCATGTGTACCTACTGATGTCCTTGGAAAAGTTGTTTAAAGCATGTTATCACACAGCATGAAAATGTTCCAGAAGGGAAGCGCAGACTTGTAAAACTGTGTCGGTATTTCCTGATTATCTTTTTTTTTTTGGAGGTCAAGCCCTTCATTTTGACACTTAATGAATAAAATGCCTGCACTGCGAGAAATAGGGTAATGAATTATAAAAAGACATAATCAGCAATGACTAAATAATTAAGAGAATTGATATGCAGAGTCATCTGGGAATGCATTAATAATAACACGATTTGTTCCATATGCTAAAGAATTCTGTTTTTAGAAAATCAGTCATCACACATGCTCCATGGCAAAAAGAAAAAAAATTAATGTTGACTAATAGGAACTGTAATTAGATGTTCTGCTTTTAAACAGCTGAATAAAAGATGAAATCATATAGAAAGTATATTTAGATACAAGTCAGAAAGTAAACCGATTATTATTCATAGTGCCGTTAATAGGAACTGCAATTTATGCATCTAGTGGGAATTGCGTTAGACAATTAAGAAAGGGAGTCACACTCGACTTCCCTTTATGCATTTACATTTATGTAGTTTCCTCTATGATACCAACGACCATGTTTTTTCGTATCTGTCATCAATATGACTGTCAGAGTCATGGACGATGCCGTGTACGTGAGAATTTGGGGATTCTGGGGAAAGTCTTATCTCCAGAGGCTGCTGCATCAGGTACTGCTCAGCACGTGTGTCCTCCGTGCCTTTGTGGGGCATTACCAGCAGGTGATCATGACTTTTCAGCCTCTGCTAGTGTTTCACCTTCAGAGGTTTCGTCAGAGGGTATCGGAAGGAAGACAATGATCTTACTTCAGAAGTAACATCTTATTTGTAGAGGCCACTGTGGGTGGCTTCTAGAAGCTGACCGCTTCTGGAAAGGAAAGGAAAAAATGGAGAGGGAGAAAATGTAGGGCCTGATTTGCTGGCTGGCAGGCTCTGGATGTCTGAACCTGGTCATCAGGATTGGCCACCTTACACTAATCATCAGGGCATCTCTTTGCATTGGGCACAAGAATCATTGCCCACACCCCCTCAAGGTAAGACATCAGGACAAACTGTGAGATTGTGCCTAGAATGAGCACATTTCTGGCCTTGGATTCTCTATTGAAACAATGCAGCTTTATGGAGACTAAAATAATGCTCATTGGCTTACATGACTGAAATATTTTAATGAAAGTTCTCAACTTCTCTCATTGTCTGTGTTCAGGTACGTAGCTACCACTGTCCACACAAGGCCAAGGCCATCGTACAGCTGCATTCTTTTATTCATACAAAGAAAATATGCAGACATAAAGCGTGTGACTTATTTTAACTGTGTGCATGAAGTGCCCACATTGCCACGTTGTTCTGCGTCCAAATGGTGACTCAACCTGTAGAAATTCTTTCTGTCCTTTCGTTCCCTTGTCTCTTGCTTTGCAAGCATGGATCAGGGATAAGACTGAATTAATGGAGGGAGAATCTGGTGCCTCAGCTCTGCAAGGGGCATACTTTATGCACTTTATTGAGTTTCTGAACAACCTCACATCTGTTTTCCTTTCATGAAATAGGAGCAGGATCTCTTCTTTTGGCAACATATGTCAATATGACACATACTGTAAAGGTGTTTGCAGTACGGGGAGGATAAAGAGCACCAGACCAGAAACCCACATGCCTCGGTTTGAATATGCTGTTTTCTGTCCTTAAGGGAAAAAAAAACCAAAAAACCTCTGTGCCTCAGTTTACTCATCTGTGATTCAGAGATAATAATAGTTTCCTTACTTGTCTTGCAAAGTAGCTGAGAGGTTCTAACCAAAAGGATGAATGTCAAAGTGCTTTGCAAACTACAGGGTTGGTTTTGGTTGTTAATATTTTACATACTTATCACCTTCCTGAGAGCATAAAGTTCTGAAGGCAATAGATGATCTTACATAAGGTCCTGAGTTGTACCCATAGAATGAATGACCTTTCATTGCTCTCAATAGATAAATAATTACAGCCAGACACACATGTGGTAGGCAGAAAAGCACGTCCCTCCCATGTCCTAATCCGCAGACCATGTGAATATGTTAGGTAACATGGCAAGAGGGAATTAAAGTTGCTAATCATCCACCTTGAGTTGGGGAGGTTATCCTGGATTATCTGGATGGGTACAATGTAATCATAAAGGCCCTTAGATGTGGGGGAGGAAGACAGAGGAAAGAGAATTCCAAAGATGAGAGCATCAGAAAGACTTGTCCAGTGTCGCTGGCTTTGAAGATGGAAAAAGGGGCCACAAACCAAAGAATGTGATGGCCCTGAGAAATTGCAAGGAGCAAGAACAGAGTTTCCCCTAGAGCCTCCAGAACAGAACGTGGTCTTGCTAGCACCTTGGTTTTCATGCATTTTAAACTTTTAGCGGTCAAACTCTAAGATCATATATCTGTGTTGTTTTCAGCCACTAAGTTTGAGGTGATTTGTTAAGCGGAGATGGAAAGCCAACACACACACACACACACTCACACACTTGAACTAAAGTGGATAGACAAGATATTTCAGATACTACTTTAAAAGGCCCTAAAGCCAAGACTAATGTGTGACCACAATTACCTGGAGGATTTAAGAACCTAATGCTTCTGCGGGTGGCACGTTTGCCCAGGTATTTGTACTAATCCTCTGCTTTGCTGTAGCTTGATTTCCTGGCTTAAGTAAGCAATAGGTTTATTGCTCTGTGCCCTGTGGGCATTCCATAAATACTTGTTGACTGCCTGACACAGTAAGTGTTGTAATTATCTCTCAGATGGGGGAACAGGTGTGGTGAGGTTAAAGCGGCCAGGTAAGACAAGGGACTTCTCTGGGGTTGCATAGCAACCGGGAGGATGCTGAGCTGACATCAAGTTGTCTTTGCCTATAATTGTCTGCCCTTTCCATAACCACAGCATTCCACTTCACGTTATCCATCTTTTTTGCTCATTTCAGTTAGGCTGTGAGGTACCAGTATTGGTTCAAGCCCCCAAGGATCCTGAGTAAAAATCACTGGTCCATCAGCATATCAGGAAGACTTTGAAATTCCTGAGTGCATGATGTTGATTTTGTACCTATTTATTGAGCACTTACTGTAGTCCAGTGCAGGTGTTGAAGATAGCACTGTGAATAAGACAGATTCCTTTTCCCAAAGATTTTGTAAAACAAAGTGACCTTTCCCTTACCCACAAGTTGTCCATCAGTATTTACTGGAGGTCTCCTGAATAAAATGCTCTATTCAGCAGAAAACAGTTGTTTTAAAACTATTTCTTATAAAAATATAACACCTGGCCCTGTACCAAAGGAGTTAGTGAACAATGAGTAAGAAGCTTGCAAAAAATCATGGAAGTGTGCAAGTTAACAAATGTGCACATAAATACAGCGCAGTGGGATGTGGGACTCATCAGGAAAGTGGTTTCTTGTTTTTTATTTGTTTTATTGCTTCTTTGGAGGAAATAGCTTTCCTCCTTACTTGTGCTCCATGGGCACTAAATGGCAGCAATCCCAGAACATCCCCTACAGCTGGAAATTAGTGACAGCCAATGGAGGCAAAGGTGTGTGGTGGCTCTGAGGACAGACAGGCTTAGTGTTAAATTCCAGCTTTCCAATTCACTAGCCGACAGACACTGGGTAATCACCTAATCCCATTGAATCTATTTTCTGCTTCTATTGAATGGGCTTTCATAGAAGGATGAAATGAGCTAATGTATGTGTGACCCCCAGCAGGGTGCAAACCTGTGCCCCCTCCCCACTGCCAGAGGTGCAGGCTGCAGTAGGAGCGCCAGCCCCCCGCGTTGAGGGCTTGCCCCGTAGACCCTGAGAGCTGGGTGCCTCTGTAGCCGCTCCTTGTTCTTCTCTTCTTCTCAGCTAAAGCGCTCTGCTGTCACTTTCCTTTTCTATTGAACCTTCACTCCCATGTCCAAGTATATGTCTTGGAACCTCAAAGGCTTTCTGCCTTCCAGAAACTTCTTTCATATTCTAAAGAAAATTTTTTAAAGTCAAGGAACACTAATACTGCACTTCGACTTCATTTTCTGCTTTCCCTTGAAAAGACGTAAGAGTGCACCTTCCTCTCTAGGTATGTGAATTCCAGTGCTTTGATTCATATCCATTGCTACCTGTTAAATTCTCCTGCCCAGGGAACGAACTCCTGTGCTTGCAAAGGAAACAAAAACTCCTCCCTTTTCTGTAGCCGCTGCCTCACTGAGTAGTCATTAAGTAAATTCAGTGTTTTAATGCACTAACAAAAACACATGATTGTTTAACAGTGTATTATGGAAAATGGTAGCATTAATAGTCTCTGTGGAGTTCTAGTTGGGGGAAAGTACATTATAGCATTGCCAAGGCAGGGGGCTGCTTCTCTATGTGAAAATAAGTCACTGACATTGTACATCATTTTTATATCTTGTTGCCAGGCAACATAAGAATGCAGTTATTGCAATTGTGTCTACTTTCTTGTTTTTTTTTCTTTTGTTTTTTAAAAAGCCACTTCTTAATTCTGTTAAATAAGCCTTGTTATTGATTCTGCAGTCTTTCCTGAGTGTATTGATTGAGGTTCATCCATTAGCTCAGAGGAGGGGGAGGGGCAGGTTTGTGTTTGTAACTAGAACACATGCATTAGTTGTAATCACTAGTTTTCTTGTTCATCACTCTGTATTTTCATACAGAGACAAATAGAGTTCTGGTACCTGGGCATCTGGTAGCCAAAGAACTACAGTAAGAACAATAGAGTGTGCTGGTGAATCCAGTGAATAATGACACTTATTTTCTAGAGTAAGTTTACTGTCATTGATGGTCCTGGGATCCCAGAATATTTCTTTGTATACCTTTTCCTAAAGTATGGCTCTCTTGATTCTGCCTTGTTCACTTGTTCTTGTTCTTGTTTCCTGCCATTGTGTTACATCAGCTTCCATACCCACAGTCACTTGAGAAAACCTTGAGAGTGGTGTTTAGGAAAGGTGGAAAGAGGGAGGAAATGGGAATTTTAAATTCTAATCAAACAGAGTTCTTCCGGCCTCTCTTTAACCCACTCTTCTAAGGTTCCCAGAGCCTCGTTCTAAGACGTAGCTATTTTGGTTGCCTCCCCTTCACCCCATTGGCGAGGGAGGGATTCCTACCCTATGGTGATGGGTATGGCTGAACACACAGCCCCTGACAATGAACAGATGAGATTGACAGGCACTTATTAATTACATATACTCACAGCCTGGGAAGGGGCTCAGGGGCACAGAGGGGTTGTATTCAGGAACAGAGTGAGCCAGCGGGGACTGCCAGAGGCCAGCTTTGTAGTAACAAGAGGGTAGGTTGACCCCTGGTTCTCACAGTAGGATGTGATTGGCTTGTTTGACTAATTCCACAGGCTGGCAGGGAGCTAAACCCGCCACTCAGCGATAAGCAGGAACTGTGCCTGGTCCCCCTGCTAAAGAGGGTGTTTTGCTACAAGACTTTATCCATAGGGGCAGTGTGGGGAGAACTTGCAGTTAGGCCAATTGAGGCCTGCCTTATTTTACCAGATGTCAAGGCAGCAAGTAATATTGACTCTTAATTTCAGGACTAAGATCACAGCATCAGGTGACTAGATTGGTTCTTTTGACCTCAGAGTGAAAAACCAGGACCACGGAGTAGAATTTATGAATTGGGACTCAATATCAAAAAGACCTTTCCACCAGCTGAGATATCAGAAAGCCAAATGGTCAATTAGGGGATGTGACAGTTCTCCATCCCAGGAAGAACAGAAACTGGGTGCGTTGGTAGGAATTCATGCATTAGGTACATGGTGAGTCCAGGATCCTTTCCAAACTCCAGATTCTGTCATCTTATTAGACTTCGGGAGCCAACAGACCATGCAGCAACCCACCCACCACTCCGTTTTCTCTGCCTTGTCCTATGCACCATCCTCTTCCATCCAGGACCCTGTTTCCTCATTTATGAGGTGACAACCAGCTAATCTGATGAGCCAAAAGTGCATTCATGGGTGACAGGTTCAATTCATGAACATGGGAACAGCAACTTTCTCTCGGTATCTGTTGATGAATGCAAGGGATAGCCCTGGTGGCGCCAGTAACACCACACAAGCAACACAGGGAATGTGGGGGGTTAGGCTGAGACGAATGCCATGCTTCCCAGTTCTGCAAAAGCCTCAGCTGAGCTTTGAGCTCTTAGAGGTCATGATCAACTCCTGATAAACCAGGAAGTTTCCATGTGCCACATTCCAGGAGTATGTCTCTTTCTTCAGAAATGATGAAAATCTGTTGGAACAAAACCAAAACACACAAATGTATTTTACTGTGGATTCTCAGTGGTATTCATGTAAGTATTCAGCATTCAACACAGAGCGCCTACTGTTTGCCATACACTGTGCTGGGCTCCAGTCATCTTCCCAACAAAGATGCATTAAGAGGAATGCTGGTGAATGTTTTATCTTGAATGAGGGTGGGGGCGTGGAGACAGGTATATGAAGAAGGGATAGGACTCCTGTGACTAGTAGGTCTGCTAGTCCAGGTTCTGCAGAATCAGTGTTGTTCTAAGTTACTTGCTCTGTCATATCAAGTTCAACTGGGATTTCCCCCCATCAAGTCTGGAGTGGTTCCCCAGAGGAAACAAATAGGGAGCCATAGGGAGCGAGATTCCTGGTGCATCGCATTGAATTTGTTCAGGGGTCCTCATCCTCCTCCATGCTCCTGGGGTCCTGGCACACACTCCCATCGCAGAGCTGAGCATTTGCAGTGTTAGGCTTGTTTACGTGTCTGCCCTTTTCCTGGAACATGAATTCCATGAGAGCAGGGGCTATTTTCCGCTCTGTGTTGCATATCCCATACCCCACATGCTGCTTCACATGTAGTAGACAGAAGCTCAATGAATGTTGATGGGAGTAATTAATTAATGAATTGAACATTAACCTACCACAGATGAATTCACAAGATGATTAGTGCTAGAGCAGTCTGCTGAAATTGGACTACCCTAGAAACCAAGTTGATCGGATCTGACAAATGCGAACCTTATTTATCATGGCTGATGCAATGCATAATATGAGGGTTTAGCCTGTGGTTTACTATAACTGTTCTGCTCTTTTTTTTTTCTATCATCTCTGTGGGACACATTCTTTTATTTTGCATTTGCATTTCTTATTTTGTCCAAGAATAAGTTGTCATTTGAGAATGATCTTTATGAACATTTCCAGGTTAAACTGTTGAGTTTTCAAAGATGTGCTGGTTACTTGTGATGTGAAGAGACAAAAACAAAAGCATCCTGTTCCATGAAAAGAGCGGGCAAATGTTCCTTCATCGTGTGTGTGTGTGTGTGTGTGTGTGTGTGTGTGTGTGTAAGACTCCTGCAGGCAGATGTTTCCTGCGCTAAGCATTTGCCCTCCTGGAACTCACATTCAAAAGAAGAAATAGACATATACATAATTGTGAAGCAATAGGATAAGTGTTATGTTATTAATGATTAAATATGTATAGAGTGTTACAGGCAGGTCTGAAGAGGAGTAGGGATTTTCCTGCACAGAGCATACTCGGCTGTGGTGTTGATTGTGGTCAGAAAAATCAATAATTGACTTCTGGTTTACATGATGAGGATTATTTCCTCAGGCAACAAATTGTAATGATTTATTATTAGATTTTTTTAAGTTTTGAAAGCCATTACTGTCCATATTCTCTTTGTGTTTTATTTATTGGCTCATGTGTTTGTCTGAACAACGCAAGGCCAGAGAACACATCTGATTTGTCATTTTATCCCCAGCATCAAGCACACTTGAATTATTATCATAATACCACCAATGTAACACACTTCTCACTTTTCAAAAATGTTTCTTCTTTAAGTTGAACTTAAACGAAGAGAGGTGAATGTTTCTTATTATCAAGCAGGTATATAGTCAACATTTATTTTTTTAAGTAACATTTTGCCTTTGAAACCAAGCATGGGATTGAATCAGATATACCATTTCCTGGATTTACCAAAACATCAGCTGGGTGATGACTTTTGTACTAGTCATCACTGCTCATTATTTGCTGTCAATTACACTAAGAAAACTTGTTAAAATACATATATTTTATTTTAATAGCTTTTAGGGTACAAGTGGTTTTTGGTTACAAGATGCATTGTGTAGTGATGGAGTCTGAGATCTTAGTGAACTTGTCATCCAAGTAGTGTATATTGTACCCAATGTGTTGTTTTTTATCCCTTGCCCGCATTTCATCTTTCCCTCCTCTGAGTCTCCAAAGTCCATTTTCCCACTCTGTATACCTTTGCATATCCATAGCTTACCTCCACTTCTAAATGAGAATATAGGGTACTTGGTTTTCCATTCCTGAGCCACTTCACTTAGAATAATGGCCCCCAGCTCCATCCACATTGCTACAAAAGACATTATTTCATTCTTTTTCATGGTTAAATAGTATCCTGTGGTGTATATATCACATTTTCTTTATCCACTCATCAGTTGATGAGCACTTAGATTGGTTCCATATATTTGCAATTGTGAATTGTGCTGCGATAAACATGTGTGCAGATGTCTTTTTAACATAGTGACTTATTTTCCTTTGGATAGATACCCTGTAGTGGGATTGCTGAATTGAACAGTTGATCTACTTTTAGTTCTTTGAGAAATCACCATACTGTTTTCCATACAGGTGGTACTAATTTACATTCTCACTAGCAGTGTATAAGTCTTCTCTTTTCACCACATCCACACTAACATTAATTGTTTTTTGACTTTTTAATAACTGCCATTCTGGCTGTGGTAAGTTGGTATCTATTGTGGTTGTAATTTGCATTTCCCTGATGATTACTGATGTTGAACATTTTTTCATATATTTTTTGGCCATTTGTGTATCTTCTTTTGAAAAATGTCTATTCATGTCATTTGCCTATGTTTTGATGGGATTATTTGGTTTTTCTTGCTGACTTGTTTGAGTTGTTTGTAGATTCTAGATATTAGTTCTTTGTCACATGAATAGTTTGCAAATATTTCTCTCATTCTGTGGGTTGTCTGTTTGCTCTGATGATTATTTCTTTTGCTATGCAGAAGCTTCTCAGTTAATTAGGTCTCATTTATTTTTTGTTTGTTTGTTTTTGTTACATTTGCTTTTGGGTTCTTAGTCATAAATTCTTTGCCTAGGCCAGTATCCAGCAGTGTTTTTCCTAGGTTTTCTTCTAGATTTTTTTCTGGTTTCAGTTCTTAGATTTAAGTGTTTGATCCGTCTGGAGTTGATTTTTGTAGATGGTTAGAGATAAGAATCCAGTTTCATTCCTCTACATGTGGCTGTCCAGTTTTCCTAGCACCATTTATTGAATAGGGTGTCCTTTTTCCAATTTATGTTTTTGTGTGCTTTGTCAAAGATCAGTTGGTTGTAAGTATTTGGCTTTATTTCTGGGTTCTTTATTCTGCTCCATTGGTCCGTGTATCTACATTTATACCAGTACCATGCTGTTTTGGTTACTATAACCTTATAGTATAGTTTGAAGTCATGTCGTGTGATGCCTCTGGCTTTGTTCTTTTTGCTTAGGATTGCTTTGGCTCTTCAGCCTCTTTTTTGGCTCCTTATGAATATTAGGATTTTTTTTATTGTTCTGTGAAAATGATGTTGGTATTTTGAAAAGAGTTGCATTGAATCTGTAGATTGCTTTGAGCCACATGGTCATTTTTATGATGTTGATTCTTCCAATCCATGAGCATGGGATGTATTTCCATTTCTTTGTGTCATCTATTATTTCTTTCAGTAGTGTTTTGTAGCTCCCCTTGTAGAGATCTTTCACTTCCTATCCCTGATGAACATAAGTGCAAAAATCCTCAATGAAATACTACCAAACAGAATCCAACAGCACATCAAAAAGATAATTCACCATGATCACTAGGGATGCAGGGATGGTTCGTCATACACAAATCAATAAATGTGATACATCACACCAACATAATTATAAACAAAAACCATATGATAATAGAAACAGAATAAGCATGTGATAAAATCCAGCAACACTTTATCATATAAACCCTCAACAAACTAGGCATAGAAGGAACATACCTCAAAATAATAAAAGCCACATATGACAAACCCACACATACTGAATGGGGAAAAGTTGAAAGCATTCCCCATAAGAACTGGAATAAGACAAGGATACCCACTTTCACCACTTCTATTCAGGATAGCACTGGAAGTCGTAGCTGGGGCAATCAAGCAAGAGAAGGAACTAAAGGGCATTCAAATTGGAAAAGAGGAAGTCAAACTATCTCTTTTTGCTGGTAATATGATTGTACACCTAGAAAACCCTAAAGACTCCACCAAAAGACCTCTAGATTTGATAAATGAATTCAGTAAAGTCTTAGGTTACAAAATTCATGTACACAAATCAGTAGCACTGCTATACACCAACAGTGACCAAGCTGAGAGTCAAATCAAAAACTGAATCCCTTTTACAATAGCTGCAAAAAAAAAAAAAAAAAAAGACACCCTAGGAAAATACTTTTTATTTTTTAGAGACAGAGTCTCACTTTATTGGCCAGGCTGGAGTGCAGTGGCATGATCATAGCTCACTGCCACCTCAAACTACTGGGCTCAAGTGACCCTCTTGCCTCAGCCTCCTGAGTAGCTAGGACTACAGGCGCACACCACTGCACCTGGCTAAGTTTTCAAAATTTTTTGTAGAGACAGGGTCTCACCATCTTGCCCAGGCAGGTCTCAAACTCCTGGGCTCAAACAGTCCTCCCACCTCAGCCTCCCAAAGTGCTGGGATTACAGGCACCGCGCCCAGCCAAGAAAACTTTTAATGTAAGTGGGAATAGGTTAAAAATGCAGTCAGACTTCATGATCACTTGAAGAGAGCTGCCTTTTTGTCTCCTTTTCCTACATCCAGATGCTGAGCCCTTGAAGGTTTCTAATATTCTCTTAAGATAAAAATCCATTAAAAAAGTTTAAGGTATTCAACATGTCATGTGAAATAACTGGCTTAGTGGATTTTAAATTGTGTTTTTAGTTAAAATGACTTTTAGAAGGCCTAAGTAGTGAGCTTTGAAAGTTTGTCTCCCATACATGCATTATTCATTTAAAAGAAATAATTTCCATAACTTTTTAAACTTGGTAATTACATGTTTTAATTATGTAATTACACATTCTAATTATACAGTTAAATCCGATTACAGTAATTATGTAATTATATGATAATTGATACATAATATACATGTAAAAACCTGCATATGCATGCATTTAACAAAGGAAATAGTTCTATTGGGAGGTGCTTATGGGAAGAGTGGCAAAAGGATTGACTTACAGAAAATAATGGAACTTGGCTGATTAATGACTTGAAATAATAGAGACCCCACATAACAATTATATATAAGTAACTCATGCTATAGAATTTGTTTTTACAATTTCCGCTTTTCTGGACAAAGATAAATACATGAGCTCAGGAGCTGGGATTCAGGGACATAATTAAGAATGAGAGGTCGTAAAAGTAGATGTCAAGCTAGTGACATGGTGAAAACTTTTTAGCACAGCAGCCTCCTGCATCCAGATTGTCCCGAAGGAAATGGGAAGTACAAGTTCTGTGCTTCAGTAGTGGGAACTTGAGACTCCCTTCAGAGTGGGGAAGTATCTGCTCAGGACAGTCTCCTGCTTGGTCTGCGGGTTACCTTGCTTAGGGGCCCACCCCTGCCTTTCCAATCAGTAGTGCTATTGGCTTCACTTTGTTGACTCTGTAAATATTACAATCACCAAAATCTGTTGAAGCACTGAAGACCAGGTTAATGAAAGCATGAGAAAATATTTTGTAGTGCATTTGGACTAAGGTTAGAGAAGAAAGTTAACCTATGAAATTACAAGAAGAAATTGAAGTTGACATACTTTGAAATTTCTGATAAATTTCTCCAAATTATTTAGCTGATGTTGATGAAAGAAACCTTGCTGGGAGCTTACAGAAAGTATTACATGTATGAAGTCTAAATTGCATGGAATTAGGAAGAAATAGGAAGTATCATTTTCACATTTCTTTATTGAGATATAATCGACATGTAAATTGCACATATTTAGATAATTTGGTAAGCTTTCACATTGGTATATACCGGTGAAAATATCACATATGTATAATTATATGTAAGTAACTCATGCTATAGAATTTGCATTATTATTGTTTTGATAAGATAATGAATGTATCCATCATTGCCAAATTCATTCTCAGACCCCTTGTAATTGATCCCTCCTACCCTTCTCCACACACCCCACTCATCCCCAGGCCACCACTGCTCTGCTTTCTGTCACTATGGGTGAGTCTGCATTTTCCTAGAGTTTTATATATGTAGAATCATATAGCATGTACTTTCTTGTTTGGCTTCTGTCACTCTGTGTAATTATTCTGAAATTTATCCATGTTGTTGCATGGATCAATTGTTCATTACTTTTCATTGCTGAGCCGTATTCCATTGTATGGACATAACAAAATTTGTTTATCCCTTAACCTGTCAGAGGACGTTTGGGTTGTATCCATTTGGGGGCAGTTATACATAAAAGCTATTATAAATATTTGTGCACATGTTTATAACACACAAAATGTCTTTGTGCTTTCTCTTCTCTGGGGTAAATACCTAGGAGTGGAATGTTTGGATCAAATAATAGGAGTATGTTTAACATTTTCTTAAAAACCCACTAAACTGTTCTCCAAAGTGCTTATATCATTTTACATCTCTACCAGCAATGGAGGAGAGTTGTTGTTTCTCCACATCCTTGCCAACACTTGATCTTTTTAATCCTAAACATTCTAATAGGTATGTAGTGGTATCTCATTGTGGTTTTAATGTGCATTGCCTTCATGATTGGTTGTATTGAGCATCTTTTCATACACTTATTTTCCATCCATGTATCTTCTGTGGTGATGTGTTCAAAAAACTTTGGCCTTTTTTACTAGGTTGTTTTGTTCTCATTGTTGATTTTTGAAAAGTCTTTTTTATATGTTCTACATTCAAGTTATTTACATACTTTGCAAATATCTTCTCTAAGTATGGGGCTTGTCTTTAGAGATTGTAAAGACATGTCTTTCAAACTTTGTTAAAAAATTAATTTCTATGAAGTTCTGTTTTACATTTTTTAATTTATGGTTCTTGTTTTTGGAGTTGTGGCTAAGAAATCTTGGTATAATCTAAAGTCACAATGGATTTTTTTCTATGTTAGGTTCAGAACACTTTGCAGTTTTAGACTTTACATTTGGGTTTAAGATTCATTGTGAAGTGTGGATGGAAATTCAACTTTTGCACATGAGTATCCAGTTATTCCAGTACCATTTGTTGAAATACTGTCCTTTCTCCACTTAATTGCCTTTGCACTTTTGCTGAAAATCAGTTGTTTGTAGATATGTGGTGTATTTCTGGATTCTCTGTTTGGTTCTTGTCAGTCCTTACACTGGTATCACACTGTCTTGGTCACTATAGCTGTATGATTTTCTATCAAATAGTATAATCTTTCGATTTTATTCTTGTTTTTCAAGTTATTTTGGTTATTTTAACACCTTTTCTGTGTAAATTTTAGAACCAACTTGTCAATTTCCACACAAATAAAAAGCCTATTAGGATTTTTATTATGATTGCATTGAATCTACAAATGAATTTAGAAAGAATTGGCATCTTAACAATATCGATTCTTCCAAATCATGAACATGGTATGTCTCTCTATTTGCTTCTCATCAAATGTTAAGGGTCTTTTTTTCTTTCATTATTTATTCAAGTATATTTTCTACCCTCCCCCTTCTCCTTTAGGGAACTCCAATTTTATGTGAGACCACACATGTAGTCATTCCACCGTTCACTTATATTCTTTTTTTCTCTTTTCACTATTCTTTTCTCTCTGTGTTTCATTTTATGTAGTTTGTATTATTATGCCTTGAAGCTCACTAGTGCTTCTTTTATAATCTCTGTTCTACCATTAGAGATTTAGATCTCTTTAATTTCTCTCTGCAGTGTTTTATAGTTTTTAATATACAGGACTTGAACATCTTTTGTCAGATTTATTCCTAAGTATGTTTTATTTTTGATACTAGTATACATGGCATTTATCTTTAAATTTCAGGTTATATTTACTAGTTGCTGGCATATAGATATGTAATTTATATTTGTTTACTGATCTTGTATCCTGCAACTTTGTGAAACTAACTTATTAATTTTAGTAGCTTTTTCTGTAGATTTCATTACATTTTCTACCTAGACCATGGTGTCATAGTGTTGTTCAAGGCTACATTAGTCAGAAAAGTCTGACTAATTTTCTTCCTATGTATTCTATCAATTACTAGGGCAGGATACTGAAATCTCTGACTATAATTAAGGGACTGTCTATTTCTCCTTGAAGTTGTATTCACTTTTGCTTCGTGTATTTTGAAGCTCTGCTGTTAGGCACATAAGCATTTAGATTTTTACGTCATATTGATTGGTCCGTTAGACAATGTGATATAAACTTCTTTATCCCTGGCTGCGTTAAGATCTACCTTAATATTAATATAGCCAATTCAGCTTTCTTTTGATTAATGTTAGCATGTAATATATATTTCTATCATTTTATTTTAATCTATTTGGTTTTTCTTATACTTACAGTATATTTCTTATAAATAGCATATAATTGGGTCTTGATCTTTTAATGCAGTCTGCTCATTTCTGTCTTTTAACTGGGATTTTATAGTGTTTACATATATTATTTATTATTTATCTGATTGGATAAATAAAAACAGGATGGAAAATAGACAATCCTAACCGTATCAATAATTACATTCAATGTAATTCAATGCAGTTAGCATTGAATGCAATTATTTAATGTAATTGAATAATTATTGCCCTTTCCTCTTGTCCTGTCTTCTTTTGCATTGAGTTATTTTTTTGTTTTCATTTAATCTCATTTGTTGTCTTATTAGCTATTACTCTTTGCTTTGTTATTTTAGTGGTTGCTTTAGGAATTATAGTAGACATCTTTAGCTTACTGTCAAGTAATATTTTACCACTTCATGTTCAGTGTAAGAACCTTGCAATTCTTCATTACTCCTTCCCCAGCCACCTTTTTCCTATTGTTGTCAAACATTTTACTTGTATATGTTATCAACTCCAAAAATATAATTTTTTTCTTAACTAATCAATTATATTTTAAACATATTCAAATTATAAAATATGTTTAATAGACTTACCATTTTTCAGTTCTCTTTATTGCTTTGGGTATATTTATATTTCCGTCTGTTAGCACTTTCCTTCTGCCTCAAGGGCTTCCTTTAACATTTTCCATAGTGCGGATCTGCTGGTTATGAACTTTTCCAGCTGTTGCATATCTGAAAATGTCTGTATTTTACCTTAGTTTTTGACAAATATTTTTGTCATATATATATTTTGGAGTTATTTATTTTCTTTCCATGTTTTGGAGATGTTGTTCCACTGTCTTCTTACTTGCATTGTTTCCAACAGTAAATCTGTTGTAATCCTAATCTCTGTTTCGTCTTTCTCTGGCTGCTTTTAAATGTTTCTCTTTTACCACTGGTTTTGAGCAATTTGATTATACTTTGTCCTTTTGTAGCTTTCTTCATGTTTACTGTACCTATCATAACTGAGTCTCTTACATCTGTAGATTTATGTTTTTTATCAAATGTTACAGTTTTGTTCCTTCATTATTTATTTAAATATATTTTCTACCCTCCCCTTTCTCCTGTAGGGACTCCAATTTTATGTACATTAGATCACACATGAAGTCATTCTGCAGTTTACTTATGCTCTTTTTTCTCTCTGTATTTCATTTTGTGTAGTTTCTGTTGTTATGTCTTCAAGCTCACTAATGTTTTCTTTTACAATCTCTATTCTACCATTAATTGCATTCAATGTATATTTGCATTTCATATAGTTTTCATCTCTAGATGAAAACTCAGTTTGGGTCTTTGGTATATCTTCTATGTCTCTACTTAACTTTTTGGACATACATATTACAAATAGTAACTGTTTAATATCTTTGTCCAATAAGTCTGACACCTGTGGCCTTTCTGGGTTGTCTTATTTTTTTCTCACTATGGGTTGCACTTTCTTGCTTCTTTGCACGTATGGTGATCTGTCTATCTGGTAATCTTTGGTTGGACCCAGACAGAGTTTTGCTTTTTTGTGTTTCTACAGATCTCCCTGTGCTTTGTTCTGGGATGTAGTTAAGTTACTTGGAAATAGTGTGATTGTTTTGGGTTTTGTCTCCACAGTTTGTCAGGTGAGAAAGAGCATCATTTAGTCTATGGCTAATTATTGCCTAGTTCTGAGGCAAGATTCTTTTGAGTGCTCTATCCAATGCCCTGTTAATTATAAGGTTTTACAGTCTGGCTGGTGAGCACAATTTCTGTTCCTGGCCTTGTAAGCACCTGGTATTTTTTTCTGTAATCCTTTCAGATGATTCTTTCCCTAGCCTCAGGTTATTTTTTCATGTACTTGTGCCACTCAGAACTCTGCTGAATACTCAAGGAAGACCTGCAGATATTCAAGATTCTCTCTGTACAGCAATCTCCGCTCTTGTGTCCTGAGCAGCAAACTCAAGTCAACTTGTTCTCCCCAGACTCTCAGCTCAGTGTGTTCACTGGGCTTTCTCATGGTTTCCCCTCCCTGTGCTATAGCCCAGAAGTTCTTAGTGCAGTAAGCTGGGGCAGTCATACAGCTTGCCTCATCAGTTTTTCATTTCCTGGGAATTAAGTTGTTGGTTGCTTGATGTCCAGTGCTTGAAAACCTTTGCTTCATGCATTTGTTCCAAATAAGAAACTTTTTGAGTTAAAATCTATTTTCTTATAAAGCAAAACAAATTTATGACACAATGTAATAAATTGAAGAGTTTTGTATTAAGTAATGTATTTGTTAGCACAGTGTATTCATATGTCAGTTGCAGTGGGTGCTACAGTGGGATACTAAATATAGTTTAGTGGGAAGATTGCAGGTGGTTTGCCAACTTGAGCCTCACCAGACTTTGGAAGGTTTGTTTAGATCATAAAATACCAAAAACCTTCATACTGAGATCTTTACATTAAAATTCTGGTTTTCTGAATAGGTTTTGATTGCAGGTGAGAGTTTAAGAGGAATAAATGGGTGATTAGGTGTTAAGAGGCCTTTGGGCTTCTTTAGCTCTGAAGGCTGCTGTTAAATAAGAATATAGATACTAAACAATCTTCTAAATTGCCCCTGTTCCTCATCCTTTATCCAATTTTTCACAAATATTGTTTCTGGATTAATTTTTCTAAAACAGATTTCTTGATTTTTCTCTCACTTTCTCAAAAACCTAGTCTAGAAGAGGAGGCAACATGCAAATAAATTAATAGAATAGCATGAGGTGCAAGCCAAATCAGGTGCAAAGCACCGTGTAGACCTAGAGGAAGTTAATGTTTCAACCACCTGGAGGGCAGAAGAGGAGTTTACTAGATGAACAGGAGAGGAGAGTTGCTACACGTAAGAAATACAGCACTGTAGAGGCATTCAAGCTAAAGGAATGAAGGTGGGAGGGAAATGAGGAGGGGAAGTAATGAGAGCCTAGAAGCCGAGCCGAGGAGTTTAGCAGTGACAGAAGTGCTAGTTTTCCTGTGATCATCCTGGTTTATGCTCATTATCCCCACACCTTTTTCTTGGATAAATTTAAGGACTACAAGTGCTGTTTTGTTATGGGAGTATATTGTGTAGTGGTAAAATCTGGGCGTTTAGTGTATCCACCATCTGAATAATGTAGATTATGCCCATTAGTAATTTCGCATCCCTCACTGCCCTCCCACCTGCCCCCCAGCCATTGCCCTTCTGAGTCCCCAGTGTCTGTCATTCCACATACTGTGTCCATGTGTGCACATTATTTAGTTCCCACTTATAAGTGAGACTATCAGTATTTGACTTTCTGTATTGTTTCACTTAAGATAATGGCCTCCAGTGCAGCCAGGGATGTTGCTGCAAAAGACATGATTTCATTCTTTTTCATGGCTGAGTAGTGTTCCATGGTGTGTGTGTGTGTGTTTATATGCACACTACTTTTTCTCTGTCCAATCATCCATTGATGGGCACTTAGGTTGATTCCATATCATTGCTATTGTGAATCACCAGCACTTCTTCTGGTTAGCATTTTAGCACTTCAGAAATATACCAGTATAGACAGCAAATTATATAGTCAGCATGGAAGGGTTTTAAGCTGGAGAGTGATATCATCAGGTTCGTACTTTTGAGTGATTACTCTAGTTCTTCTTATGAAGTAATAAATGGTATAGAATTTGCCCTCCTGCCATAAACAACTAGAAAACTACCCAAAATATATGAAATCACTGTTTTCAGACATTGGAAAACAGTCAGTACAGAATCATGATCCCATGAAGGGAAATAAATTAGGTGACTACTGTAGTCATCTCAGATTTATATTCAGAGCTGCTTTCTAGACTGTAGTGAAGAGACAGAGCTTTAAACAGAACTAGAAGTCTCACTGAGTTGAGGGAAAATAGACTATGAAAAGGCCTAGGCAGCTGGAGTTTGCAAGACAGAATACTAAAGTGGAGATACTCAGAGGAAGAGTTCCAGAAATCTACATAGGGGACCCCTTGAGTCTTTAGCTGAATACTAATCCTTGCATGCATAATATGAAATTCCACAAGGCTATGCAAATAAAAATTGCCATGGAGCTACTAGATGAACAATCCCCAGAACTCACATACAGCAAAGATACATTTAAATTCTCACAAGCCTTAATGGAAAGACCCTGTTAACAACCCAGAGCATTAAGTAGAGATACTAGCTATGTCTTAGTAATACAGCTAAAGTATCTCTAGAATAAAGGGATTGGCTACACCCTAACACAATTTAAAAATAAGCTTTGATACACAAGTAACCTAATTTCTCGACAAAACAAACTTCATCAGTCTCTGAAGAAAGAAAAGAAAAACATTTACCAACATCCAAAATGTTAAGCATCCATTCCAAAATTGTAAGAAAAAGAAGCAGCAAATGTGACCCATAGCAAAAGGAAAATAGACCATGTTCTGGGTATAAAACCAATCTCAATAAATTAGAAGGACTGAAATACAGAATATGTTTTCTGGCCAAAACAAAATTAATTTAGAAATAAAAGAGATATCTGGAAAATCCCCCAATATGGGGAAATGAAACAACATATTTCTAAATCCATGTGTCAAAGAAGAAATCATCAGAGAAATTAGAACAAATATTGACCCTAATGAAGATGTGTATGTAAAATGTAGTTAGAGCAGTTCTTCAAGGAAATCTTATAGCTTTAAATGTTCATAACAGAAAAAGAAGAAAGGTTGAACGTCAGGTTCCTTGAGTTTCCACCTTAAGAATCTCAAGTACAAAGAGTAAATTAAACCCAAAGGAAGTAGAAGGAAGAAATAATAAAGATAGGAGCAGAACTCATTAAAAATAGAAAATGGACAAAGATACTGAAAATTTATGAAATCTAAAGCTGCTCCTTTGAAAAGATCAATAAAATTAATAAAGTTCTAAGTGGGCTAAACAACAGAAAAGAGAAAACGCGAATGATTAATATGAGCAATGAAAGAGAGGACATCACCACAGGTATTACAAACATTAGAAGAATAAATAAAGGGCTGCTGTTAACAACTTTATGCCAATAGATTCAACAGCTTAGGGGAAATGTACAAATTTATTTAAAGATAAAAATGACCAAATCTACCCCAAAAAATAGAATCTGTGTAGTCCTATCTGTGTTAATGAAATTGAATTTGTAATTCCCCCAAATTCCATGTGTGTTAGTCTGTTTTGTGTTGCTGTAAAGGAATGCCTGAGACTGGGAAATTTACAAAGAAAAGATGTTTGTTTGGGCTCGGGGTTCTGCAGGCTGTTTAAGAAGGACAGTGCTAGCATTCGCTTCTGGCGAGGCCTCACGAAGCTTATAGTCAGGATGGAAGGCGAAAGGGGAGCAGGCGTGTCACATTGAGAGGGAGCTGGAGAAAAAGGAAGTGCCATGGTTCTTTTTTTAACATCCAGTTCTTGCGGGAACTAATAGAGCTAGAAACTCACCCATTACCATGGGGAGGGCACCAGGCCATTCATGAGAGATCCACCTTCATGACCCAAATACCTCTCAATAGGCCCCACCTCCAACACCAGGGGTCATCGCATTTCAACATGAGATTTGAAGGGGACAAATATCCAAACCATATCACCGTGATCAGATGGTGTCACTCAGATGTTACCGGTTGAGGAAGAAATATTAACCATGTACAAAATTACTCAGAAAACAAATGAGGAGGAAACATGTCCCAGATATATTTTTCATGAGGCTAACATTAGTCTGATATCAACCTTTCACAAAACTTAGCTAGTTAAATTCAGAAATATATAATAAGTAAAGTATTCCAGGAATGCCAAGAAGGTTTAACGTACAAAAATCAGTCAGTATAATTTTCTGTATTAGCAGAATAAAGGATAAAATTATATGAATATTTCAATCGGTGCAGAAAAAGCATTTGGCAAAATTTAAGATATATTTAACTCTGAACAAACTAGGAATATATGGAAACTTCCTCAGCTTGATAAAGGGTATCCACAAAAAGCCTATAGTAGCTTAACTAATGATAAAGGAACAAATTGCTTTGCTCCGAAGATGCTAAGGCAAAGATATACTCTTGCCAATTTCATTTTGTTTGAGTTTTTGTTGTTTTGTTTGTTTTTGTTTTGTTTTGTTTTTTAAGACAGAGTCTCACTCTGTCACTCAGGCAGGTTGGAGTGCAGCAGCTCAATCACGGCTCACTGTAACCTCAATCTCCTGGGCTCAGGAGATCCTCCCACCTCAGCCTTCCAAGTAGCTGGGACTACACACATGCACTGCTAGTGCGCCCAGCTAATTTTTTTATATTTTGTAGAGGCAGAGTCTTCTTACCCAGGCTGGTCTTGAACTCCTGGCTTCGAGTGATCCTCTAGCCTCAGTCCCAGAGTTCTGTGTAATAGTGTCTAGAAAAAGACTCACATATGCTGTCCATTCTCATTATTCATGGTATTATGTTTTACAGAGTCATACTGAATTAGCAAATACTGAACCTAGGGAAAATGCAAAGTTAAGTTGCTGTGAGCCTTCGATCACACATCAGCCAATCAGTATATAACCTTGTTGTATGTGTGTTTCTGTTTAAAGACACCTTATTTAACATATATTGTTGATTCACTAACACTGAACTCACAGCTAACAGCACTATAACCCATGCCCAAATGAAGCATATCTGATGCACTTATTTCCTCCATAAGGGACATCACAACTTTTTTGCACTTGGGATCACTAGACAGCACTGAGCACGATGCCTGGGGTCCATTTTAAACAGCAAAATTAAAAAAAAAAAAAAGAAAAACACAAAATTGCAAAAAATATGGCACTAAATATACCACAAAAAGGACAGTAGGAAAGCTGAAACAAGAAGACAGCGTGTCACCTTTTTCAGCCTTGTCTGGAAACATGCACATTGGGCCAGTCATGGTTTTCACCATTCTGTGCGTGTCCATGAATGACCAGGAAAGCACTGTGAGTATGAAATTTGGGGCATCAGTAAATTTAATGAGGGGGCAAATTCAGAAATAAAGAATCCGTGAATAATGAAGGTTGACTGTACAGTCGGCTCTCTGTATTTGTGGGTTCCACATTCACAGGTTAAATGAACCGCAGATCAAAAACGTTCAGGCGCCAGGGAAAGAATGGTGCATCCGTACTGAACAGGCACAGACTATCTTTCTTGTCATTATTCCCCGAACAGTGCAATAAAGCAAGTATCTACATGGTATTTACATGACATTAGGTGTTGTAAGTAACCTAGGGATTATTTATTAAAGTACATAGGAGAATTACATGGAAACACACCATTGTATATCATTTTATATAAGCATCCGTAGATTTTGGTATCCACAGGGGTCCTAGAACCAATCCGCCAAGGGTAGCGAGGGACAACTGTATGTTACCAACTAATTTTCAACACATTTCCATCTTGAATAAAGAAAAAGAAGAGGAACCTCAACCCTTACTCTCCTATCCCCAGGCCAACATGATCACTGAAGTGCCTGTGGTCTGTATAGCCTAGTTCGGCATGGCCAGTTCTAGAACATCACCTGTCTAGAAAAAGATGGAATATACTCTTTGTGCCTGGTTTCTTTTACTTACCAAACTGTTTTTGAGATTTACTCATGTTTTGTGTACTCGCTTCGTTCTTTCTGTTGCTGAGAAGCGTTCCATTCTATGGGTATATCATAATTTCTTTATCCATTGTTTATTTGCCATGGATATTTCGAGTTTTCGGTTTGGGTTGTTGTACATAAAGCTATGCCGTGTGCAAGTTTTTGTGTGGACGTGTGTTGTCATTTATCTTGAGTAAATACCCAGAGTACAATCACCGTACATTTATCAGAGTTGTAGATTGTTGTATATTTATCAGGGTTTCTTTGCCTTAGGACTATGGACATTTTAGGCCAGATAATTTTTGGTTGTGGGACTCTCCTATGCACTGTAGGATGTTTAGCAGTACCCCTGGCATCTACCCACTTGATGCCAGTAGCACCCACTCTGTTATGACAACCAAACATATCTCCAGACATTGCCCCTGTTTGAAACCTGCTATAAAATTCAGTTGCTACTTAATGGATATTGATAATAAAATTGTAAAAGCAAACTCCTCCATAAAGGAAACATCTTATCCTCAAATGCATGAATACAGCTCAGGGTTCCTTTGCAAAGAGAAGAAAATCTTAGATCTTTCATTCATTCACTAGGAGGTTCTCTGTAGTGTATTTCATTCAAAGATTACAAAGCCTTAGGCCCATTGTATGTAGATGTTGAAAGCCTGTGGTAGTTTTATTAATAAATTTTGAGTTGTCTTGCTGTGGGTGCTGCTGTCAGACACTAGTTACCACGTTAGCCCAGTTCCTAGTTGATGTCCTTATAGCACTTACTGTATGGGCTTTTCAGCCAGTTCAAGACTCTGCTGTTACTGTCACATTTCTTTTCTTATCTGTGCTGTATACACATTTTTGGACAAGAAACATTAGCTTGCACTATTTTCTAAGGCAGGTTGGTAAATGCTTGAGTAGTCATTTCGTTGGAAGAATTTATCACAGGCAGGAGTTTCACATGGGAACTCAGTATGTATTTTCTGATGAGCAATCACTTTGCATTTATTTTTGCAGGAGCTGCCATCAACAATCTAATTTTAGGTATCATCACCAGGGTCCATGCATGTGTAATTTTCACTGGATCTACATTCCTTTCATTGTTGAAATTAGTTGAATGATTCTGTAATTTGCTTAAAATGCAAAGAAGATCATTTTGTAGCCATCTTTTAATTTGCAGAGCTTGCGCTTATGCCACTGATGTTTATTTTTCCTGAAAGCCTTTAAGAAGTGTGAGAAGGACTCAGTTAGGTCTGTAACTTCCCATGGAAGCAGCCTCCGAATCCTCGAGCAATATCATTCCCAGCCTCTCCTGACATGACCTGTTCTTGATGTGATTGTCAGCAGTTCCAAAATGAAAGTCTCTCCTGAGGCCAGAGGCAGGAAGAGGCTGGGCTGCCATCCATGCAGGTTAATCCCAGGGGGGATGCAGAGAGGCCTGGTGGAAGTTCTGGGAGAGGGCAGCCATACTGTCATTCTGGTTCCATTTTCATGATTTCTAGGGTGTCTGGAAAAGAAGGCAGAACCAGTGGCCTGAATCCTCAACTACTTTTTTTTTTTTTTTTTTTTTTTTGGTGACAGGGCCTCACTCTGTTACCTAGTCTGAAGTGCAGTGGCATAGTTAGCTCACTGCAGCCTCGAACTCTTGAACTCAAGCAATCCTCCCGCCCCAGCCTCCCAAGTAGCTTTGACTACAGGCATGTACCACCTTGCCCAGCTACATGCACTGCCATGCCCAGATAATTTTTTGTAGAGACAGGTCTCACTGTGTTGCCCAGGATGGTCTCGAGCTCCTGGCCTCAAGCAGTCCTCCCAACTTGGCCTCCCAAAGAGTTGGAATTACAGGCATGGCACCGCACCTGGCCAACAACTTATTAAAATTATGAATGCCAAGCTTTGTATGAAGCATTTCATATGCAGTCATGCATGGTATAACAATATGGATATGTTCTGAGAAATGTGTCGTTAGGCCATTTCATTGTTTTGTGAACATCACACTTCACAAACTAAGATGGTATAGCCTACTATACACTCAAGCTATATGGTATGGTCTGTTGCTCCTAGGCCAGAAACCTGCACAGCATGCTACTATACTGAATGCTATAGGCAATCGTGCCACAATGATAACTATATATGTATCTAAACACAGAAAAGGTAGAGTAAAAATACAGCATAAAAGATTTTTTAAAAATAGTATACTTGCATAGGACCCTTACCACGAAAGGAGCTTACAGGACTGGAAGTTGCTCTGGGTGAGTCAGTGAGTGAGTGCTGAGTGAATGTGAAGGCCTAGGACATTATCGTACACTACTGTACACTGTGAACTTAGACTATACTAAATTTATTTTTAAAAAACTTCTGTTTCTTCAGTAATAAATTAACCTTAGCCTATTCTTACTGTAACCTTTTTACTTTATACATTTTTAAAGTTGTGTAATTTTTGACTCTTTTGTAATAACACTTAGTTTAAGCACAAACAACACTGTACGACTATTCAAAAATAGTTTCTTTACATCCTTATTCTGTAAGCTTTTTTCATTAAAAATGCTTTTCTTTTTAATTTTTTTGGGCTAAAATCAAAGGCACAGCACATTAGTGTAGGCCTGCACAGGGTCAGGATCATCGACATCACAGCCCTCCACCTCCACATCTTGTCCCACTGGGAGGTCTTCAGGGGTGGTAACATGCGTGGAGCTGTCCTCTCCTCTGATAGCAGTGCCTTCTTCTGGATACCTCATGAGGAACTGCTTGAAGCTGTTTTACAGTTAACTTTTTTTTAATGAGTAGAAGGAGTGCACTCTAAAATAATAAAAGTATAGTGTAATGTAGTAAATACATAAACCTGTGACATCATTGTTTATTATCATTATGAAATAGTATGTACTGTACATAATTTTGTATGTGCCATACTTTTATATGACTGGCATCGCATTAGGTTTATTTACGCCAGCATCACCACAATGGTGAGTAATGTGTTACACTGTGACATTACAATGGCTATTGCATCACTAGGTGATAGGACGTCAGCTCCATTATAATCTTACAGGACTGCCCTCATATATGCAGTCTGTCATTAACCAAAATGTCACCAAGTAGTGCACAACTGTGCATTATCTGATTTCATATATGCTGTCTAGTTCTGAGAAGTATCATAACAACTTTAGGAGGCGTTTGCTGATAAGGAAGCAGACTCCAAGGATGGCCAGCCCCAGATCTCCCCAAAGCTGAGCCTCTCAGCAAACTCCAGGCTCCCGGATTGTTGTTTGTTTGTTTGTTTGTTCGTTTGTTTGTTTTCTTCTCCCTGCTCAGCCAAAACCGTCTTCATCCAAATTTGAAACCCAGCCTAGCCTAAGTCTCCAGTCAGAAGTACGTAGACTTTCAGACCAGCAGCCCCAGCTCAGACCTCTGCAGGACGTACATCATCGGGAATTCATGATTAAGTGACTAAATGATTTGTTTCTAAAACAGAGATGTATGCTGTCTGTGGCAAGGGCTGGGAGCTGGGCAACAGCTGGGCAGGGGGCACATCGCCTTAAAGCCTCATGCACCAAAGAGCCAAACCGTGAGGCTTTCTCAGAAAGCAAAATACAGCGCTCACACTGCAGGGGTGGCGGCGCAGGTGTGGAACCCTGTCTTGATGCCTAACGTGGGGGTCACAGCTATCCGAAGGCAGGCTCCAGAGAGCACCTTGACCATTTCTGCTTGTTTTCTCCCGTCTATGCCCCAGCCTGGCAGTCACTGGCCTCTGATTTAAAGAGTCGAGTTTGCGGGTGGTTTGCTAATTATGACCCAACGAGCACTTCTGGCTTCGGTTGGAGTGAGTGGGGTGTGAGCCAGCACACAGCCGTGGCCTCCCGCTGCCATCTGTGATTTAGAGCAAAATCTTTGAGAGAAGTATAACTGCCTGAATTACTGCTCTTTTATATGTTTTTAAATGAGCATGTAAAGGCCAAGGGCATTTTTGCCCATTTAATACTATTAAATCCATCATTAAGTCTCTCACTGAACACTGGCTGATTTTAATGATGCCCTCAAGTACCGATCCTGGTGCTTGACTGTGTTAATATTGTTGTATATATAGATACAATAAATAATGCTTAGCTAAGATGGTATGAGAAGCATTACTGTGTGTATCAATAAAAATACTCGTACTAATGAGACCAAGTGTCAGGAACAGATGGTGTGGTGGGAATTCAGCCATTGCAGCTAAAGTTTGGGAAAGGACAAAACTCCACGGCACATTGAATCCATCACTAAAGCCAGCCCGAATCCTCTAAATATTTTACAGCATGCTGGCATAAAAGGATTAGTTTGAAGTTATAGTTTATTTTTTTTTTACTATGCAACTTTATAGCACTACGGCATAAAACCCACAAATGTTTTTCAGTATCTGTTCTATTTACTGGCCCCCACACCCCTGATTTCTGGGCAGAGCCACAATTATCAACCTTACGCTTACTGCATTGCGCTGTCATACTTGCATTATTACCATGTAAGATCAAGAAGTAAAAGGTGGAAAATCTTGATTTTTTTAAACATCTGTTGTTTTAAAGGTGAACTTTATTTTATCTGAACATTCAATATTCTACCTTTCGCTTTATGGCCGTGTTAATCTTTAATCATTGCAATAGCCACAACTGACATTAACGGATGTACACTGAGCTAGTGTGTGCGGACTGATGGTGGCTTTAGTGCCAATATCTCATGGAGCCTCACATTGGCCTCATGAGTCAAATACCGTTATCAATCTCCAGTCCCCATTTACAGATGAGGAAACTGAGCCTGAGGGATTAAACAACATTCCCAAGAGTACAGAGAAGAAATGGCAGTCAGAATAAAAAGCCCAAACCCTTCATCTCCCTACCATCCTTTTGCAGAAAGCACCCGTAATTGTGCAAGATTTGAGAGTCCGCACTCAACGAATGGCCATGGGGCATCAGGCAGAGACTATGTCAATGGGGCACAGGCACTAAGTGAACTCAAGTTCTTCTTAAATCACTTAAAGCACTTTGGGAGGTCAAGGCAGGCAGATCACTTGAGGTCAAGAGTTCGAGACCAGCCTGGCCAACATGGTGAAACCCCATCTGTACTAAAAATACAAAAAATTAGCCAGGCATGGTGACACGTGCCTGTAATCCCAGCTACCCGGGAGGCTGAGGCAGCAGAATCGCTTGAACCCGGGAGGCTGAGGTTGCAGTGAGCTGAGATTGCGCCATTGCACTCCAGCCTGGGTGACAGGGCGTGACTCTGTCTAAAAATAAAAATAAAAAAATCACTTAAAGGTTCATGCTGATTCAAACTCTCAGAATTTCTTGAGTGTATGTGAAAAGTAGGAAGTTTTCTGAAGAGTTCTAAACTCTTCCACATATTCACTGGAAGGAGACAGCAGAAAAGCCTGTTATCTACAACAGTTTTTAGAACTTTTAAGTAAAAGAAATCTAAGGGGAAATAAAAATGTCCCCCTTTTATTGTTCATGTAGAACCTGTGATGAGATTGCATTGTAAAAAGAGAAGAGGAATAAGGAGAGAGTAAAGTTTTATTATTTCTAAGCTAATCTTCCTGTCTCTGGTAGTTGTAACCTTTACAGGTAATTTTTGGAGATTTGGATATAATTTTCGAACTAGCGCTGTCCTTATAAAGGCAGGTAGAAGCCACTTCTGTGCTATTACTTTAAATTTGGAAATGGCCGTTTAATGTGAGTGTGGCACTAAGGTAGTAACATAGATTTTCATTTGTCGTGGACTGCATGACTGTAATTCTCGATTTCACTTGCTTTCTGTTATAGAGGTCCACATAGATTAGAACCTGGAGTGGCTTTGCCAGAGTTCGATTAAGAACAGACAAGCCAATTCAGGCTGACCTGCAGTAACTGGAACTCACTCTCCTGCTCTTTCCACATCTGCATTCTCTCCTGGCTACCGGGACACAAGCAGGGATATAAATGAGGATAAGTGACTAAAACCTCAGAGGGCGCAACATCGCTGCTGTATGCAAACACTCAGCAACATGCAATGGTTTAAAAACAAGTCAGGATAATTGCAGAGCTGGAGTTAAGGAGTGAGGGAACACGCCAGCCACGGTAGCAAAGACATATTTGCAAAGAGGAAGCTGAACACAACCTCCTGATCAGGTTATCATGAGTTTTTAAACTCTAATAACTTAAAATGTACTCACCTCAAGATCAGCCTATAGAGATCACCTGAAAGGTATGGACTGAATGATAGGACAATACAGTTACATTTGGTATATACCTATTAATACTTCATATCCTAAAATAAAAAGTGGCTAAGAGAAAGTAAGTCCACATTATTCAGTAGAATAAAATTGCTCTTGCAGCGAAATGCCTGATAGAGCTTCTTCTCTCAAATGCCGATAGCCTAAGATTTTAAAGTTGAGAAACAGAATGTCTTAATACTGCGCAAAGCTTTATGCCGTTCCAATATCATACTAGCATGTAATGTGAACTTGCATAATTTACTGAGCTGTGCACTTTTATTTGCCATCCGGTCACCCTTTGCTCTGGGCTTGTTTCAGGCCTCTAGAGGGACTAACTCCAAGGCCTTGTACCTTTCATCTCCTTTCTGTGCTGTGCAGCACATTCCCTTTGCGAGACTACCGTGCTCTATCATATTTAGAGCCTGCAGAGGTTTGGCAGGATACTACTACACTGAAATATACACACATGCTCCGCAACAACCCAAAGAATGCCTCCAGACCATCCACGAGGGTGCTGAAAACGGCAGACTTGTGGAGACTCACCCAAATCTTGTTTCTAGATGGGAAACTATCCAAGAGGACAAAGTTCTGGTAACTGGGCTATCTGGGCTTGGTTCTGATTGACAGATGCTGTATCCAGATTCCCTGAGGGGCTTTGGGTCTTAACCCCCCTGCTAATCACTTATGCTAGAGCCACTGGCAAGGGGAATGCAGACTGGCCTCTCGGCAAGGCATCTGCAGAGGTTACCTTAGTGTTTTCTTTGAATACTTTTCAGAAACACTTGGATGTGCTTAAAAAGTAAGTTTTTGATCAAAGAGAGTTAATGCAGCTTCAAAAAGTACTTGCAACGGGCAATATATAATTGATGAAATACAATATCTATGTTTAGCACATAGTAGGTGCTGAAAGGGTTTGTTGATTTACCGCTCAAGTCAGGTATAGGAGACCCTCTTGAATCACTTTCCCTTTCCAGGGGGGCCCTGTCATGTACCACAGCAAGAATAAAATATTTTAGAAAAGTGGCTGGATATATACCTTCAGTATGGTCTCCTGACCATTCTTTCTTTTTCTGGAAGTTTCTGCAAATGACAGCTTCCACATCACAAATTTTAGAAAGACAGCTCTGGATTCCAGAAAAGCAGTCAGGCTAAATGATTTGCTACAGATGATTTGAGCAAAGATGTTGTTTGGTTAATAAAAGAACACGTATTTCGTCAGTGGCCAGCATGGCTTAGTCCTTAGGACAGTGTGAGGCAGAAGTGAATCCTCCTGTGCCGTGTATTCCTCTGCTCTCACAGGGCATCTTTCTTCTCTCGTGAGAGAGGCCAGAGTTCCTGAGATGGATGAGTTCCCTCACACTGCAGCACAGCCACTGGTACCCAAATGCAGAATTTACATTTACACCCTCTCGTTTGCATTGTCTACCCAGCGTCCCCAGACACTGACAGTGCGTCAGCCCCTTGGGATAGGCAGGCTCTAGAAGAGGAGGTGGTGTGCAACAGCTTTTCAGAATCTCCACAGTTGGAACCCCTCAAGTTTGGAGGAGGATATTAAAGGGGACTTGAGAGGTAGGGGTTGGCAGTGCATGGCAATTGTCAAACTTTGGGATAGAGCAAAAGCTTTATTACCATTTCAAAGTTGGGTAAATAATGAAGCTTTCTCATTTACTTCTCTGCTCATTGTCTGTTTTCCTTCTGTCAATAATGGATTTTATCTACCGCTATCCTCTGCCAAAGATATGCGAAGAAAAGATAAGTCCAGCCTGGGCGCCAGGTACCAAGCAGCCATTGACTGTCTTTAATCTCTCATAAAATTCTCAGAAGCCCTAGGAACTTTTCTAAAACAGCAAGGAAAGACAGACTTTTTGGATGTTTAAAACTATTTGTTTGGAAAATATTTGTGCTTGAGAAAACAGATCCTCTACACACTCATGTGCCAAAATAAGAATTTGTGTCTTTTTTGCTTCTGGATTTCTAAATGCCATTAGTTTAAAATACTTTGTGTGTTGTTGTGGGTTTTAGAACACTAATGTTACCTGCAGAAGTCTTGTCTCTGAGTTTGCCATGAACACTGCATTTGTACGTGTGTTGAGATGGAGGTGTTTGTTCATCCACAAACCTAATTACCAGTCAAAGTGGTCAAATATCAGAAGAGAGGCCTGAGCCTTTGATGTTAAACTCAAAGTAAAGCATAGAAGGACTTGAGCAAATGCTTGTTGACTGGCTTTCTTGAGAACCAGTGTTGCAGGTCAAAGTTGACAAAGTTTCAGGAGCAGTTTCAGATGGATTGCCGCGGAAAAGCTTTGCAGGACTATGGCAGGCCCCTCTTCCTATGGCGGCAGCACAGCTCAGGCAGTGTGTCCTGCAACTGTTCACTGGGGACTTTGTACCATCTTTTAAAATTTTAACTCTGACCTTGTACTTTTTGAGTTCTGTTCCTTCTACTCTCTCTCATGCTGGCAGAATTGGTACCTTAAAAACATAAAAAGGGAATCCTGCTTCTTTATCTGATAATGTTCACTAGCATTTACAGATGTTTGGGCCAAAGGGCTTTTGGTAGGGTCTACCTTTAAGCCTTTCAGGTGCACTCTGTTAACAGTTATTACAATGTGGGGACCCCAACTCCAAAAGAAAACTGTCTTCATGCCCAAGGGGAAATGGAAAATCAAAACATTGGCCTGAATGTAAAGAAGATCTGTAAAGAAGAAAAAGAAAAAACCCTTTCAGGTTTCTGAAGCGATCGTTTTTAGTGTGTGTGGGTTCATTTATTTGAACTGAAGTCCCCCAGATAATAAAGTTCTGTATAAGCTTGAATGTCACACAGGCTAGCAGTATTCACCCCAGCATTTCCCTCACCTCATATAATTCTTAATTTATAGAAAACAGAATTATAAGATTTTTTTTTTCTTTATTTGGATTTCTGTTAAGTTTAAATCACTCTTTCTAATATTTTGCTATACTTGGTTAATCTGGTAACAAATGCAAATGCCCTTTTGGTATAATATTTCTTAATCCGCTTCTTGGTTTCTTCTTTTATTTCATTCATTCATTCATTTATTCATCGAGCAAATGTGTTTGGTGCCTCTACTGTGTGCCAGCATTGTCTTCTAGACCCCAAAACGAGCCAGCAAACGTTTTCTGGAAAGGACCAAATGGTCAACATTTTAGGCTTTGAGGGCCATCCAGTCTCTGATGTGACAACTCAATTATGCTTCTGTAGCACAGAAGCACCCATGGATAACAGCAGTGAGTGAAGTGGTGTGGCTGTGTTCCAGTAAAACATCGTTTAAAATAATGTGGCAGGCCAGTTTGGCCTGGCAGCCATTGTTTTGCTGACCCAGCCCTAAGATATAGCAATGAACAAACAGAGAAGGTTTCCTATTCTCATGATGTTTACATGTTAGCAAGGGGAGATAATAAACAGATAAACCAATAAATATATAAATGGTAGGCAGTGATAAGTGCTAAGAAGAAAAATAAGGCAAGGTGAGGGAATAGAGAATGACTGGGCTGGTGTTATTTAAGATAGGGCAGACGGGGAAGCCCTCTCTGCTGAAGTCGTGGTTGAGCAGAGATCTATCAAGTAAGGGAGGGAGTGGCATTGCTGACATGGAGAAGGGTGGACAGGCCAAGGGAACAGTAGGTGCAAAGGTCCTGAGGCAGGAACCTGTTTGGTTTGTTTGGAGAAAATCATTGTAACTAAAGTAGAGTAAGTAAGGGGAGAATGATGAGTACTGAGTCATGGAGGGAACCAGGGCCAGATCCAAGAACCTTGGGTTTCATTCTCCATAAGATAAGAAGCCACTGGAAGTTTTTCAGCAGAAGACTGACATGATCTGTTTTGTGTTTTAAATGATCCCTCTGGCTGCTATAGGGAGAAGAGGCTTGTCAGGGAACAAGGGTGGAAGCAAGAGACCTCAGGAAAAGTCAAATGAGAGATGACAGTGTTGTATACTAAGGTGGGCAGCCTTGGAGGTCGCAGGTGACTAGATCCAGGATACATTTTGAGGGTTGGGCTATCAGGATTCAGTAATATATGGCATGCTCAGGGTGAAAGAAAGAGAGAAGTCAAGATGAGTCCAGGGTTTGGATCTGAACAAATGGAAGAATGAAGTTGCCATTCACTAAGATGGGGAAGACAATGGAAAAAGCAGGTTTGTGGTGGAACTCGAGAGTTGAGTTTTAAATGTGTACACTTAGGGTTCTATTCAGATATCAGAGTGGAGGTAGCTGGGAAGCAGTTAGATGCACAAGTTTGGCATTCAGGCGAAAGGTGTAGTTTGGCAGGGTAAACGTGGCCAGGATGAGATCATCCAGAACATAAGTATATCTGGAAAAGGGAAGTGATTGTAGAGCCAAACCCTGGGTTGCACAGTCATATAAAAATCAGGAAGGTGAGAAGGATCTTACAAAGGAACCTGGGAAGGAGAAGCTAAGAGTAGATGTTTTGATGGCCAGGAGGAAAGTGATCCATCTAGGAGAGAATTATTTACTCAGACAGAGCGCTGAGAGGTTCAGTAGGCGGGAAACTGAGAATCAGCCCCAGGAATGCCAGACCAGCGTCAGCTTGAAGCACAGACTGGAATCAGGACAGGGAGTTTAGATGGAGAGTTTTGCTATAAAGAGGAGCAGAGAAATGGGATAGTTGCTCTAGTCTGCTGTGAGGTCAAGGGAGAGTGTTTGGAGATGGGAGATAAGTCCTGCTCCTCCTACAGTGATCAGAACAACCCATAGAAAAGGATTATGAACACATGCTCATTAGACACTTCAGTAGTCCTTCAGATGCTGGGATTCTAGTTTTGAATGAGATGTGTTCTTTATCTTTTCTTATAATGATGTGCGGCTATCTTTTCAGTATAACTGTAACACTCTCTCCGTGCATGTGACTATTTAGACCACAAATGAGAAGACCTGAATCCAGGTCGTGGCTCTGCCATTTGCCAATGTTGTATCCTTGGAGAAGTTTCTGAGCTTTTGTTTCTTTCCTTGTAAAATGAAGACTAATAATAATAACTGTGTGCTCAGAAACAGAAAATCAAATACCACATGTTCTCATTTACAAGTGGAAGCTAATCAATGGGTACACATGGACATACAAAGTGGAATAATAGACCGTGAAAGGTGGGAGGGGAGTGAAGGCTGAAAAACTATCTACTGGGTACAGTGTTTACGCTTCGGGTGATGGGGTCACTAAATGCCCAGACTTCACCACTACGCAGTATATGCATGTAAGAAACCTGGACTTGTACCCTCTAAATACACAAAAATACGTAACTGACTAATAAGAATAATAACTGTGACTGTGTGGTCACTTACCCAGGGTTTTTTGTTTGTGAAAATTCCCTGAAAAATGTGAAACACCACACTGCTATGTAATATTATGAGCATATTTATCATCTTGCTGTTGTTTTAAGAATTTATTTCTTAGGGATTTATGCCAAGAATTCAAAGTTGATTTTATATATTGAAATTAATATAACATACTCTAACTATAAATAAATGATAACAGCCACATGGCCATCTCAATAGATACAGAAAAAGCATTTGACAAAATCCCAACAACCATCCATGATAAAAACACCCAACAAACCAGGAACAGAGGCAGCCCTCCTCCAGCTAGAACAGATACCCATGGAAAACCCACAGCTAACATCATGCTTAATGATAAAAGAGCAGATGCTTTCCCCCTAAGATCGGGAGCTAGACAAGGGTGTCTGCTCACTACTTCCAGTCAGTATTATCCTAGAAGTACTAGCCAGAGCAATTAGGCAAGAAAAGAAAAGGCATCCAAATTAGGAAGAAGTAAAACTATCTCTAATTCACAGATAACATTATCTTCCATATAGAAAACCCTAAAGAGCCAACCCCGCCACACACACACACACACACACACACACACACACACGCGCACACACACACACACACACACACAAAATTATAGGTAATAAACAAGTTTGGCAAAGTTGCAGAATATAAGATCAATATACAAAAATCAGTTTTGTGTCTATACACTAGCAATGAGCAATCAAAAAAATGAAATTAAGGAAATTTCATTTACAATAGCATCCAAAGAATAAAACACTTAGCAATAAAGTTAACCAAGAAAGTGCAATACTTGTACACTGAACACTATAAAACATTGTTGAAAGAAATTAAAACTTAAAAAAGTAGAAAAATGTTCTGTGCTCATGGATAGGAAGACTTAATATTGTTAAGATAGATTGGCAGACCGATGACATAGATCACATTGATATTCACATGAAAGAGCATCTAGAGATGGGAGTGGGGAGAGACAGGCTACCAAGCATTGTCCCAGCCAGTTATGGTGGGAGTTGGGTGGCATCCTGCTGGTGTGCTTATGCATGAATACATCTATTGCTTTCTATGCGTGCTGTTAATCCCCTCTGTTTCTGCCTGTCTGAGGCACCTTGTGTCATCCCTTCCTTGTATCAATTGTACATTACTTCATGTTTTGAACAAATATTTTTGAGCTTCACCTAGTGCCAGGTACTGTGTAAACTGCTGGGGAAAGCCACAGACCTGAAGGAGATAAGAGATGAGAAGGAGAAGGAGGAGGAGACCAGAGGAAGGAGGAGGAGAAGGGTGTTCCGGGCAGACAGAGCTCCAGGCAGGATCCAGAAGGGATGCGATGTGCAGGGGTCACTCTGGCTTCAGTGCTTCAGAGACTGCTCTGCCTTCTGGCTCTCAGGCCTGGAACAAACCAACTGAAACCTGTCTTTATTGCACAGTCAGACCTGGAGGAGCCCAGCCATATGGACATGCACATTGCCCATTTGAACTGATAGTGCTGGAACTAATTTTTGCATTTTGTTTTTTTTTTTTTTTTTTTTTTTTGCTTTTGCTTTTTTTAAGTACCCCAGGGTCTGCTTCAGTAATGCTGTGCAAACTGAGCCTGCGCTCCCAGGGCCAGGGTGTACAGGACACAGCCTGTGGCGCATCTGCTCTGTGGGACCACCGGGAGCTGGTAGAAGGCAGCCAACTTGTCTGTGTGCATGAAGACATGGCCTACAGGTAGCTTGCCTGGCCAAGACCAGCACTTCAGAGCATTTTCATAGAGGCAGAAAGCAAAGGAACCAGGTAGAAAGCCTGCCAGATGTTGGAGGCGAAGAGCTAGCAATCCTTACCTGAGATATTTGAAAGAGTTATGAATGAAGAGCCTTGTACATAACATCTATTGGAGAAGCTTACCAGGGCACGCAGATGGGAATGCTTAACCCAACCCAACTAAGGACATAAATATCCAGTGCGGTGTACTCCTTTGAGAAAAGCCCAAAGACCACTCCCCATGACTCAGCATCTGAGCCCTGGGATGCAGCAGCATTCAGTCTGCAGATGCCCAGGGTCTAGGGACTCAGGACTCTGAACATGCACACTTCAGAGTTGCGCCAGCCACTGTGGTATCAACTGGCTTAAAGCCCAGCAGGAAGGGCCTGGAGTCAAGTAGGATCAAGCAAACGTTGTGGAGAAATGGAAGGTTTCCTCTGTGCAGGAAGAACTGTGGTCTCCTAGTGGCACTCTCCCAGGATGCTCCTGGGAAGGAATCAGGTAAATGAGAGGACCTGGGTAGGAACTCAGCGTGGAGACTTACATGTAGGAAGTTCTCAGAAGATGCTCACACCCTGCCTGCTTTGTGTGGCACTGGCTACTGCCACTCACAGCGGGCTCTGACTTTGCTCAATTCCAAGCATCACCGCCTGTCCCTCATTTGGAATTTGCCACACATAACTGAGGGACTGTTGTGCTTTAGCATATGTGTGTTTGTAGATTCCTATCTCCCCAACTGCCCTGTAAGCTTCTTTAAAGCAGGGTCCATGCTTCCAATTTTCTGTGCCCCTTGACATGCTCGGCCCAGTGCCCCCCACAAACTCTTCATCAACTCATGTAGACAGTGATCCTGGTGCTGATGGTGGTCTGATTTTCTGCCTTATGCAGGGCTGCTATCAGATGCCTCAGAGCCGAGCCCTTACAAATTTTGGCTGGAGTCTACCATTGAGCCCCAGATGGAGCTATTTGTTGTGCAGACAGGAATAATAAAAGATGATTTTAGCAGTTTTTTTGTGGTTGTACCAACAGCTCTTCATCTGGGAGCCTGGAGCCCACTGCCGGAATGGTGGAAATAACTTGCTTCCTCATGCCAGTTCCCTCTCCATTGTAATTAGGAAGTTGGCTTGTTTGAAATATAATTTCACAGGTGCAGGATTCATCCTCGACAGGTGATTATGTTTTGATTTTTATCATCACTTATAAAACAGAGTGGGGAAAGAATTCAGACCATAAAGCATATTCCACTCCAAATGAGATATTAGTGTTAAAAATTCTTCAGTGTTGCTAAATATTTAGCCAATACAGGGTTTCTACCTTCTGCCAACCTGAAGCATTTTCTTGGCAAATGTGCCTCATCTGGAACTTTGGAAGTCTTTCTGCATTGCTCCTCTAACTACAGAAATACAACCATCTGTCTGTGCTAGGTAAACAAACTGACCCCTACTCTTCTGTGATTTTTTAAACCTTTGTTTTAATTTCTTGAAATTTGCCCAAAATAATTTTGACTCTGCTGCTGGTTCTTTGTTAGGAGCCAAAGAGACACAATTATAAGGAACTCCAGGAACATCAAGTGCATTCCTTTTTTCCCCCGATGCCATTTGAAACCCCTTTGAGAGTTGTATTTTAAAAGTTCCCCACACTTTGTTTCCTCCTGAGAGATAGTCATGCATTTTCACATGTCTCCTACTGTTGTATTATTTTATCGTTCTACTGTAGAAGCTTGGTATTTTTAAAGCATCGGGTTTATTTTAAAGTTTATATTTGCCCAGAACTAAACTAGTGTTCTACCACAACTAGGTCAGTGGGTATTGACTTGTTTCCTTCTGTGTGCTAGTTGCTAGATTCATTTTAAAAAAGAAGTATTCATGTTTCGGGGTATTTTTAGTGCATGCAAGGAACTACTGTCCTTTGAAATAGTCATCTTGAGAATCTAAATACTCATTCTAATGATGTTGTCGTCTTTCAGGAATTCCTATAATGGCTTTCTTCTTGAGAGCGAGGATGAGCCATGAGGAATGGCATCCTGACTTGGGTTTTTTTTTTTCCAACTTTTATTTTAAGTTCTGGGGTATATGTGCAGGATGTGCGAGTTTGCTACATAGTTAAATGTGTGCCATGGTGGTTTGCTGCACCTATCAGCCCATCACCCTGATTTTTCCCTCCTCCTACCTCCTCCTGCCCTCTGACAGGCCCCACTGTGTGTCTTTCCCACACATGTGTCCATGTGTTCTCATCATTTAGCTCCCACTTATAAGTGAGAACATGCAGTATTTGGTTTTCTGTTCCTGTGTTAGTTTGCTAAGGATAAAGGCCTCCAGCTCCATCCAGGTCCCTACAAAGGACATGATCTCATTCTTTTGTATGGCTGCATAGTATTCCATGGTGTATATGTACCACATTTTCTTTATTCAGTCTATCATTGATGGGCATTTAGGTTGATCCCATGTCTTTTCTATTGCTAATAGCACTACAATAGAACAATTTCTATTCCTTTGGGTAATACCCAGTAATGGGATTGCTGGGTCAAATGGTGTTTCTGCTTCTAGGTCTTTGAGGAATTGCCACACTGTCTTCCACGATGGTTGAATTTACACTCCCACCAACAGTATAAAAGCATTCCTTCTTCTCCACGACATTGCCAGCATGTTGTTTTTTGATTTTTTAATAATAGCCATTCTGACTGACGTGAGATGATATCTCATTGTGGTTTTGATTTGCATTTCTCTAATGATCAATGATGTTGAGCTTTTTTCATGTGTTTGTTGGCTGCATGTATGTCTTTTGAGAAGTGTCTGTTCATGTCCTTTGCCTACTTTTTCATGGAGCGGTTTATTTTTTTTCTTGTAAATTTGTTTAAGTTCTTTATAGATGCTGGATGTTAAACCTTTGTCAGAGGCATAGATTGCAAAAATTTTCTCCCATTCTGTAGGTTGTCTGTTTACTCTGTTGGTAGTTTCTTTTGCTGTACAGAAGCTTTTTAGTTTAATTAGATCCCGTTTGTCAATTTTTGCTTTTGTTGCAATTGCTTTTGGCATCTTTGTCATGAAATTTTTGCTCATGCCTATGTCCTGAATGGTATTGCTTAGGTTTTTTTCTAGAGCTTTTTTAGTTTTGGGTTTTGCATTTAAGTCTTTAATCCATCTTGAGTTGATTTTTTGTATATGGTGTAAGGAAGGGGTCCAGTTTCAGTTTTCTGCATATCGCTAGTCAGTTCTCTCAGCACAATTTATTAAATAGGGAATCCTTTCTCCGTTGCTTGTTTTTGTCAGGTTTGTCAAAGATCAGATGATTGTGGGTGTGTGGTCTTATTTCTGGGTTCTCTATTCTGTTCCATTGGTCTGTATGTCTGTTCTTGTACCAGTACCATGCTGTTTTGGTTACTGTAGTCTTGTATTATAGTTTAAAGTTGGGCAGTGTGATGCCTCCAGCTTTATTCTTTTTGCTTAGGATTAGGATTGCCTTGGCTATTTGGGCTCTTTTTTGGTTCCATATGAATTTTAAAATAGTTTTTTCTAATTCTGTGAAGAATGTCAATGGTAGTTTAATGGGAATAGCATTGAATCTATAAATTGCTTTGGGCAGTGTGGCCATTTTCATGATATCGATTCTTCCTGTGCATGAGCATGGAATGTTTTTCCATTTGTTTGTGTCATCTCTGATTTCTTTGAACAGTGGTTTGTAGTTCTTCTTGAAGAGGTCCTTCACTTCCCCTGTTAGCTATATTCCTAGGTATTTTATTCTCTTTGTGGCAGTTGTGAATGGGAATGGGAATTCTTTCATGATTTGGTTCTCAGCTTGCCTGTTGTTGGTGTATAGGAATCCTTGTGATTTCTGCACATTGATTTTATATGCTGAGACTTTGCTGAAATTGCTTATCAGCTTAAGAAGCTTTTGGGCTGAGACGATGGGGTTTTCTAGATATAGGATCATGTCATCTGCAAACAAAGATAATTTGACTTCCTCTTTTCCTATTTGAATACCCTTTAATTCTTTCTCTTGCCTGATTGCCCTGGCCAGAACTTCCAATACTATGTTGAATAGGACTGACTTTTGATCAGTTTTGATCCAGAACTGCTCTCACTAGCTTAATCAGCCACTTCAGTTAAGGCTTGGCCCTGAGTGACTTTTGTCTCTTTGTTAATTCATATCCAGTCTTAACTCTGAGATTCCCCACCCCCATCACACCAACCTCCACCCCCACCACCTCAACCCCAACCCCAGGAATTGACGTAGCACAGTTTCCAAAGAAGAATTCCCAAAACGTTTGAGCACTCCAAGCATTTTAGTAATAAAAGACTCACCTGCCTAGATGACAGCTTTGTAGCAACAAAAAAAATTATATGAGTTTATATTACAGCAAGTAGTTTAAGAATCAGTCTCATTGTCTTATCCTACCTCACGAGTCAAGTAACCATTTGCTCATTTTGTAATTCTTTAATGAGCACCTGGCTAAGCTTGACACTGGGGAAGGAGCAGTGAACTAAACAGAGGGGGTCTCTGCCCTCAGAAACTTAGCTGTGGTCTCAATCAGTGGGCTGAGTGCTATAAACTATTAACACTGTAGACATTTAGAGAAAGGAACTTAAGGAGGCAGTGAGCAGGTGTTTCCTGAACAGTGTGAGTCTTCTTGAAGGAAGATGTGATAGAAGGGTAGGATGTGGATGGGGAAGTGACAACGGGTGAGCAGAGCCTGCAGGTGAAAGTCGCAGAGCCTCCTTCCTGTGAACGGGAGTGGGAACCTGGCCGGTCTGAACCCAGGCTCCCATGAGGAATGGTGGGAAGCATGTGAGACACTCAATGGCCAGGCAGGCCTGAGACAAGGCTGAGAACTTGGATCTAGTCTAACAAGCAGCCACAAACCCTCTCAGGCAGGAAAGGCATTTGGGGAAGATTAATCTGGTGTCAGGATTGACGGCCTTTCCCTTAGCTGCAGTCGCCCCTTCTTTGTGTTCAACTTCATTTAATGATAGATGGTTCTAGAATTAGCCGGAGACTAGGACCTTAACTTCCCAGGGTTGGGAAGCAATTTGAGAATTAAGTCATGGTTGTTTAACTCTGAAATAAAAGTGGTGCTAGGCTTAGCCATATCACTTCAGGCTGTTCAGAATAATTTTTCTTTTAATTGCCACCATATCTTCCTGAGGAGATACAGAAGAAAAAACAAATGCTAGAAAAAGGAAGGGGCAAGTCTGAAAACATTAAGATCTTGGTTATATATTGATACAAGATTTCCAGAGCAAATACTTTCTGTTTCTCTCCCTGAGAAGAGCTGAACATAGCCAGGCAATTTCTGTGTAAAGTTCAGAGAGAATCCTGACATGTATTTGTGTGTACATTGTTCCTGAGGCAGGGTGGAATGGGTTGCATCTAATTCACTCCCTTCTTTTGGCAGACACTTAGACTATCACAGTTCTTCTCACAGGACTCACCCATGGGAAGCCAGAGGCCCCACAGACCAAGCACACGGCCTGGTCAGAACAAAGCTCCCCATTTGCCTTCCCTGCCTCTCAGGCCCCTGCCACCTCGCCCGGGGCTCATCGTCACTCTTTTCTTCCTCTTCTCTCCTTCCCTATTTTGTCCCACTTCTTGTTTATTCTTCCTCTTCTCTCCTTTCCTATTTTGTCCCACTTCTTGTTTTCTGAGGTGGAGGATGGGAAAGGGGACCAGAGTTGAGTATGAGACGAGAGAACCAAGAAGGCAGGAATACCGCATGTCGATTGCATTCACACTTAAGAAATCCTGCCGAAGCTCATTGTTCTTCATTAAATGACATATTTATGGTTTCCAATACAGTAACTTCTCAGAAAACCCCAATTAGCTATTCTTATCGCTGTTTTGCAGACTGAAGGAACATAGAAGGACACAGTGGCCCCTGCCCTGCATTCTGGCTGTATCACAAGTGACTGAGAGGCCTTGGGCAGCTCACAGAACTTCTTGGGGCCGGGTGTCCTCATCAGAAAATTTAGAAATACGTCACTTCCTGGGGTTGTCTTCACCTCCAGATTCCACAGTTTCCTGTGGCTCTGAAACCAGAGTCCACGTCTCCTCATTCCGAGTTCCACTTCTTTATACCATGTTATTCTTTTGTCTCTGAGAGCTTTGAAATATTGGGGGAATCATAAGGTCTTAAAACATAAATATTATATAAACAAGGTGACCTTTAAAATGCTTTTGTTGGAACTTTGCATCTCTAGAATGTGTTGCTGTATCCATTTGTGCCAGCCTTCTTCCTATTCAGAAACTGCTCTTGTCAGGACACCAGGGCTGAGACATCTTCCCTGGCATGCTGTTGAGTGTGAATTGCTCTGGTTTTTTTTTTTTTTTCTTCTTCATTTTTTAAGTTCTGGGATACATATGCAGGATATGCAGGCTTATTACATAGGTAACGTGTACCTCGGTGGTTTGCTGCACAGATCAACTCATCACCCAGATATTAAGCCCAGTATCCATTAGCTGTTCTTCCTGATGATCCCCCATGGCAGGCCTCAGTATGTGTTTTTCCCCACCATCCATGTGTCCATGTGTTCTCATTGTTCAACTCCCACTTATAAGTGAAAACATGCAGTGTTTGGTTTTCTGTTCCTGCATTAGTTTGCTGAGGAGAACAGCTTCCAGTTCCATCCATGCTCCTGCAAAGGACGTGATCTTGTTCCTTTTTATGGTTGCGTAGTATTCTGTGGTATATATGTACACATTTTCTTTATCCAGTCTACCACTGATGGTCCTTTGGGTTGATCTCATGTCTTTGCTATTGTGAATAGGGAGTGCTTACACTACCCCTCCTCCAAACCCAGGCAACAAAGCTCCCAGCTTCAAAAGAGACCCCTTCCTTCTGCTTAAGGACAGGAGGGGCAAGAGTAAAGAGGACTTTGTCTTGCATCTTGGTTATCAGCTCAGCCACAGAGGGATAGGGTACCAGTCAGAGCTGTGAGGCCCCATTTTCAGGCCGTACCTCTCAGAAAACATTTCTAGAGAGACACCCTGGGCCAGAAGGAGACACTGCCTTGAAGGGAAGGACCAAGTCCTGGCAAGATCCATCTCTTGCTGACTTAAAGAGCCCTTGGTCCCTGAATAACCAGCAGTGATACCCAGGTCATATGCCATGGGCCTTGGTGAGACTCTGAGACTGCTGGCTGCAGGTGAGACCCACCACATTCCCAACTGTGGTGGCTATAGTGAGAGACTCCTTCTGCTTAGAAAAGCAGAAGGAAAAGTAAAAGGGACTTGGTCTTGCACCTTAGGTACCAGCTTGGCCACAGCAGGGTAGAGCACTAAGCAGGCTCTTGGTGTCCCTGATTCCAGGCCTTGGCTGTTGGATACCATCTCTGGGCCTTCCCTGGGCCAGAGGGGAGTCTACTGCCCTGAAGGGTGAGTCCCAGGCCAGGCAGCACTCACCACGACTTGACTGAGGGGCCTTTGGGCATTAAGTTAACATCGGCAGTGGCCTGGCAGTAATCCCTGTGGGCCTGTCGTGGTCGTGGCCTTGGGATGAGGCTCTTCTGCCTGTGGAAAGGAGAGGGGACCATGGGAAGGACTGTGGCTTACAGTTGGAGTGCCAGCTCAGCCAGAGTGGAATAGAAGGCCACGTAGATTTCTAAGGTTTTTATCTTCAGTCCCTGGCTCCTAGACAGCATCTCTGGACCCAGCTGGGGGAACTCGCTGCCCTGAAGGGAAAGACACAAACCCAGCTGGCTTCACCGTCTGCCGATCATAGAGCCCTAGGGCCTTGAGCAAATACAGGCTGTAGCCAGGGAGTGGCCTTGGGTAAGACTTAGTGTTGTGCTGGCTTCAGGTGTGACCCAGCACAGTCCCAGTCGTGGTAGCCACAGGGGTGCTTATGTCACCCCACCCCCAGCCCCAGGCTGCTCAGCACAGGGAGAAAGAGAGACTCCATTTGTTTGGGAGAAAGTAAGGGAAGAGAACAAGAGTTTCTGTCTGGTATTCCAGAGAATTCTTCCTGATCTTATCCGAGACCACCAAGGCAGTACTTCTGTGAGTCTGCATGAACTACAATGTTACTGGACTTGGGGTGCCCCCTAATGCAGATACAGTGTCAGTCACAACACCCAAGTCATTTCAAATACCTGGAAAGCCTTCCCAAGAAGGACAGCTACAAACAAGCCCAGACTGCAAAGACTACAATAAGGACCTAATTATTCAGTGCCCAAACACCGGTGACATCTGCAAGCATCAACATCATCCAGGAAAACAGCCTCACCAAATGAACTAGATAAGGCATAAGGTGTCAGGGACTAATTCTGGAGAAACAGAGGTATGTGACAGAGAATTCAAAATGGCTGTTCTGAGGAAACTCAAAGAAATTCAAGGTAACACAGAAAAGGAATTCAGAATTCTATCAGATAAATTTAACAAAGAGATTGAAATAATTAAACAGAATCAAGCAGAAATTCTGGAGTTGAAAAATGCAGCTGACATACTGAAGAATGCATCAGAGTCTCTTAATAGCCAAACAGATCAAGCAGGAGAATGAATTAGTGAGCTTGAAGACAGGCTGTTTGAAAATGTATGATCGGCAAAGACAAAAGAAAAAAAGAATAAAAAACAGTGAGGCACAGGTATAAGATGTAGAAAATAGCCTCTAAAGGGCAAGTCTAAGAATTGTTGGCCTTAAAGAGGAGGCAGAGAGAGAAATAGATAGGGAGAAAGTGTATTCAAAGGTATAATAACGGAACCTAGAGAAAGGTATCAATATCCAAGGACAAGAAGGTTAGAGACCACCAAGGAGATTTAACCCAAAGAAGGCTACCTCAAGAAATTTAATAATCAAACTCCCAAAGGTCAAGGATAGATACAAAATCCTAAAAGCAACAAGAGAAAAGAAACAAGTAACATACTATGGTGCTCCAGTACATCTGGCCGCAGACTTTTCAGCGGAAACCTTGCAGGCCAGGAGAGAGTGGCGTGACATATTTAAAGTGCTAAAGGAAAAAAAACTTTTACCCCAGAATAGTGTATCTGGTGAAAATATCCTTCAAACAGGAAGAAGAAATTAAAACTTTCTAAGACAAACAAAAGCTGAGGAATTTCCTCAACACCAGACCTGTCGTATAAGAAATGCTGAAGGGAGATATTTAATCTGAAAGAAAAAGACATTAATGAGCCAGAAATCAACTGAAGGCATAAAACTCACTGGTAACAGTAAGTACACAGAAAAACAGAATATTGCAACACTGTAACTATGGTGTGTAAACTATTCTTAGGTAGAAAGACTTTTAAGATGAACCAATCCAAAATAATAACTGCAAAAAAGAAGACCCATTTGTATGTTGTGTTGGGAAAGATGCTCAGTGAAAAAGAGTATATCACCAAACAGTATGACCTCATTAAATATACATATATTAATATAATCCCCATCTTAGTGCATGTATATAAAAATCAGATAAGTACCCAGTGCTTAACACTGGTCACCATTGACATTATCTGCAGGTGTTAGGATCCTGGGGGGTTTCACTCTCCTGCATTTGCTATTTTTTTTGCAATGTTTAACTTTTTAACCAGAAGCATATGTTATTTAAGCAGAAAATATTATGGAAATACTTTTTCAATAAATACTTTTTCAATTAAAAACTAAAATGAAATCATGTGTCCCAAACCCACCAGGGATCACATATGAAATTAAGAACTTCATTGAGTCAGGAATTGAGACTGAAAATATTGAGACACAACAATTAAGGAAGGTTAAGAATAGAGAGCAGAAGTTGCCCTGAGCCCTGCATGTGGCTCCACCAAAGTCAGAGGAAGCTGCTCCAGGCTGGGGATTCCCAGAGACATCCCACTCTGCTTGTGATCCCAAATGCCTCGAGGAGTGCAATGGCGCAATCTCAGCTCACTGCAAGCTCCGCCTCCCGGGTTCATGCTATTCTCCTGCCTCAGCCTCCTGAGTAGCTGGGACTACAGGTGCCTGCCACCGCACCCAGCTAATTTTTTGTATTTTTAGTAGAGATGGGGTTTCACCGTGGTCTCAATCTCCTGACCTCGTGATCCGCCCGCCTCGGCCTCCCAAAGTGCTGAGATGACAGGCGTGAGCCACCGCACCCAGCTGCAGCTCACCATTTCACTGATGGTGATGGCCAGTTTACTGATGCACAGCTTTAATGGTTACTATGTTATATTACATTATGCCAAATTATGCTGCTTTGGGTTACAACGTGTGATGTTACATAGTGTCATATACATGTTTACTGTCTACCTCATTTTACCAGAATGTAGCCACCTGGAACAGTGCTTAGCACAAAACACCTGTGGAATGTTTAGTGACAGAAATTGTTAGGAAGTTTATTAAAACCAAAATCTTCCCTGTAGCTTTAAACCACACATAATGTCATTTCCACAAGCCAGCCCCTCAAATGTCTGACACAGAATCCATGCCCTTCTCATGCTTCTTCTTTGCCAAAATGCTAATTAGACCCATCAGAACCATGCAGCAACTGTTCGAATATAGATCTGTTGCGTTTACATGTATTTGTTCATTGTTTATTGCTTCTCTCCTCTCATGGTGCTTACACCTCCTGAGAGCAGGGGCCATGTCTGTTGTATTCTGCTTTGTTTCCCAAGACCTAGAGTAGTCTGAGTGTCTAAATGTGTGTTTGGTTGAACGCATGCCTGAGTGTACAGGTGCACTAATAGAAACTGAACTGATTGGCTCTATTAAGTCTCAGACTGTTCAGCATGATTGTTAGACCTCTTTTCAAAACAGGGAACTGTGTCTGTGTTGTCAGTGAACATCAAGGGATAAAAACATTGGTCTGAAATTTGTAGATTGCCTATTCGCCCTTGAGTACTAAGAACCTTCCTTCTCACCTTCTCATAGAGACTCTTGTGAGATCATGTTGGCTCCCTCTTTAAAGACACATTTAGCAAGTGAGTTCAGGCTCTCACCTTCTTTAGCCATTATTAATTTAATGTCTTCCTCTTTTATCTTTATTTGTTTGCTCCCATAGAATATCTTTTCCCAATGGATAAGCACTTTATCAGGCTATACTGATTCAGTCTTCTAGAAAACTCTATTTTCTTCAAATAAAAGCAGTTGTCATCCTGTTTATATTTTGGTCCTAACTTCTCTTTTCTTGAAGATCTATGAACTTTTGGGGGGGAATGTTTTAATATTTTCCTTCTTATTCTTAAGGATAGTTTAACCTTATTTCTGAAAAAGGAGAAAGAAAAGAAAAAGAAAAGATGGTTTTTCCAAGGCTAACCAGCTTTCCTCCAGCCTCTGGATTTTACTGTCAATATCTGGAGCATGTTAGTAGACATTTTCTGTTTCCTATAAAGTCATCCTGCCTTCACATTCATCCTTAAGACCCAGAGACATCCCTGCTGTCCTAGGGCAATGCCATTCAGTGATTTATAAATCACCTCTCAAAACTGAGAAAAATACTTGCATAAAGTTAGTAGAAGCCTGCTCATTTGGAAGTGGTTTAGCTGGGAAACATTTGAAAGGGAGAAAGGCATGTGCCTTCGGCAGGATTGTCCTAACCTTCCCTCTGGTAAACCAGAAGTCCCACCTGACCGGGAACTTTGATCCTGGCCCCAGTAGTTTCCAGGGTTTATTCTTGCCCAGGCTTGTCACCTTGCTCAGCCACCTGCCTGGACAGTAATCACTGCCCTGTCATCATAGCCAGGTAGCCTCCCGCTACACTCCCAGCTTGCCTAACACCTCCTATACTACCCAAGCTGGTGCCTGCAAGGGTAGTCTATAGCATGAGGGCAAAGCTTCTAATCTGTAGAGCCCCAAACTAGAAAGAGGATGTATGCTGATTTCTAGTAACTATCCCTTTGAAGAAAAATTCCAGACCCTGAGATAGCATTCTTCCTTCCCTTTATGGACATGCTGCTTTAGTGGTGAAGGGAGTTAAGGAAGCAAATTATTGTTTAATAAGCACATTTTTATTAAGCCTTCTGTTTGACTATGAATAATTAACCAGTTAAATATTAAATAATTAAAGAGTAAAATAGATTAAAAAACAAATTCATAAACGTCTTCTATATTTATCCCCTTTCCTCACCAGGTCGAATCCAGAAGCTGTCAACACTAGTTATAAAGGTAGCAATACAGCAATAATTATTTTTTATGAGCACCTACTATGTGCCAGCTATTACGCTAGGTTCTTTGTATATTTATCACTAACCACTCAGGTAATCCTGCAAGATAGAATGATTGATACCAATTTACAGATAAGGACACTAATAATCGGAAAAGTAAACTTGCCCGAGGTCATTCTGCTGGTTTATGGCAAGGCCAAAATTATACAAGGTTTCCCAGATGCTGACTCCAAGCCCGATCTCTTCTACCCTCTGCTTCTCTGCAATTGCGACAGGGGTTTTATTGAATGCACATTTCCAAATTGTCTGTGGAAAGGGGTTCAGGAATGGGTTGTGTGGAAAACGTGGCCAAGAATGTAATTTTCACCCCCTTCTCCTTCCAGCCTCCACAGTCTTCCAGTCTGTCCCAAATAATGCCATTTTTTCCTTTAAGTATATATGAAAGAGTGGTTTGATTGTTGCAAGCCACAGTTAGTTCAACGATCATCTATTTGTCTGTTAGGAAGGCTCACTTCTGGGTGTTTGTGCTACCACTAAAAAGTATTATGTGAGTCAGAAATAAAGTGTCAGTGGCATAGTTAGTAACGTGCATTTTCTCCTGAGCTGATCAGAAATTTGGCTCACTTTTTATAAACCTCGAGTTAACACGATTTGACAAGATTTGGCTCAGAAATGACGCAGTGATGTGTCAGCCCCAGATTCAGAATTTGGGAAATTCTCTCAGTGCCCCTCAAATGTTTTAATTTTTTTTTTGCTTGTCAAAAAAAGCATTTTTAAAATTTAAAATCAGGCCAATTATTGCTTCTCATCATGAGCACGAGATTTGAAGGAGTGCCAGAAACTAGCAGGTGTCTGTATATTGCAGCAGGGACTCCGTGGTGAAGTTGGAGTCACCTGGGTTTAACAAGAGTCACTCAGTCCATGCAGCTGTATACTCAGCAGCAAAACCATCTTCCTAAAATTCTGAAGACCCAATCTAAATGTTACTACTTTGAATATTTTAATGCAATGCTCAGTTCTAAGAACAATCTGCAAGTTAAAGAATGAGAATCATATTATTTTTTAAACACAAGTAATAAAATGAACATTGAAAACCAGGTGGATCGAAGAATAAATTTTTTTAATGTTTCATTTTTATTGTTCAAAAAAGTTTCAAGTAAATAAATAGAACAGGAATGTACTTGACACAGAGAGATAATAAGACAGGTGACTCTCATCCTCTGCCCCAAAAGAAAGCTGGAAAAATGCAAAACGAGAACAAGAATTCTCCAGAAAGGTCCAAAATTAAGGGATCTAGCATGAAACAAACTTTTAAGGTGAAGACTGTATCTTGACTTTTCTCAATGTTCTAATCCTCTCTGTGGAGAGTTCAGTTTCCAGGGAAGCTGAAGTCAAGGAGGTGAAAGGTAGGGTCTCCAGTGGCATGGAATTGACTTCCCTGCAATAAGGAGTGCTTTTGATGATGCAAAGGAAGTAATGAAAGGCCAGATGCCCTGTGGCCTCTGCTTTTAGATAAGTGAGAATCTACAGACCAAGGAGCAAGTGGGATGCACAGGTCTGAGTTACCCTCAGTGTTTCCAGTTTGAATGGCTACTTTCGTACTTGTCAGTCTGCAAAACCTGAACTGAAAGCTGCCTCTCAAACTGATTCTATTGATTGTTACCCCCATTTTATCCTTTGATGATTAACCTCATCGCAGGCAGGGGCAGAGTTCAGAAGCTCAGGCACTGCAATGAAGTAGATTAATCAGCGTCCCATTCTGAGATCCTGTCATCCAGTGGGTCGGTATAAGACCAGAAAACACGTGTACAGCTCCCAGGAATCCCCTTCTCAGGCCTGTTTCAGTTCAAACTGGACATATTCCTGGGTTTTCAGATTGAAGAAACAAGATTTTGCTACGATTTTTGTTAACCCTCTTTTTTGCAGTCTTTTTGGTTATTTGCTGGTTTGTATCTGTGTTTGAATCAGTTGCAATTTTGGTTTCTGGCATTTTAGCAGCCTATGCTATACTATGAGAAATAGATATTTTTTAAAGGCACTTTTTTCAGCAGCTACCATTTTCCTAAAAGTTTTCAATCAGTAGTATTTCCATCAAAATGCTAATTATTGTTGTTGTTGTTGTGATTAAAGACAGGGTCTCCCTCTGTCACCCCGGCTGGAGTGCAGTGGTGCAATCATAGTTCACGGAAACCTAGAATTCCTAGGCTCAAGAGATCCTCCCACCTCAGCATCCCAAAGTGCTGGGATTACAGGCGTGAGCTACTGTTCCTGGCCTGTTAATATTAATCGATATGAATGCATTATATTTATTATTTTTCAAACTATACAGGTTTGTTTGTTTTTTACTGTAGAGTGGTAAAATAAGGTTGTTTGTGAATTTTTGTTGATTTAGAGGCCAACTTAAAGGTTTTAAGTGTGACTTCCTAGTTCTGAGCCTTCCAGCCTGACCCTGGAATCTGTGTTTAAAGGGGGATGTTGGGTCTTTGCCCACAAATGCTAGGAATGGATTGACAGGCAGAATGCACACTGCAGTCCCATTAGGGGAGGAATATGTGTCTCCCACTTGATCTTACTCCAGGGCTACTGCCTGGTGTCCCAGGTACAGGCCCGTAGGGGTGTTTTCCTCTTCACCAGGTACAGTGGCATTAGCTGCCAGCATTTAGATGAGATGCAGTGTTGTAAAAATCACCATGTCTGTTGTTGGCAGCACTTATCTGATAAGAGTGTCATAACACGAATAATACGTGTGAGAAGAACTGAAAAGCTGAATGATTATTCTGATACAGAAACTGAAAATGAAATCACACTGTGATCAGCAGCCACTGCCACACATAAACATCAACGTGAGCATCTTGCATTTTTATTCCCAAGTCGCAGAATTCATCCCGTGTCTTGTTTAGAAAACAGTAAGTTTCTGAGCACAAAGAATTCTGGAGTTAACTGCGGTCATCTGCCAGGCAGATCCTTCAATCCTGGCAACAGTCACATACGCTTGGTGAAACCAGTGTAATTTCTTGCTACCATTATTTCACAGGCAAGAAAAGAGACTTACAGAGAAGTTCAATTAATTCCTATTATTCTGACCATTGTGCTAGGCCTTTGAGGAGTTACAAGAGCATTATTAGACATGATCCCTTCCCTCGAAGAGTTTGTAATCTAGTAGGGATTTTAAAAATATTCTGATAGTGGTAACACATGACAAGAAAGCTCACAGCACTGAGTAGCATGTAGTTGCTAAATAAGTGGCATTGGCCGGGCACGGTGGCTGATACCTGTAATCCCAGCACTTTGGGAGGCCAAGGCAGGTGGATCGCCTGAGGTCAGGAGTTTGAGACCAGCCTGGCCAACATGGTGAAACCCCGTCTCTACTAAAAAATACAAAAATTAGCTGGGCATGGTAGCATGTGCCTGTAGTCCCAGGACTCAGGAGGCTGAGGCGGGAGAATCGCTTGAACAGGGGAGGCAGAGGTTGCAGTGAGCTGAGATCACGCCATTGCATTCTAGCCTGGGTGACAGAGCGAGACTCCATCTGAAAAAAAAAAAAAAAAAGTGGCATTGATTATATATAAGTGGAGGGTAGAGAGGGCTCGCTCAGGGTAGCACAGGTCACCTTCACAGACAGGCCAGGATGAGAAAGAATGCAGAGGTAAGTGAGATGGAATAACGTGAAAGGAAAAGAGAAACAAGATGGGGGCAGGAAAGCCTGGGGCAGGACAAGAAGTAAGACATCAGGCTTGGGGAAGACAGTGTATAGAAAAGCAGCAGGCGGTAATGCCACAGTGGTCCTTGATGGTGCCATGTGACAGAGCATCTTGAACAATTGGACCGGGGTCACTGGAAACTTTGGAACAAAGGTGACATAGTAAGTGTTCGAGATGGAACTCTCCTGTGGCAGTGACAGACAAGGGAGAGAGACCAGGAAAAGTGTTTTTCTCCTCACTTGTTTTAATAGGGAAATGAAAACATGGCTTAAATTTTTTCTAGTTGAACCTATTGTAAGCTAAACAGACTTTGCAGGTCTTCATAGCTGCACACTCTGAACTCGAAGATTTAACTTGAGGCTAAAATTCTATTTTTGTTTCTTCTCTCCTTTGGTAACAAAGAGCTGCTACGTGAGGTGGGGATGCCCAAGGCCTCCTGTCACTTGTCCTAAAACAGGCAGAGGCAGCTGGCATCAGAAGAGTGGTCAGCTACATGGAGGGCATTGTGCAGATGGAGCACATGAAAGTCTATGCACCATCAGTGTGTGGGTTCTTGGAGACTGGCGTCAGTCTTGCTGTAGAGTAGACGTGAAAATGGAAACTGGCCCATGTGCCCATGACCTCCTGAAAATTGGGATATGGAGGATAGAGAAAACGTTAGCCAGTTATGAAGAGCAATATTCTGTGTCCTTATCATTTAACCATCTATTCTTTCATTTTAGGAGAAAAGTGAGTATATTTAATATAAAGAGTCTTGGCATTATAAGCCTATACAAAAAAAAAAAAAAGAAGTCACCTGAACGTATCCCTTGAGTAACTAGACATCTGTGTAGGGAGAAGGGACTGGCGATGCTGTGTTGAGGCAGATACGTGGATTCTCAGTTCCATCACCTGGAGTATCTAAAAGGCTAAGGAGTGGGACATGGCAGCCTGCACCTGTGTTCCAGCTACTCGGGAGGCCAAAGCAGGAGGATCATATGAGCCCCGGAGTTTGAGGCCAGCCCGGGCAACTTAGTGAGACTTTATCTCAAAAAAAAAAAGGAAAAAAAAGGGCAGGTGACTAAGAAACCCCAAGGGCAAAACTGAGGACCTCTCAAGAGTAGGGGAATAGGGTACAGGCTTATTCCTGAGTGACAAGAAAATGAAAAAGGAGAGAAGGCAGACAAAGCAAAGAAAGGGCAGGGGAGTTTATAAGATCCGAAGGTCGCCAGCTAGACTTTGGAGTAAGTGGCTTTAAACATTACATTTCTCTTCCTGTCTTACATATGGTCTGGGAAGTGGTTAAAGGATGGCCAAAGTAGGTCAATAGAGGCAAAGCAGCAATGAAAGGGTGGTTGGGGGTGAAGTGGGGAACACAGGCAGGGGTGAGGACCATGGCTACAGTGACGTGGGATCAGTGTCCTTGTAATGAAATAGCATTGTTTCTCAGTGATAAAATAATGTGGAGCAAGCTAAGTGCAATTTTAGCAGGAATGATAAATTTTACCTTTGCTTATATTTTAAATCATTACCAGAAATGAGGTGCAAATGAAATACATTTTTATCAAATCGTATTATCCCACTGACTATTATTTTGTCAGAAATCTGTTTCTATGAAAAAACTTAGGGACATTTTCTCCAATAAAAAGTACAGATCATACTTAGGAATAATAATAATCTCTTTAAATATCTTTCTGTTTTAGTAATACATAGTTTGCATTAATAATCCTAGCTTAATTACAGGCTACATTTGCATGATACTTATTCTTTTATTTAAAAAACTCTTCCCCATATATTCTCTCATCTCAGACTCCCAACAACTAAAGCTCAGAGTGAAGTTATATTTCTCATTTTAGAGACAATTCAGAAACTCAGCTTGATATTAATCAGTACTGTCTTTTATTGAATGCTTAAATGGGAGGGGAACTATACTAGTTTCTTTATATATGTATGTATGTATGATCTCATTTAATCTTTATGACTAAACCATGGGATAGTTATATCCCCATTTCCTCTGGTTGTAAGGTACCACAAACTGAGATCTGATTGATCGTAAAGTCCACAGCTTGAAATCACGGTAGTTTACTGAGCATGTGACTTACCTAAGCTCAGGAGGCTAGCAAGTGATAGAAGAGGAAATCAGGATAGTCCATTCGCCCTTGATTTTCCCATGCAATTCTAGTGTGAAATTTTAATGTAATGGATAATCAATCTTATAAAAGCATTGTACCTCATAAATTACATTTTGTATGTATATTACATATTTTGTATTTGCATTACATTATAAATGTATTAAAATCATAGAAATAATTCTTAGGTTTTGGAAATTCTTACAGACCTGAATGCTTTAAGTAACCATATTTTCTTTACTATTCCTTCATGTAGTTAGTAGAATTTGTTAGATGGAAAAATCACACGGAAATACTTAGCTATAATTAAAGCAAAATTAGCAAGCAAGTTTGCATTGAAATGTGGATGTTCAGTTCAATTCAACAAGTTTATATAGAGCACTTACTATGTAAGATGTTCCAGTCTCCACAAAGATAAGTAAATATCCCTCTCAGAGGAAATTTATATTACTTCTTTAGGCGATTATGTTTAGTAAATCCAAATGCTCTTGAAAGGGATTATTAGAATTCCTATTTGGGGATTATGCCTAGTAAAACTGAATGCTCTTAAAAGAGATTATTAGGATTCCTAAGTATTGCTTTTATTTCACATTGGAGAAAGAGCATTCAAAGAGAGATAAATGGTTGGGTGTAGATTGAAGTACATATTCATAAAACTATAACACAAAACAGAATGTAAGAGAAAAAGAAATAAGTGCTTTGGAGGAGCATGAGCAGAGAACTATCCTATTATATTGGCATAGAAGGGAAATCTGCAAAAGCCTCAAGACACAAATGATGTTTGAGATGAGCCTTAATGGATAAAAAGAGACTCAGAGACATATGAGGAAGGGTATTCACACACTAAGGGGATGGTGTAAGTAAAAGCAGAGGCTAGTTTTTCTTGTAGGTAGAGTATTTGTAGAGCAATAAAAAGGCATGAAGCTGAAGACTGGGACCTTATTGTAGAAGGTCTTGAGTACTAGGGTGAGGATTCTGAGGGTAAATTCAATAGATTGGAAAACAAATACTGGACTGGGAGTAAAGAGTTATCTGGCCAAACCTAGAAACTGAGTGACCTTGGACTAATCAGTTAATCTTTTTGAGCTTTAACTTCCTTGCTGTACTATGGAGATGGCAATTGTTGCGTTAAAGATTGGGCATAAGTGACAAAATGCATGGGGAAGTATTTTGAAAACTAAAACTTAATAGGAGCCATCATCATCTTCAGCGTCACCATTGCCATCATCATCATCATTGTGATGTGATGATGCATATGAAGCTTTTTTTTTTTTTTTTTTGAGATGGAGTCTCGCTCTGTCACCCAGCCTGGAGTGCAGTGGCATGATTTCGGCTCACTGCAACCTCTGCCTCCCAGGTTCAAGCGATTCTTGTGCCTCAGCTGCCCGAGTAGCTGTGATTACAGGCGCGCGCCATCACGCCTGGCTAATTTCGTATTTTTAGTAGAAACAGGGTTTCACTATGTTGGCCAAGCTGGTCTCCCAACTCCTAACTTCAGGTGATCCTCCCTCCCGCCTTGGCCTCCCATAGTGCTGGGATTACAGGCATGAGCCACTCTGCCCGACCGCATGTGAAGATTTTTAGAGCAGTGAAGTTTTTCTGAATTACGAAAATTGAGTTTGCAGCAGTGTGGAGGGTGGACTGCTAACAGAAGACAGAGAACCAATCAGGATGCTATAAGAGTACTTCAGGTTAAAGATAATGAAGGTGTGATTAGGATGGCAGTTCAGGTAACAGAAAGGAGAGAAAGGTAGACACACTGCAGAGATTCACTGCTGAATGTTCAATTCAGTATTTGTTCAGAAATGAAGTGAGCACCCATTCTGCTCCAGGCTCTGTATTAGGTGCTGGGCCACCAGACAAAAAATACACAGCCTTGAGGGGTTCATCACAGGTTAGAGGGGAGGCACTGATGTATAAACAAGTAACCACAATAGAGGGGACAAGTGTTCTAAAAGAGACCTGTACGTGGGAAATGTGGCACAAAGGAAGGTTGAGTCAACGGTGGCTTGGTTTGGCCAAAGAAGACTTCATAGCAAAGGAGGAAATGGAGCTGGGTCTTGACTGATGAGTAAACAACCCAGCAAACAATAGGAGGTTGGGAGGTGCTACCAGCATGTGCAAAGCGTGGTATATTCAGGGGATCTCAGCTTGAGAGGCTGGAGTTAGGAGTTGGCTAGAATATACAAGGTCTTGGATCCACTTAGAGGTAGCCCAGGATATGGTTAAGTCCAGCTGCTGGGTGAACTTCAGCAAATCACTTAACCTTTTAGTGACTTAGTTTCCTCATCTATAAAGTAAGAAAATAATAAAGCCTACCTTTCAGGGTGGGTATGAGAATTAAGCAAATCACATAAAGCGTTTAAAATCGTGCATAATATATTTTAAATGCTTAATAAATGAGAATTATTGTTATTATTATGAGAGAGGGAGTGAAAGAGAAGGAATCTGGCATAACTCCAGGTATGCTGACTTGAAGAGTTAATAGATGTTGCTGCCATTAACCAGCATATAAAGTACAAGAAGAAGAAAAGTTTGTGTGGCGTGTAAGTTTAGCTTTAAACATGGTGAGTTTGAATCGCTCATGAGCACCCAGGTTGAGTGGCTCAGTAGACATCTAGAGTGGGCACGTTAGACCTGGATGTGCTTTTAGGCATCACCAGCATACCACATGGTTTTTAAAGCCACAGTAGCAAGATCAGCCAGGGAAAGAAGGGTAGTGAGAGGAAGGCTGAACACAAAACACCCAAGGAACAGTGAGAGAAAAGAAGTTTCAGCAAAAAAGAATGAGCATGAGATCTCCGAGAGTGGAGCTGGGCCAGGAGGACAGCGTGGGAGCCACGGGGGAAGAGAGTCAGGGGGAAATGAGCATTCAAGGAAATCCAATGCCCTTGACAACAGAAGGAGTTATGTCAGGGCTGCTTCTATTGAAAGTGGTTGCTAAGGTCTTGGAAATGTGAAGGTGGGTCATGAGTTCACAGGTATTCGTTTCATTAATCTTAAGCTTACACACACACATGCACAATATTATATGGACTCTTATGTGTATAATCTGCAACAAAAAATCTTAAGTCAAAAATAGAAATGGTAGGTGAGGATGTCAAAACAGCAAGTATAAAGACTTCTTTGAGAGTGTTAGCTATCAAGAGAAATAGAGAAATGAAGATCAGCTGGAGGAGGAATACAGTGTCAGGAAGGGCTGAGGCCTGAGATCATTTGTCAGTCTTGGGGGAAAAAGCCAGTGGAGAAGGAAAGATTGATGTTAAACCAATACCAGTGAGATACTGATGGAACTGGATCCCCAAGGACAGAGTAACAGACAGAGGGTGCAGGCAGGTATTAGCTTGGAACTCATGCCTCTTCCAGTCAGACCAGAAGGAAGGCAACGGGGTCAGGCATGAACACCCACAGGTCTGTCCTTGGGAAACATTTACACTTAAGAGCCTTTGTTTATTCAGTGCCATAGGAGGCAGGGTCACCTGTTGTGAGAAAGCAGGGATCAAAGTGAGGCTCAAGAAAAATCACCAATGTGGAAAGAATGTTTGAGGAACTCAGAAAAAGGAACAGACTAGGAATGAATTCAAGGATTGCCCAAGCCACATGGCCCAAGCCACCACCAGATTGCCCAATTGCCTTTAAAAACCAATAGAAAGACATGAAGGTAGGGAGGGCAGGAGGCGATTTTGGAGGGAGCCATTAGGCTGATTTAAAGGGGTGGAGTGGACAGAGAAAGATGCAGATCATCTTTAATGAGGATCCAGAACCACCTGGCAAGAGCCTCAAAGGAGAAGGAAAGGAGGGCCCAAGTTTAGAGAAGTCCGTGTCCTACTTCTGTATCCCACCATTGTGCACAGTTACCTTTCCTAAGGAGCCCAAGTATAGAATCAGAGAAGCCAGAATGAGAGCTTGGTCCAAAAATGGAGACATGAGGGCTTGATCCAGATTTGTATGGACCTACCATTGATTCTCCCCTTGTGTAGGAGAAGCCAGCTAAGATGTCTGCAAGGTGGCTAGTGTTGGGTGTTGAATTTCAAGAGCAATTTGATATGCCGATTTTTACCGGATGAGAAATAGGGCCTGGCGATTCCCTGGAATGAGCTGGCTCAGAGTAGACTGGGAAAAGCCAAGATTCCGAATCTTCAAGACGAAGTCCAAAGATCAGAGTTAAAGTCAGGGTTGTGAAGCCAAAAATTTGAGGGGAGCAGAGATGGACTCAGAAGAAGAACATGTCAAGAAGGTGAAAAGAAATGCTTGGGGGTGCCCATAAGATTGCCCAGTTGCCTTTAAAAAACCAATAGGGGCCGGGCGCGGTGACTCACTCCTGTAATCCCAGCACTTTGGCAGGCCAAGGCAGGCGGATCACCTGAGGTCGGAAGTTCGAGACCAGCCTGACCAACATGGAGAAACCCCATCTCTACTAAAAATACAGAATTAGCCAGGTGTGGTGACGCATGCCTGTAATCCCAGCTACTCGGGAGGCTGAGGCAGGAGAATTGCTTGAACTGGAAGGCAGAGGTCGCGGTGAGCTGAGATCGCGCCATTGCACTCCAGCCTAGGCAACAAGAGCAAAACTCCAGCTCAAAAAAAAAAAAAAATAGGAAAATATCATGAAGGTAGGGAGGGCAGGAGGCAATTTTGGAGGGAGCCGTTAGTCTGATTTAAAGGAGTGGAGTGGACAGAAAAAGATGCAGCTCATCTTTAGTGAGGGTCCAAAACCACCTGGCAAGAGCTTCAAAGGAGAAGGGGTATTTGCATGAGGACAGCAAGCTAAGAGAATGTGTCATCTGCCTTCTGTGGATATTGCTTTTGAGGTTGGGTGGTTATTGGATTAATGAATAGGTGAGTTGGAGGGAAGGAAGAAAGAAAGAAATGGAAAGATTGATTACAAGCATAGCTGGAATTAGAGAAGAAAGACTGATAATAGACACAGCCAGAGCCGATACCCTAACTTTCAAATTCAGTAGATGCTGAACTGAGCACTTCGTGTACATAAGACACAGTTACAGTGCCTGCCAATGGTAAGTTTTCAGGAAATGTTCAGGGGATGAGTGGGTGCTCAGGGATGGACCCTGATTAAGGTACGAAGATCAGGAGGACAGTTTCCACCCTTAAGAATCACAGCTTAGTGGTATCTCAAAGTTTGTCTGCTATTCCACTCTTGGATAAACGGTGTATTAAACAGATTTGAACCTGAAAGTGTCAGTTGTAAGAAGCTGTTGGTCTAGGAAGTGTTCTTTTGAAAGTACTGTTACTCATTTTTTATGGACTTTTCATTTTATTTATTCTTGAGTTGCTGGAGGACACGCTGAAATAATAGTTTATCTTTTTGGATTTTAGCTACAGTCAGAGAAAAATTGCACAAATGTGAGGCATTCTGATACACAGAGGGAGTCTGTATGCAAAGTTAACATAGACATACCGGGGTGGTATGTGTAAGTCTGATGTTTAATCATGAGTAATTAGTTTGTACTTCGCAATGTTGTCCCCTGAGGATCAGACAATGTAAATTGTGTAAGCGAAAGAGTGATTGCAAAGGAAGCTATTGAGTGGCTGATTAGCAGTGGGATGGACTCAGGGACACATCAGACAGTCAACAAAAGAGGAAAAGGACAATTGGTTTAATAGTTTGTAATTGATGAATAATTTCTCTACAGAAGATTTGAAGCCACTTATAGCAAAATCACATATCCTCTCCAGTAATGAAAATGGAAGGATAAAATCAGAAACCTTGTAGAGGAGAGATGGCCCTATGGGGGAGCCAAGGTATGGAAAACCCACTTGTGTCTTCATGGCTTTCTTAATCGGGTAGTAACACTCTGGGTAAGAGCTGACCAGGTCCTAGACAAGGTGGCCCAACTCTGAGAATGACGAATAGTTCCTTGACTCCATGGACAAAGATGCCACTGTGGACGCAAACTTGACAGTCCTGCTTATCAGCCTCCTCAAAGGGAGACCAAGGCACCAGCAGGGCAGAGATGGGAGGAGAGAGGGACAGTTTAAAGGGTCACTGGATCCACCTTTGCTTTGCTTTGTGATGTATAAAATTGTATACAATTGGTTGGTAACACCAGAATGGAGAAGGGACACCTAGAATGCGTATGTGCCTAACCCACCTACTGTCTGTGTCACGTGTCGTGGTGTGGGAGAGATGATATGGGGTCAGTAAATCCTTCCCACATGGCTTTGAACACACTCGCCCTCCCACGGCTTCCTGTGTGGGTTCTGCACTATCTGAGGTGCTGGGGGAGGTGAATGACCCAAGAAAAGAAGGTGCCCGACCATTCCCAAGAGCTCTTTCCTTCCAAAAGCCTGACAGAATCGCTTTTCAACACCCACCCGCCAAAGGGAGGTAAGGAAATGTCCTCACCTCGAGCGAGAGAATTTCTCACTTTTCTGAAAATGGATCGACCACTGCTTCTGTGCTTGCTTAGGTTTGGAAGTGCAGGCAAATCAAGAAATAGGGTTCGGCCAGGCGCAGTAGCTTATGCCTGTAATCCCAGCACTTTGGGAGCCCAAGGTGGGCGGGTCACCCGAGGTCAGGAGTTTGAGACCAGCCTGGCCAACATGGTGAAACCCCATCTCTACTGAAAATACAAAAATTAGCCAGGCATGGTGGCACGCACCTGTAATCCCAGCTATACAGGAGGCTGAGGCAGGAGAATCACTTGAACCTGGGAGGCAGAGGTTGCAGTGAGCCAGATCACGCCACTGCACTCCAACCTGAGCAACAGAGTGAGACTCCATCTCAAAAAATAATAATAATAATAATAATAGGGTTCACATCTAATTCGTAAACTCCAAGTTGGCGTCCTGGTCATCAGAAATCAATGTAATTCTGTAATCATTTATTGATTGGAACTCCCTTCCAGAGATGAAACTGAAGGTGAATACTGGAAGTGAATAAAACAACCCCTCTCTCCCTTTCCCAAGGCTTAGAGAAAGTGTGTCAAAAAGTGGATGAGAAATTATTCCATGTTAAGCTCATGTTGTGTTCTTAATACTGTGTTATAAGAAATGACATCATTCTGTCTCTGTATTTCATAGGCGTGATTTGTTTTTTCACTCTCCGTGAATGACATTTTATGAAGACCAAAGTGATGTGTGGGCCTTATTGAGAACTGATACTTTATTTCTAATTGTATAAATAACTCCTCTAATAAAGATTCATAAAGTTAAAAGTACCTTATGCATTTCTTTGGAGACACCCTGTGAATTCTGTGGGATCAAGTCCGAGTCCCCTTCATGTGGCATTTTCCATAGAACTTTTGCTACTAGATTGTCCCTTTACTCAGGACCTTAAATGAAGTGAAAATAGGACAGCCTTGCAAACTTTTTTAAGGTATAAAGGGAGCATGGGGAGAGCCAAGGAGTCAAGAATTGGTAAAATTAGGAAATGAAATCATAAAAGTGGATTTCACATCTTTTTTTAAAATTCTTTCAGCCTTTGTACATTTTTTAACCCTTCCCTGCCTTATGAAGGCCCACTTGTACAGCTGCTTTACATACCGCTGATTTTAAATACTGTCTGTATCACAATATTGTTTGTTTTTATCCCGTCCTTCAGGAGATGACCTGGCTTCCACCACTTTCTGCTATTCAAGCACCTGGCAAAGTGGAACCAACCAAATTTCCATTTCCAAATAAGGTGAGATCTTGCATCCCTCAGGAGGAATATGTTTCACTCATGCAGGCATTTCTAGTGGGCAGTGGGCTTTACCCGTGATTGTCTTTTCTTCTGTAAATATTCCTGCCAGAGGCACGTGAATCTGATCCTTCACAATTTGCAAGCGCATACTTATTCATTTATGAAAGGGGGAGAATCAAGCCTCCAATCTTACTTACCTACACTTCTCTGCAAAATGTGATACTACTGTAATTATCATTTTGTCTAAAAAACATTCATGAAGTTGAAATGCATCTTATAATCATTTTAAACATTCAATGTGATGTATAAAATTGTATGTCCTGGATTTTTCTGAAAAGCTATTATTAAATTAATGATGTATCTTAAAATCAATGTCTTAGTATTGAAGACGTGTGGTATTTAATTTCCCTGAATATCTTTTTTAAAGCTTAAGATATTTTCTAGGACTTAAAAAAAGATATCTATATTTTCTAAGGAAAAGCACACCAAAAAATTGGCCACAAAATAAATGACTATATACATGAGTCTAATAGGCTTTCTTTGATTTGAATAACTGACACATACTACATACTCATTATGAAGGATCAAATTATACAAATGGGAAGAGACCAAAATCTCAACATCCCTGGCACTCCAAGCCAGAGATTATTTCCCTACCCAGAGATTACTATCAGGAGTTTATGTGCCATTTCATTTTCCCTGTGCATTATATATAGAAAATATGTATATTTTTCCAATTCCTAAGTTGTATAGTAAGAGCATTTTTTCCAAAAGTTGATTTTTTTCAACAATATGTATCGTTACTAAATATCAATATCACAGCTTTCTGGTCAGGCATGATGACTCATTCCTGTAATCCCAGCACTTTGGGAGGCCAAAGCAGGTGGCTCAGTTGAGGTCAAGAGTTGAAGACCAGCCTGGCCAACATGCTGAAACCCAATCTCTACTAAAAATACAAAATTAGCCAGGCATGGTGGTGCATGCATGTAATCCCAGCTACTTGAGAGGCTGAGGCAGGAGGATCACTTGAACCTGAGAGGTGGAGCTTGCAGTAAGCTGAGATTGTGCCACTGCACTCCAGCCTGGGTGACAGATGGAGACTGTTTCAAAAACAAACAAAACAAAAAAGTAAATAACTGTCAATATCACCGCTTTCTAAGGTGAATTATTGAAAGAATTGTTCATGCTGTTATCACAAAGATAAATTCCATTCTAAGAGTTGATTTTTCTTACAATAAAACGTATTTGAAGACCTTTTCAAGTGAATATATAGAGATTTTCTTCATTCTTCAAAACAGCAGCAAAATATTTTGTATAAATTTACCATAATTTAATCAGATTCCTTTCAGTGGACACTGAGATTATGTATGGCTTGTTATTATTACAAACACTGTTAGATCAAATGCCTCTTTGAATGCCTCTAATAAGGATACCTTGAGTAGGAATTGTGGTTCTGGGCATCAGAAGCCACAGTTACTTTGGATTGTGTTTCAAGAGTACTTTTGGCCAGGCGTGTTGGCCCAAACCTGTAATCCTAGCATTTTGGGAGGCCAAGGCAGGAGGATTGCTTGAGGTCTGGAGTTCAAGACCAGCTTGGGCAACATAGTGAGACACCATCTCAACAAAAATATGAAAAAATTAGCCAGGCATGGTGGCACACCTGTAGTCCCAGCTACTTGGGACGCTGAGGTAGCAGGAGGATCACTTAAGCCCAGGAGGTCGAGGCTACAGTGAGCTATGATCACGCCACTGCACTCTCGCCTGGGTGACAGAGCACGACGCTGTCTCAAAAAAAAAAAAAAGAAAAGAAAAAAAAAAAGTACTTTTTACATATCTTTGCCAATGATTATTATCATCTGGGTTTTTTATCAGTGTGTCTGTATGATGAATGAAAAGTTGATATCTTGTTGTTTTCATTTGCATTTTCCCAGTTACTTCTAAGCTTGAGCATTGACTGTTTTTCCTTTGCAAATTGCCTGTTCATTACCCATTACCACTTTTTAAAAACTAATTTGTAGGAACTCCTTAACTCTTATTCATTTATCTATTATATATGATACAACTACTTTCTTGCAAACCTTTTTTATGTGCTTTTACACTAGCAAAGTGTTTAATTTTTATGTCAGAGAAAAAAGATCTTTCCTGCTCCAATATTCTAAGTGTCCTCTATTTTATTCTAATTCTCTTATACTTTGTTTTAGTTGTGGATGTTACGATGTAGGATTCTTGTTTTCTTCTTTTCAATGGTCAGTAAGTTATTATAATACTATCAGTGTAATAGCCCATTCACCCCATCACTGGTTTGAAATACCCTATGTCAATAGTTGAGCTTCTCATAAATACATGGATTTGTCTCCGGACTGTCTATTCTGTTTTTCGACATGTTTATCTAATTCTTTCCCAAGAATTCATTGTTCGAATCAGAGGTCAAGAAGCTTTTTCAGTGAAGGATCATATAGTAAATAGTTAAGGCTTTGTAGGCAACACCTCAGTGAATGAAATGTGGCATCTCATTGGTGGAATTGACATCAGAACCCATGTGAAGTTCCCAGGCTTCTAGCCCTTCCATTGAGTACAGGGGAATTTAACTGAACAGTTTATTCAGTGTGTACTTCCAGTGGCACCCTGCCATCCTTAGAATAAAATGCACAATGCTTAGAATCTTTGCACGTAATCTAGCCAAGATAATCCAGACCCAAAATAGAATCATAGACATTTTTGTTATGTGTAGGTATCATGGTATAAGTACAACTTTTGATATAACTGGGCACATACCAAAGCACAGTTTATTACGACTTTTCCAAAAATATTGTACCAGTTTGTTCTGTTTTGTTTCATGTAGATGCTTAAGTGCAAGTAATGACTTGACTTCTGAGGTAAAATTAAGACTTTAAATCATTAGTACAAAAATTTCATTTTTTAGCTCTATTGAGGTGTAATTGACAAAAATTGTATGTATTTAAGGTAAACAACTTGATGTTTTGATATTGTGAAATAATCACCACAATCAAGCTAATTAATATATCAATAGTTACCAAGTTATATATCACATAGTTACCATTTTCTTTTCTCTTTTTGGTGATGAGAACATTACCTCCTAATAAATTTCTAAAGATCTACCCTCATTGTTAACTATAGTCACATTTCTGATACATCATATATTATTCATACACACACATATGTGTACACACACACACAGCATAGACATTGTACTGCGTGAACTAAGCCAGACACAGAAAGCCAAGTACTAGATGTCATTACCTATATGTAGAATCTAAAATCGACACACAGAAGCAGTGAGGAGAATCGTGGTTTCCAGGGGCTGGCAGCTAACACTTTTGCTGATTTTTCGTCAATGAATAGGTGTTACAGAGCCATCCTTGGGTCAAGAAAGTAATAATGGTAGCCTTCCTCATGTGAGACTTGTTATCAAATTGTTAACTTTAAATATGTACGGTTTGTGTTATTGTCACTTATACTTTTTTTTAAAGTCATTGTTGAAAAAATAATTACTGTAATGGAAGTATGACACAGTGTAGCAAAAACATTAGAGTCAAGAAGGTTTCAAAGCACAGGGTAACCCTTGAGTTTACCTGTGCAGAGCCTCGAAGGAAGAATGAAATTTGCCAGGCAGGAAACAGAAAGCAGCAGGATGAGCATTCCAGGGGGAGGGGATCAGAACAGGATACACAGCTGGAAGTATTGGGAGTGGCAGTCACCACATCACTTTCAGCCTTGGGCTCTAATGATTTGTACACATGTCACCTCCACCGCTAACTTGCTGGACTCACTTCTGTAACCCTTAAAAAGCCTAGTAGAGAATCTTGCAGGCCTAGTAGAGTGCTCCCAGAGGGGGACAATACCAATGCACAGATGGGGCTGGACCTCCCCAGGCACCTACCTACAGAAGACATTTGCAAGGGGAGAGAAGGCTGGTGAGACAGAAGCTACACATATGTAGGTATCTGGATGGGGTGGCAGGAGACACAAAAGTGGAAAGGACTTCAGTGTGTGGTCCCTTTGGAGAAAGGAACTTTGGTCTCCCTCTGTTCTGGACCCAGCCTTGCTCTGGCTCTGTGAAGAATAAGAGAGCTGCATAGCCTGTGGGGCCCCTGGGGTTTTGCAGCTGGCTGGGAAGAACAGTCCTCCTTCAAAAGCTGCAGCCCCAGGACCCGAGGTTTGCCAGCAGACACCTTATCAGGGTGTCTGATAAGAGGACCTAAAATGTGGGAGTGGCCTGGTAAGGTAGCTGACCCCTCCACAAGCAGGCTGGCCAAATGCCGGTAAGAATGATAATGGGACATTATTTGTACCCGCAGAGTGGCACAGTTTAGAACACTGGGTTTATAGCCAATTACTTTGGCACTAGCAGTTGTTGTTTCAATGTACCACCAAGAAAACATCAGCTAGCAACATGAGAGTATATATTAGGGACAAAGTCTTTGATTTTATTCTTGCCTCTCCTACAGAAGACTTCCACAGAGATTTTTTTTATACCAATTATTTCAACCATTTTGAAGTCTCTCTTCACTCCCTATCACACAAAACAGAAATAATAATGGTTATTAATCACACAGGTGTTTTAGTTAAAATTTAAAGTTTACTATCTATGGGATACATGATCTTATGGTTTGTAATCCTAATTCAGGTCATCTGTAAGCTCATCTCTGGTTCTCTGCTTGTGATCAACAATCATCCTGTGGGTTTTAGGACATACCAAGAAATTAACAATTTCAGCTAGGCATGGCGGCGCGTGCCTGTAGTACCAGCTACGAAGGCAGGAGGATCGCTTGAGCCTAGGAGTTTGAGGCTGCAGTGAGCCATGATCGTGCCACTGCACTCCAGACTGGGTAACAGAATGTGGCCCTGTCTCTAAAAAATAAATAAGATAGGCCGGGCGCAGTGGCTCAAGCCTGTAATCCCAGCACTTTGGGAGGCCGAGGCAGGTGGATCACTTGAGGCCAGGAGTTTGAGACCAGCCTGGCCAACATGGTGAAACCCCATCTCTACTAAAAATACAAAAAGTTAGCAGGGCCTGGTGGCAGGTGCCTGTAATCCCAGCTACTCGGGATGCTGAGGCAAAAGAATTGCTTGAACCTGGGAGGCGGAGGCTGCAGTGAGCTGAGATCGTGCCGTTGCACTCCAGACTAGGCAACAAGAGCAAAACTCCATCTCTAAATAAATAAATAAGTAAATAAAATAATTATATTTTGTGTTAACAGTCTTAGAAAAAATTCTGTTCTTTTTTTCCTTTCTTTTTTTTTTTTTAAATAAGCTTAATGCTGGAAACTATGTCAATTACCATTCTTGTCCATTTGATGGTGTGTATTTCCCCTCCCTAGTACAGATGCCACCAAATGGCCCAGATCTACAGACAGCAGAGTTAACTAAATGGGACTCAAAGTATTTTCACGTGCCAAAGTTAAAACTAACTTATGTCCAGATATAAACTCTTGAATTCCCTTGAAGAGAAGGAAAACGTACCAATCTACATGGGGGATTTAATTGTGGATGTCTTCTTAGTGACAGCATCTATCCAAAATAGGCCAAAATCATTCTTACAGATGATATTTTAGTCCATTTCAGGAACGATATTTCATCTTCATATAATCATTTCCAAAAACTGAATCTCAGGGTGAGAGTTGAGCTTGTTCTTTTTCTTCAGTTGAATAGCTCATTATTACCATAATTGAAAGAGGTTTATTAGGCATCTGCATATGACTCAGGCTGTTTAATAGAGTGGGAATCCCTTCCCGTCTCAATTTTCCTACCCAACCTCTGCCCACCGACTGGCTCATTTTATACTGTTTCAGTAGAATTTCTTTTTAAAGCAGACATTAGTACTTGGATTTGAATATAACACAAGTCACATCAAATGACACCCTTTACCCCATAACAGCTATACTCGTGGAACAAAATTCTGGTAAAATACATTAAGCCACGTAATAGAAGTTCATTCAATTTCAATGGATTTTTGTTCCATGTGCCAAAATTTTAAAGGAGTTTTGCTGGATTTTATGTCCTGCTACCTTTTTTTTTTTTTACATTCCTATTCACGCATTCTTGTGTAAGTCTTTCATATTTAAATTTTTTTTATTTTAATAGCTTTTGGGGTACAAGTGGTTTTTGGTTACATGGATAAATTATATAGTGGTGAAGTCTGAGAGTTTAGTGTACCCATCACCTGAGTAGTGTACATTGTACCCAGTATGTAGTTTTTTTATCTCATGTCCCACTCCTATCCTCCCACTTCTGAGTCTCCATAGTTCATCATATCACTCTATGTGCCTTTGCATACCCATAGCTTAACTCCCACTTATAAGAACATATGGTATGTGGTTTACTTTCTATTAAATGAGAATTTTGCAAAGAAAGAGGATGTAAATCCTCAAAACAGATTTTAACATTTTGTTTTAATGCAAGTAAAATCAAATTCAATCTCTATTTACCTGAGCAATAACTAAACTTAAAATACTGTGTAGTACTGGCTTTATTCCATTGCAGATAAGTAGATACCATACTAATCTTTTTATCCACCATCGTGAGATTGACAACAGTTGTTTAATAGAGTGTTACTGGTGGGATGATTGCCAAACCCATCTACAGGAAATGGGTGGCAGTAAAGGTTCATTCAAAGAAAAGTTAGATTAAAAGTCAATATGATAATAGGTCAGTGGCATGAGTATAAGAACCCAAACCATAAGTATCAGGGAGGAAAACATAGGTTTAAATCTTCATGACCTTGGATTTGGCAATGGATTCTTAGCGATGACACCAAAAGCATGAGCAACAAAAGAAAAATTAGGTAAACTAAACTTTATTAAAAATTTTTAGAACTTTAAATTTAGAAAATTTAGAACTTTTGTGCATCAAAGAACATTACTGATAAAATGAAAAGACAATTGACAGGATGGGAGGAAATACTGCAAATCATAAATGTGGTAACAGTCTAGTATCCAAACTATATCAAGAACTCATTCAACTCAACAACAAAAAGACAAACCAATTAAAAAATGGCAAAGGACTTGAATAGATATTTCTCCAAAGATGTACAAATGGCCAACAAACACATGAAAAGATGCTCAACATCATTAGTTATTAGGGAAATACAAATCAAAACTGCAGTGAGATACCACTTCATACACACAAGGATAGCTATCATTTTTTAATGGAAAATAACAAGCATTGACAAGGGTGTAGATAAATTGGAACCCTCAAACATTGTTGGATTGCAAAATGGTTTCACTGCTGTGGAAAATCGTTTGGCAGTTCCTTAAAAAGTTTAACATAGAGTTATATAACCCAGAAATTCTGCTCCTAAGTATATACACAAAAGGATTGAAAACATGGACTCGAACTAGTGTACATACCTGCATATTCGTGGCAGTATTATTTACAATATCCAAAAGGTAGAAACAGCCCAAATACCCATTAACAGATGAATGGATAAACACATTGTTGTATATCCATGTGACGCAATATTATTCAGCCATAAAAAGAATGAAGAACCGATACATGCTACAGAGTGGATGAACCTCAAAAACATTATGTTAAGTAAAAAGCCAGTCACAAAGGTCACATATTGTATGATTCCATTTATATGAAATATCCAGAATAGATAAATCCAAGAGACAGATGGAAATTGGTGGTTGTGAGGGGCTGGGGCATTGGGAGGGCAGGGGTATGGGAGACCCTGCTTAATGGGTAAGGGATTTGACTTCAGAGTGATGGAAATATTTTGTAACTAGATAGAGGTAGTGGTTGCACAACCTTATGAAAGTACCAAATGCCACTGAATTGTTCACTTTAAAATGGTTAATTTTAATGTTATGTGAACTTCACCTCAATAAACAAAACAGAAAGTCATTAATACAAAAGAAAAATGATTGTGAAGTATATTCCCAGAACTGCTTAACATGTATGTGTCCACCTTCATGTATATGTTTCTCATTAAAGTAGCTGATAGAGATTGAGAGCAATGAATCGGTTCTGAATGACCAGTTTTAAACATGATCTCATGTTTAACTTGGATTTTGAAAGTCAAAATAAGAAAATTAATTGATATTTCTTGTTCTTTCAGGACTCTCAGCTTGTATCCTCTGGACACAATAATCCAAGTAAGAAAGACTTCGCTCTGGAGTTTCATCTGGGGAGCAGGGGGTGGGGGCAGAGGGCAGAAGGGGAGGGAGGATGAGCACACATTGGACAGTAGGTTTCAAAGAAATTCACTAAAAAACTGGGGAAAGGGGCCATTTGTTCAAGTGCTGCCCAAATGAATAAGATTTATGATGACCTTAAGTGTGCATATTCAAGGAAAGGAAGGCCAAAACAGAAAATGGTGAATTTCAAAGCCATCCCAAGAGAAAGGAACTTCATGCTTTATTATGGCTGTTCCTAGTATATGTGGAGGGAGAAAAAAACTTAAAAGGCACATAATTGGTTGTCTAAATTAAAGGAAAATGAGTGGGCAAAGAAAATCAATCAGTAGACCTTAAGATAATTGACCTTAGAATCCATGAAGAAAAGTCACAACCGGCTGGGTATATGTACTGTGCCCTCTTCCAGAAATAGACAGACTCAACTATCTAAGAAGCAGTTTCCTTATTGAATTGGTGGCTATTAAAACACATGGGCTTTTTTGTCAAAGAGAGGATGCTATCATTCCATGAAGTAGTGTTTTAATTCTCTTCTTTGGCACTACTAATTGGTATTAACGTTGGCTTGAGCATTAAAAATTCATAAGCTACCCTGCTCGTGTCCTAAAAGCACACTCACAAAGACTGGGCTTTGTTAGTTTCACGACCAGCCAGCAAGCTAAGAGCACCCCTTGCCAATTACAAAGCTGCATTTGAAGACTGAACATCCTCTGAGCTGTAGATCTGTCTGTGGAACTGAGGCTCAACCACTGGGCATCTGTGAGGCAAATGGGCCGGAGAGAAAAGATGTCCTGGCAAATGCACTGGGAAGCAGCAGAATTTTCATGCGCAGCTAGAGAAAGGCCGGTGGAGGGGGTGATGGCACAGTGGTGCGGAGGCAATATCACTTAATTATCCCACCCTCTGTTGGGATTTGCTGTGGGTACAGGCACCAGCGATGAGGCAAAATGACAAAAGACATGAAATCTGAAGAAAATGATGAATTTAGTCCTAAGAAAAGAGATCAGAAGAAACACTTGGTTAAGTCCACGTCGTGGTATACAGACGTCAGCATCGCACACCACAGACTAGAGTGTCTTGAAGAGTTACCCTTGCTTTCCTCCCTGTGTCTCACCATTGAATTTAAATGTTCAGGGTAAAGGGGGAATCCCACAGATGAATAAATGCACCTTCTGCCAGCTTGGCATTTTTGACAGACAGAAGAGCAAAGGAAATTCTTGTTGAGTGTCTATTCTGCGCTAGCGTCCTGACTTACAGTATTTCACTTAATCTTTACAATAGCTGCATGAGCTGCATGATCTCAGTGTTCACATGAAGAAGATGAGTTTCTGAGGCTAATAACGAGTCATTTTTTAATCACCTGGCTAAAAAAATGACAGCTAGAATTTGAATTCAGGGCTCTCTGCCCCAAAGACACGAGCTTTTCATCCCACTCTGTTGATTCCCAGAAAGCTGCTGCTATCACTTCACCGTGAGATTGAATTATTGTCCAAGGACTGTCTGCTGTGATTTCTGTGTGCACCCGGCATATTTTTATGGCATGCTATAATATTCACTGCAATTTAGATTCTATAAAAACGGATGCTTCTTCTACAAGACATGATGTGGCACTATCCCTGTGTGGTATAAAACCCTCTGGCATTTCATTGTCCAAGAAAGGTTTTTGATTGGCTTTTTCTTTTCTAGGAGTAAGGGGATTTTTTTTTTAATTTCATTTTCTTGAGACAAGGTCTTGCTCTGTTGCCCAGGCTAGAGTACAGTGACACAATTATAGCTCACTATAACCTTGAATTCCTGGGCTCAAGCAATCCTCCCACATTAGCTTCCCAAGTAGCCAGGACTACAGGCACATACCACTTTTTAAAATTTTTCTTATAGACAGCATTTCACTATGTTGCACAGGCTGGTCTTGAACTCCTGGCCTCAAGCGGTCCTCTTGCCTTGGCCTCCAAAAGTGCTGAGATTATAGGTGTGAGCCACCACACCTGGCCTTTTTTCATTTTTAAATAAATCTTTCTCCAAAACCCCAGCACATGTATACAAAAATAATATTCCTATTAAGTCTGAGAATTCTCTGCAATTTACAGCACATTTGAAACTTTAGGAGAACTGACCCCACCAGCATTTCCCTTGCTGTTTTTGTATATGGTTAGGAATCATGATTCCAGTAAACATGTAAGAAATGGAGAAATACTCTGTTTTGGTACCAGTACCATGCTGTTTTGGTTACTGTAGCCTTGTAGTATAGTTTGAAGTCAGGTAGTGTGATGCCTACAGCTTTGTTCTTTTGGCTTAGGATTGACTTGGCGATGCGGGCTCTTTTTTGGTTCCATATGAACTTTAAAGTAGTTTTTTCCAATTCTGTGAAGAAAGTCATTGGTAGCTTGATGGGGATGGCATTGAATCTGTAAATTACCTTGGGCAGTATGGCCATTTTCATGATATTGATTCTTCCTACCCATGAGCATGGAATGTTCTTCCGTTTGTTTGTATCTTCTTTTATTTCATTGAGCAGTGGCTTGTAGTTCTCCTTGAAGAGGTCCTTCACGTCCCTTGTAAGTTGGATTCCTAGGTATTTTATTCTCTTTCAAGCAATTGTGAATGGGAGTTCACTCATGATTTGGCTCTCTGTTTGTCTGTTGTTGGTGTATAAGAATGCTTGTGATTTTTGTACGTTGATTTTGTATCCTGAGACTTTGCTGAAGTTGCCTCTCAGCTTAAGGAGATTTTGGGCTGAGACAATGGGGTTTTCTAGATATACAATCATGTCATCTGCAAACAGAGACAATTTGACTTCCTCTTTTCCTAATTGAATACCCTTTGTTTCCTTCTCCTGCCTAATTGCCCTGGCCAGAACTTCCAACACTATGTTGAATAGGAGTGATGAGAGAGGGCATCCCTGTCTTGTGCCAGTTTTCAAAGGGAATGCTTCCAGAAATAACGCCGCATGTCTACAACTATCTGATCTTTGACAAACCTGAGAAAAACAAGCAATGGGGAAAGGATTCCCTATTTAATAAATGGTGCTGGGAAAACTGGCTAACCATATGTAGAAAGCTGAAACTGGATGCCTTCCTTACACCTTATACAAAAATTAATTCAAGATGGATTAAAGACTTAAACGTTAGACCTAAAACCATAAAAACCCTAGAAGAAAACCTAGGCATTACTATTCAGGACATAGGCATTGGCAAGGACTTCATGTCAAAATGGCAACAAAAGCCAAAATTGACAAATGGCATCTAATTAAACTAAAGAGCTTCTGCACAGCAAAAGAAACTACCATCAGAGTGAACAGGCAACCTACAAAATGGGAGAAAATTTTCACAACCTACTCATCTGACAAAGGGCTAATATCCAGAACCTACAATGAACTCAAACAAATTTACAAGAAAAAAAACAAACAACCCCATCAAAAAGTGAGCAAAGGACATGAACAGACACTTCTCAAAAGAAGACATTTATGCAGCCAAAAAACACATGAAAAAATGCTCACCATCACTGGCCATCAGAGAAATGCAAATCAAAACCACAATGAGATACCATCTCACACCAGTTAGAATGGCAATCATTAAAAAGTCAGGAAACAACAGGTGCTGGAGAGGATGTGGAGAAATAGGAACACTTTTACACTGTTGGTGGGACTGTAAACTAGTTCAACCATTGTGGAAGTCGGTGTGGCGATTCCTCAGGGATCTAGAACTAGAAATACCATTTGACGCAGCCATCCCATTACTGGGTATATACCCAAAGGACTATAAATCATGCTGCTATAAAGACACATGCACACGTATGTTTATTGCGGCACTATTCACAATAGCAAAGACTTGGAACCAACCCAAATGTCCAACAATGACAGACTGGATTAAGAAAATGTGGCACATATACACCATGGAATACTATGCAGCCATAAAAAATGATGAGTTCACGTCCTTTGTAGGGACATAGATGAAATTGGAACTCATCATTCTCAGTAAACTATCGCAAGAACAAAAAACCAAACACCGCATATTCTCACTCATAGATGGGAATTGAACAATGAGAACACATGGACACAGGAAGGGGAACATTACACTCTGGGGACTGTTGTGGGGTGGGGGGAGGGGGGAGGGATAGCTTTAGGAGATATACCTAATGTTAAATGATGAGTTAATGGGTGCAGCACACCAGCATGGCACATGTATACATATGTAACTAACCTGCACATTGTGCACATGTACCCTAAAACTTAAAGTATAATAATAATAAAATAAAAATTAAAAAAAAGAAATAGAGAAATACTGAGCTTCAGAGAAACCAAAAACAAAATATCTGTGTGGATTGATTACTAACTCATTATTTTAGGCCAGTGCTTCTATTCTCTTTGAAGTGAGAAAGACTGTATTATAGATACTAAAGGAAAGATTGTATAAACAGAAAATGACTTTCAATACAAATCTTTTAAAAGGTAGATCGTTTGCTGAATTACTGATCAATTGAACTTGATATTATAAAATGGAAGCTTATTAAGCATTGAGATACTTGAATATTAACATGGATGATTTATGTCTACATTTTTAAAAATTATGAGAACGTCCTGTTCAGTTGAGTGACTGCATTTAAGCAATCCTTCCCCTTCCTTCAGAATCCCCACCTAATAGCCATGAAGCTGTAGAAATGGAAATAAATCCAAAATAGCACCATCAGAATAAGTGCCATCAGCAAACCAGAAATTTAGTTGTGTTCTGGAAAGCCGAAAGTAATAAAACCCTACTGAAAAATACCCCTGAACAGGGAAGGTCGTGACACAGCAAAGGAAGAATCAGACAGGAACAAGTTTTAGTGGTGGTGGGAACAGCCCCCAGGAGCCCCAGGAAAGACCACATTTCCACTGGACCCCAAGAGAGAACAAGTGCGAATTGCTTGCAGTGATGGGAACACCTGGCCATCCTTCAACCATTACCCCTCCACCCCCATCCTCACGGATTCCCACACAGAGCTTTCAGGATGATTTTTTCTCAAAAACCCCCAAAAACAAAAAGTACCATAATATTTGCTAAAAAAAAAAAAAATTGAACAGTTCACTCCTCACTGAGAACTAATACCAAAGAGAGAAACAGAATACATTCTAAGATAGTACCAGACCTTAAAAATAGATGACATGGAGTAATGGCAGAAGAGTCAACTATTTCTCAAGGGAAATAAACAAAAATTCTATACACCTAAAGTACAGTGCTTTATATTTTTCTTAGAGGAGTGGGTGGAGGAAGGGCTTGGGCTTACAGCTTGCCTGGAGGCTTCTCTTCTCTTGAGCCCTAAATGAATCCTTCACATCAGCATACCCTGCCCACTTACAAAGAGCCATAAATCAGCTCTTCCCTACAAAGGATAGGTGTGTTAGAAAAATTGATCGGAATACTGATACAGGAAAGCCACGCCAACTACCTTTGTTAACCAATTTTTTATTTAAAAATATGAATATATAACCAGTGACGCCAAAAAGAAAGACTAGTCCCAAAGGAAATCTAGGAAATCTAATTCAAGGTAAAGAAGAAAAAAGTTTCAAGTATAATTGCAGTCCTTAGAAAGATTTGAAATTATTTGTGTTAAATAAAAAGAGAACAGATTGGTATGAAAAAGAGGTAATTACAGAACAAATGAACACTTGAGAATTAAAAATATGATTGACAAACAATAGAAGGGATGATAATAGCTGAAGTCTGAAACGTTGAATATAAAGTTGAAAACTTTTTTTTTCTGAGTATAAAGCAAAACACAGATGGAAAATATGAAAGGGATTGAAGATACACAGCCAGTCAAGGTGGCAGAAAAAGAAAATGGAGAGGAATGAATAATAACAGAAATAGAGCACTAAGGGAAATGAGCAACTTACAATCAGAAAAGAACCCCTTACAAAAAAGGAAACGAGACCACGAGCAAGAGCAAGAACAAACAGGACAGCGGAGAATCAGACTCCTAATTCAGAAACTGGGGTTATCAAGCCTAGAATGTGAAATTAGAGCCCTTGCTTTAATTTCTGGAAATAAAAGAGAGGATTGGAAATGTGGTAAAGAGCAAGAAAACTTGGAGGAGTGTTAAACAGAATTCTAGGAATAAAATAATATAATAGGAATTAGAATTTCCATGGGCAGATGTAACAGCACATTAGACATAGCTGAGAAAGAATTAATGAATTGGAAAGTTGAATTTAAGAAATTATCTAGAATGCAGCCTAGAGAGACAGAAATGGAAAACAGGAAATTAGTTAAGAGACATGGAGATAAAGTGGGGAAGTCTAACATGCATCTAACTAGAATTTCAGAAAGGGAAAGGGAAGCGAGACAGTACTGAAGATGATTGATGGCTGAGAATTTTCCAGACTTGAAAGACATTAATCCACAGAGTCAAGAAACCCAGTGAATACCAAGGATAAATGAAAAAAAAAAAAGTCCACACTACACACATTATAGCTAAAGTGCACATAAAAATTAAAATACCCTTTAATATCTTCAACAACTCAACCAACTTACACCTGACTTCACAACAGCATCAGTGGGAGCCTGCAAACAGAGAAGCTGAAGCATCACTGAGTTGGGAAAAAATAACTATCAGCTTAGGATTGTGTATCTTGCAAAAAAAAAATTTAATGAGTCAAGACATTTTCAGACAAAAGCTGGGAAAGTATGCCACCAGTAAATCCTCACAAAAGAAATTTTAAAAGACATACTTTGTTCAGAAGGAATGTGAGGTGCGAGAAAGATTAAATGCAGTGAAAGTAAATATGGGGAAAATTTAAACAATGTTGATTGCATGCACCAGTAATAATATATTGTTAAGTAATCAAAATAAATACAATTGGAATCCACAAAACAATAGCATAAAATAAGATGAGAATGTGGAATTAAAATCTTCTAAGTTCCTGTAATTATTTTGGAGAAGGATAAAAATTTTAACTTTGGGCTTTGATAAATTAAGTAAATATTTGCAATTTGTAGGGTACCCACTAAACTATACTAAAAGGTATTTAACCTACAAACTAAATGTGGAGAACATCTTACAAACCAAGCTAAAAATAGAATATGAATATTATTAGTTAATCCAAAAGAATTGAAGAAGAGAAAATGAAACAGAGTATATGGAAAAATATGGTAGCATAAATTAAATCAGTAATTTAAAGGCCGGGCGTGGTGGCTCACGCCTGTAATCCCAGCAGTTTGGGAGACCGAGGTGGGCAGATCACTTGAGGCCAGGAGTTCGAGACAAGCCTGGCCAACATGGTGAAACCCCATCTCTACTAAAAATACAAAAATTAGCCGGGCGTGGTGGCGTATGCCTGTAGTCCTAGCTACTCAGGAGGCTGAGGCAGGAGAATCGCTTGAACCTGGGAGGTGGAGGTTGCAGTGAGCCAAGATTGTGCCACTGCACTCCAGCCTGGGCAACAGAGTGAGACTCCGTCTCAAAAAAAAAAAAAAAAAAATCAGTAATTTAAACAAATGGATTAGATGCAATGATTCAATAACAAATATTGACCAAATTGATTTAAAAAATAAAACTCTAGCTCTGTGCTATTTACAATGACACATTTAGAAATTAAAGATTCAGAAAATTTGAAAGGAAAAAGGTTAGGAAAATATATGCCAGCCAAATACTGGTGATAAAAAAGCATGATATGTTTATTCTGATACCAGAAAAATAAACTTTAAGCAAAAAGCATTACTACAGTTAAAAAGGGTCACTACCCAAGGAAAGATACAACTTACCATATGGACAAAATAATTTGATATATGTAAATTCCAAATAGCAAAGCTTCAAATTTTTAAAAGTAAAAGTCACAAATTACAAGGGGAAATGTATTATCTTAATGGAAGATGTAAACAGAAATTCGTAACTGTTGTATAATGCAAACAGAAAAATTAGTAAGGATACATAAGATTTAAACAACACAATGAGCAAGAGTACATTACCCAACAGCTGCAGAATATGCATTATTTTCAAGCAGACAGGGAACAGTTATGAAAATTGACAACTACTGGACCATAAAGCAAGTTTCAACAGATTTTAAAAGATAAATATTATATTTACCATGGTCTCCAACCACAGTATGATTAAATTAGAAATTGATAATGAAAATATGACTAGGAGGGAAAACACATGTTTAGAAATTAAGAATCACTCTAGATATTAGTAAATATTTGGGACTGAAAGGTAATAGAAATACCTAATATTAAAACTGGAGGAAGAAACTAAATTAGAGGGAAAGTTGCAGCTTTGCATCTGAAATACTCATACTAGAAGCTGGGTGCAGTGGCTCACGCCTGTAATCCCAGTGCTTTAGGAGGCTGAGGTGGGCGGATCCATTGAGGTCAGGAATTCGAGACCAGTCTGGCCAACGTGGTGAAACCCCATCTCTACTAAAAATACAAAATTTAGCTGGGTGTGGTGGCAGGCGCCTGTAGTCCCAGCTACTCGGGAGACTGAGGCAGGAGAATCGCTTGAGCCTGGGAGGCGGAGGTTGCTGTGAGCCGAGATCTCACCTCTGCACTCCAGCCTGGATGACAGAGTGAGACTCCGTCTCTAAATAAATAAGGAAATGACTCATACTAGCAAACAAAAAATTAATGAACTAAGCATCTATCTTAAGAGCTGAAAGAAGAGAAAATAAACCCAAAACAAATGGAAAAGAGATTTACAAAAAAAAAACAAAAGCAGAAATTAATAAAATAGCAGAGATAAAATTTTAAATGTCAATGGAGCCAAAAGTTTATTCAATGAAGTTATAATACAGTTGACAAACTTTGCAGAGAGATTGATCAGGACAAAAAGAGAAAAGGCACAAATAAATAATATTAGGAATCAAAAAGGGAATAAACTGTGATGCAGATCAAGAACAAAAATATGTTATGTGCAAAATTATACCAAAATTTTTTCAAAACTAGACGAAATGACTATGATTAAAATGATTTTTCAGGTATTACATGTATATATGTATATGTTTTATATGAAATTTACATATAAATATAACCTGAATAATCCTATAGCCGTTTTAACAATTGGCCCAGTAATTTTTTAAAAATCATTCCACCACACAATTTCAAGGCTAGACATTTTTACTAAGAATTCTACCAAACTCACAGGAAGAGGTAATTCCAAACCTACACCCTTCTTCAGAGAATTAGAAAAAGCCAGCAGTTCTCAACTCATTATATCAAGGCAGTATAACCTTGATATCAAAACTTGACAAGCCAGTACAAGAAAAAGAATTCACAGGTATCATTCATGATCATAAATGTAAAAATTCTAGGTCAAATATTTGTAAATTCCATCCAGCCAAGTACAAAATATATTTTAAAATATAACTCATAATTAAGAAACTGTACTTATTTTAGGAATTCAAAATTGGATCCTTTTTATAATATTAACATGATTAATTATATTAAAATATTAAAAGAAAAATAGGATTGTTTCAATAAATTAAGAAAAAGCATTTGATAAAATTCACTATACATGATTTAAAGGAAAAATAGCAAATCAGGAATAGAAGCCCACTTCATTAACACAATAACAGTATCTGCCAAAAAAACTCAAAACAAGAATCCTATTTAGTGTTGAAACATTTGCAGCGTTCCCCTCAAGATGAGGAACAAGACATGAGTTCCACTTTTATGCAACATTATACTGGATGGACATCCTTGGTCGAGGCAATAAATTAAGAAAAAAAAGTACCTGTTAGAAAGGAGAAGAACATTCATTTTCTCAAATTATATTGTTTATGCAGAAAACTCAAAAGAATCTACAGATTATTAGGATTAATAAGAAAATTTAGCAAGATTGCTGTATACACAATTAATTTCATTTCCCTACACTAACAACTGAAAATTATAGTTTAAAACTTTTAATATTAGTATAAAAATATAAGTTACTAAGCAATAACCCTGTCAAGAGATGTGTTAAGACCTCTATGGAGAAAATTAACAAACTATTGAAATACGTTAAGAAATATCAAAATAAATGGAGACGCCTAATACCAAGTACATGAATTGGAAGATGCAGTGTTGTAAAGATACAAGTTCTCTTCAGATATCTATAGATTTAATACAGCTCCAATCAAATTTCCAACTTTTGGGTATGTGGAAATTGACAAACTGATGATACTCAAATTTATACAATAGATCAAAGGGCTAAGAATAGCCAAGATGTTCCTAAATAGCAAGGTTGGAGCTTTGCCTTACGAATATTTTTAAATATATATTAAAGCTAAGTAATGAGGGCAGTAATAGACAAATTGAGCAATGAAAGTGAGTGAGTAGAGACCCAGAAGCAGATCCACAGGCGTATGAAAACTGGACTCATGGCAGAGATGATGATATAGATTAATAGAGAAAGAATGGACTTCAAGTACCATAATAACTGGTTATTTCTAGGGAGAAAAACGAAACTTAACTCCTACCCCACGCCATATACAAAAACCAATCCAGGTATTTTTTAAAAATCAGTAAAAGTATATACTTTTAGAAGACAGTATAAAACATTTTTCTGATGTTTTTCTTAAATCACAAAAAGTGTCAAATAAAGAAAATTATCTATAAATTTGAGTACATTAAAATTAAGAACTTAACATTATCCAAAGATAATAGAAAAAATAAAAAGGCTAACACTGGGAAAAGTTTTGTTGTTGTTGTTGTTGTTGTTTTGGTTTTTTTTTTTTTTGGACGGAGTCTCGCTCTGTCGCCCAGGCTGGAGTGCAGTGGCGCGATCTTGGCTCACTGCAACCTCCACCTCCCAGGTTCAAGCAATTCTCCTGCCTCAGCCTTTCTAGTAGCTGGGACTACAAGGCGCCCGCCACCACACCCGGCTAATTTTTTATATTTTTAGTAGAAACAGGGTTTCACTGTGTTAGCCAGGATGGTCTCAATCTCCTGACCTCATGATCCGCCTGCCTCGGCCTCCCAAAGTGCTAGGATTACAGGCATGAACTACCGCGCCCGGCCAAGTTTTATATATGTATTGAAAAGTTATACACGCACACACACACGACTATATGTATGACTCTTATTGAGACAATAAAATGTTTCTATGAATAAGAAATTAATACTAAAAAATAATTTTTAAGAAATGACACAGAAGAGCAAGTACAAAATATTTACCTCATTAGTGCTCAGAGAAATGCAGACACCACAACAAAATTATATTCTACATTATTAAATTAGAAAAAACTTTAAAACCTTGATCATAACAAGTGTTGGTATGGATGTGAATCAGTTTGAAGTCTCATATACTGTCTGGGGAGTGTTAATTTGGAAATCAGTTTTGGATTCCCTGCTAAAGTTGGCCATATGGAAGTCTTAAGGCCCAGAACTCCTAACATGTGCATGAGGAAGGGTGTTCATGAATGTTTGCAGTTCTATTGTTCATGATGGCAAAAATCTAAATGTCCATCAGGAGAAGAACAAATAAGAAACTGGTATATTTATACAATAAAGTATTGCACAGCAGTGAGGATGAACAAACTGTAGCTACATGCAGGATGATGGCTAAATCTAAAATTCATAACACTGCATGATAGAAGTGAGTCTCAGAAGAATGCCTAGGTATGATTAGAGTCGTATGAAGTTTAGAAACAACAACTACCAAAACAGAGTTAATTTATTAATACATACATAGGCGGTTAAAAAGAAAAAAAAAACTCTCCAGAAAACAAAGAGAATGATTAACACACAATTCTTTTTTTTTTTTTTTTTGAGACAGAGTCTCGCTCTGTTGCCCAGGCTGGAGTGCAGTGGCACAATCTCGGCTCACTGCAAGCTCCAGGTTCATGCCATTCTCCTGCCTCAGCCTCCCGAGTAGCTAGGACTACAGGCGCCCACCACCACGCCTGGCTAATTTTTTTGTATTTTTAGTAGAGACGGGGTTTCACCATGTTAGCCAGGATGGTCTCAATCTCCTGACCTCGTGATCTGCCTGCCTCAGCCTCCCAAAGTGCTGGGATTACAGGCGTGAGCCACTGTGCCCAGCCACAATTCTTTTACCAATAGCTGGTGGGAAGGGTGGGAAGAGATGGGAGCCAGTGAAGGCACTTTCGATGATGTTCCATCCCTGGCCTGGAAGGTGTTTTCACAGTTCATTCATTTTAATGCTTTGAAAGTGTCTATATACATTTCATGTAAATATACATTTTATGTTCACTAAATGCGTGCTCTATTTAACAGTATTTTAGGGAGAACATAACCTTAGCTTGAGACAAACCTGTGACGTGGTAGAACATAACAATGAGAATTCATTTGACATAAATGTCGGGAACATTTGCACTCATTCTACCTTAGTGACATTGCCTCCTGTTCAGGTCTACTCAAGCTGCTTTCTTCTTTAGTGACTAATATTTATATTGTCACAATATTGCAAATTCTCATTATTGGTTTATGATTTTTTACTTGACCTATAGGCAAGACCAAAAATTAAATTATTAACTAAATTAGTATTAAGGAGGATGACTCAATAATTACTGAACAGAGTATGAATATTTTAAATCTTGGTGATATAAAAGGAAAGACATAGCTGTGAGCGGGGAGGTGGGAGGGAAGGATAGATGGGTGAGTTTCCTCATTTTACATGGTATGAAAGAAAAGATACTGTCAGAAGGTGATTAATCAAGAGAAATAAGATTAAATATATTTAAAGTTACAAATGCCCACTAGAGGCACTAAAAATAATAACAGAACTAATAAAAATTATAAGGGAGGGGAGACTATTAAATACCTTGCCTCTTGTCTTTCATATCAGAAATCATTAGGCACTGTCTAAAGTTGGTACATCTAGAAATAAAAACGCATTGGCTGGGCACGGTAGCTTACACCTGTAATCCCAGCACTTTGGGAAGCCAAGGAGGGCAGATTACTTGAGGCCAGGATTTCGAGAGCAGCCTGGCCAACATGGTGAAACCCCATCTCTACTAAAAATATAAAAATTAGCCAGGTGTTTTGGCATGCAGCTGTAATCCCAGCTGCTCAGGAGGCTGAGGCAGGAGAATCACTTGAGATTACCCGGGAGGCAGAGATTGCAGTAAGCCAAGATTGCACCACTGCACTCCAGTCTGGGCAACAGACTGGGACTCCATCTCAAGCAAAGAAAAACACATCACTTAGACTAATCATTGAAGGGCTAACAGAATTTAAAATAAAAGTAAGCAAAGTCATTACCTTTTCTTTTCTGTTCATTTTTTTAAAACCATAAACATGGATTGCTTTTGATATAACTGTGTAGAAATGTGGCAGTATATGGCCGAGCACGGTGGCTCACACCTGTAATCTCAGCACTTTGGGAGGCTAAGTCAGGCAGATCACAAGGTCAGGAGTTGGAGACCAGCCTGGCCAATATGGTGAAACCTCGTCTCTACTAAAAATAAAAACATTAGCCGGGCATGGTGGCAGGCACCTGTAGTCCCAGCTACTCGGGAGGCTGAGGCAGGAGAATCGCTTTGAACCCAGGAGGCAGAGGTTGCAGTGAAGAGAGTGCACCACTGCACTCCAGCCTGGGCAACAGAGTGAGACCCCATCTCAAAAAAAAAAAAAAAAAGTTGCAGTATAGCAAAACTTCCCTGTGCAGAATTCAGTTTAATGCAGGATTATTTTGATTTTCTTTTCAAAAAACATATTTAGTCCCTATATGACACTATTGATGGAAAGTAAGATACTCCAGCAGTGCAGTCCATTTAAATGTTTAAAGAGCATGAATTCCACATTATTTATCTTTATGCTCACAAGAGCACCCAACATAGAAGTCCTCTGTACATTGCGTTAAAAAGGTAACTGTTATAATTTTTTAAGTGACCTATTGGAGTCAGCAAGCTGTTTCATATCTCAAACTGTATATTTCGTCTCACTGGCGAGGGTACCTTAAGCATCTTTTCCCACTGCAGCATGGAATTCTGTATTAGTGACAGGGCATCAGAACAGAAGACACATACTGAGCACCTAGTGTATGTTAGGCAATGTGGAAGGCCCAGCCAGACAAATATGGACTGTCAAATTGAAAGTGTATAATACACATAGATACATAGATTTTACATATATTTACATATATGCATATATATTTGCATATATAGTTCTTTCCGTGGCTCATTTTTTCCCCTCTTCCTCTCTGTAATTGTATTTCCGCATGTAAAATGGCTTCCCTGCACCCAGCTTATTAATGACCAATGCAGATTCCCTCCCAAAGAGACCAGTGTGAAACATTGGTCCATCATGAAATATCCATCATGAAAACAGCTGACACAAACAGGAGGACCCTGGAGACAGCTGTCTTTGGATGGTGGGGCGGGCAGGGGGCGGGGTGGGAAACATCTCCTGCACACCCAACTAAAAAAAAAAAAATTTGTACTAATGTTCTAGAATGTTCCATTACATTCATCATTTTCCCTTGGGTCCTAATAAAGAGACCATAATTCTCAGTGGTGTATACACTTAAACATTTCAAGTTAACTTCAGAAATTTCATCACCTAAAATTTCAAGATGTGGGGGAAGCTTTGTGTTTTATTCTTTCTGAAGGACAAAAATAGTTTTAATCCCATCTCGTTCCTGACCAGCTTACTTTTCCCCCCAGAAAGGCAAATTCATTATCAGCACTGAATTTGCTGAGAACACTCCCTCTCAGACTGTTCACCATGTCCTGTTTGGCCCCACTATATCCTTCCTATTTGCCAGAACCTATTCTGTTTGCCCTGTTGCCACAACATAAGTGCTGCTAAGAGCAAAGATAATCAGCTGCGCATCTGTCCCCATGCTGAAGACTTGGGCAGCATGATTGGTCAAGGCAAAACATATTTCTTCAAACATCCAAACAATGCCTTCGTTTTTATTTTCAATTTCCTGTTTTCTGACATAAATTGTTTGGGAATTTTACCATTGCCTGCTGCTTCCAAGCCTGCTGTTTTACATTCTTCATTAAGATGGAATGTGGTAACTACTGCAGGCTAGAGACTGGGGAAAGTAACCAGTTTCACCAAATTAAAGCAGGTTGGGGGAAAGGATCCATATATTTGAGAAAAAAAATATACTTCCATTTAGTTTTGTCTTATATAATGCAGGTGTTATAACTCTCTATTTTAGGATTACAAGAGGGATTGTGGTTAGTCCATGGAAAAAATGTTTCTGCAAAGTACTAAATTATTTTCCAGCACTGAAACCAGTTGAACAGGCCTTATTTGCCTCCTAAATGAGTGCACCACAGACCTTGCCTGGAAGACAAAAGAAAATATACAAGAATGAGCTTTAAAGCAAATTTATTAATTTGCTACTTTAGCCTTTATTCCAACATGGTTTTATATGTATTGAGGCCCTGCCTAATCAATGTTTGTTATCAAGGCAGTTAAAATAGATTTTGTGGCTTTTTTGTTTTTCCCCCTCATCTGACCAGCTTTTAGCCAAAGTCCCTCATAGCTGTTCTGGCACTGGATAAATGTCTGAGATAGATGTACGAACTGTAGAAACTGTGTCTTCTTTTTCTCACAACTGTTTATTCCTATAAGAAAAAGAGAAGGACATATAAAGTTTGCTTTTGAGTTCAGTTTGGGCAATACCTTTGGGATATGTTCATTATGTAATTTAGGGAGTCATTCCTGGGACTAGGTGACGACAAGCTAATGTTGACAGCTGACAAAAGGGGTATGGTACAATGTGTGGGCCCAAGGACGTGAGCAGTAGACCAAGGGATTCTAGAGATCTCCAGGCCTGACTTGAAAGAGCATAGCAAACCAAGTTACTACCACAGTCCTATTTCTTGCAACTCACAGCCTTCTCTGGGGTGTATTGGCTCTGCACAACCATCAGGAAACACACGAGCCCACGCTCTCAGTTATCAGTGACTTCTTCCATCTCCAAGCCTCAAGGAAATACAAAGAAACTCCTTACAGAATGAGGATGCATGGTTCAAACCACCAATTGATTAAGGATTAGGAATTACATTAAGCCTACTGTAAACTACAAGAAGTGAACTGGTTCCAAGCTCCCCCAACTACGTACAACTCGTTAATTCCTCAGTGATCACAGCCCACAGAAGCATTTCCTTAACTAGCCTTTCAGATGGTCAGAAAGGATTTCTGGTTTACATCTCATTCTGCTTTAAGCTAGGGGCCCCAAAACCTGCCACCAGGGCTCTCTATGGGGTATAAAATAGGGGGATCTTGGGACCTACAGTGCAACCTCAGTGTTCAGTAAAAATTCTCTCCTCCTGGCCGGACGTGGTGGTTCACGCCTGTAATTCCAACACTTTGAGAGGCCGAGGCGGGCAGATCACTTGAGGTCAGGAGTTCGAGACCAGCCTGGCCAACATGGTGAAACCCTGTCTCTACAAAAAATATAAAAATCAGCCAGGTGTGGTGGCAGGCACCTGTAGTCCCAGCTACTCGGGAGGCTGAGACTGGAGAATTGCTTGAACCCGGGAGGTGGAGGTTGCAGTGAGCCGAGATTGTGCCACTGCACTCCAGCCTGGGTGACAGAGTGAGACTCTGCCTCAAAAAAAAAAAAAAAAAAAATTCTTTCCTCCAAGTTCTGATTCAGCCTGACCTGGTTTGGCTTATGTTAGCAGAAGCAATCAAAGTTCAAAGTGCCTTGGATATAGAATGCCAATGGATTTATTTCCTGAAATTTTCTGTAAAGTGAAGTGGAAGGAAACAGGTTCCATCTGTAAGATATTCATCTTCTGGCAAAGTCTCCACTCCAAGCCTCTGGTTGTTTGCAAATAGCTCCTCAGTACCTACTCACAGATTTGTGCCTGGGCAGTTGCATTGCAGAAAAGAAATTATTTTGCAAATCCGGTTCTCAGACAATAAAAGATGTTTTAAAAGCCTCCTGCTACACATTTTGAAAGATTGTTAATAGGAGCATGGAAATATATTTAATCTCTCTTAAATCTTAAAGACTGTAAGACTCATATGTCGGTATTTTTTTCTGCTTCCTTTTTAAGAGAAAGGTGATGCAGAGCCAGAGAGTCCAGACAATGGCACATCGAATACATCGTAAGTTTCTTTCATTTTCTATCAGAGATGCCTGTTCTTAAATATGCCTCATAAAATGAGATAGTGCAAGTATCTTGTAATAGTAATAATGATGATGGAAGGAAGCCCATGGTTCTCTTTTCTCATGATAATGTCTTTCTAAATGCTTTGGGTGCAGATGCATTTTTTATGCTTTAGCAGAGTAAGAGGAATCTTGAAAAATGCAAATGCTTCTCTTTATGAAGTAGAAATGTAATGAGATTTGAGCATGTATGCTGGGGGGATTTGGTTGGAGACTTTCAGCATCATCTTAAGAATTGCAGAACTTTTCACACTTAAACTGGGAGGTATGCTGTCCCACACAGCTGTGCAGTAACAAGGTCATTTCAGAAGCTTGCCATCTGCAACCTCACCTTGGAATTATGTGAAAAGCACAATTATCGATATCTCTGGAATCTCAAGAGTTTCTTTTTTGAATTAACAAAAGCAGTTTTAAAAACATAAGAAAAGGCCCTTATAAAACATGTGCTCCTCACTCTATGTTTTGTCTGTTTCTTCTCAATATTCAAGGAATCCAAATATATTTTTACTGATTAATTTGATGCCAAATTGATATACCAACATTTAAATTAAAAAATTCATGAGCTAACAAGTGACTTTATTTTAGTTCCATAAGAGTCAATAACAGGTTTGCTCCTTAAAAATCTTTATTTTTATCACTTATGAGCAGTGGCATGTGTTTTCTTATTATAAGATAGGCTTTGTGAATTTATCTGTATGGGGATCAGGATTTTAAAAAACAGCATTTTTTAAGTGCTGTTGATTGGAAATCAGTTTGTGGTAAAATACTGAGTGTCTTATTTTGTCCAAAATCTGTTTCTTTGTCTAGAAAGATCCTTTGGCTTGAATAGGAGAGCTGTGTATTTCATAAGAGATATGATTATATGTTTGTCTTTCTTAAGATACTTCCCTAAAAGTTTAAATAGTTCCATTGTCCTGCTTTCAGATGTTATAATGAATGTGACTGGTCTTAAATGGTTAAAATGTTACTAATTTTTAATTTTTTTGTGTTGTAAAATATAATGGGAAAGGCTTTTAATGCCATCTGGAGGCATTCTAGAGAACTGAAAAGGGTAGAATCATTGAAAATTCAGTTCTTTTGAGTAACAGTAGAAACTGCATAAAAATTCATGCAACCAGAATGTAAGCTATTTGGGGGAAGTTGTATTTTTTAATAAATTATTTTATAAAAGTTTTAATTGTAGAAACAATTTTTTCAAATTCTCAATAATGAAATTATTTTAAAGACTGACAAAGAATATACAAAGTATGTTGGAAAGTGACTAGCATCCTACATTTAATTTTACATAGTTAAAAATCACATTCAGTAGGCACCCATTTGGTTAAGGCAGTTGGATGTGCTTCTAAAGTTCTCCTTCCCTTACGTATTTCTAAAATGTCCGTTCCCAGCCAGGCTCAGTGGCTCACGCTTGTAATCCCAACACTTTGGGAGGCCGAGGCAGGCAGATCACTTGAGACCAGGAATTTGAGACCAGCCTGGCCAAAATGGCAAAACCTCGTCTCTACTAAAAATACAAAAATTAGCTGGGTGTGGTGGCAGACACCTGTAATCCCAGCTACACGGGAGGCTGAGGCACAAGAATAGCTTAAACCCAGGATCATGCCACTGTGCTCCAGCCTGGGTGACAAAGTAAGACTGTCTCAAAAATAATAAATAAAAAAATAAAAAGTTTATTGCCTAAAAGCACTGGTTTGCTTTACTCTGTACCTTATTTCTTATAACATCTATGAAAATAGGTAAGTTGGCCAGGCACGGTGGCTCACACCTGTAATCCCAGCACTTTGGGAGGCCAAGGGGGGCGGATCACGAGGTCAGGAGTTCGAAACTAGCCTGACCATCATGCTGAAACCCCATCTCTACCAAAAATACAAAAAAAAATTAGCTGGGCATGGTGGCGCGTGCCTGTAATCTCAGCTACTCAGGTGGCTGAGTCAGGAGAATCACTTGAACCCGGGAGGCGGAGGTTGCAGTGAGCAGAGATCGCACCACTGCACTCCAGCCTGGGTGACAGAGGGAGATTCTATCTCAGAAAAAAAAAAGAAAAAAAATAGGTAAGTTGTCTGAGGAATTACTTTTAAACCCTCTGGAAATATAAAAACAATGGGAGCTTGAAGCATCACCCCATATTCCTGCCTCTTTGAGCAAAACGGTTTCTTAGGCACCTGCCTCTTAAACTAGAAATAACAGGTTGCAAGCATCTCTCCTATGAATGGAGAATTCTGAACTTGAAACCGCTCAAGAGACCTCTAACAGAGGTTCTGTTATAATTGGGTATGAGGTACAGTACATTACGGATAAAGAGTGAGATTCAGGATGCCTTTGATTTGTGTAGTATTTTACATTCTTATGTGCAGCATCTATCTGAGCTTTTTTAGGTAGGTAGGATAGAAACAATATCCCCATATTATGGATAAGGAATCTGAGGATCAGAAAGGTCACTCCAGGCCAGGTGCGGTGTCTCACACTTGTAATCCCAGCACTTTGGGAGGCCCAGGTGGGTGGATCACCTGAAGTCAGAAGTTTGAAACCAGCCTGGCCAACATGGCGAAACCCCACCTCTACTAAAAACACAAAAATTAGCTGAGTGTGGTGGCATGCGCCTGTAATCCCAGCTACTGGGGAGGCTGAGGCAGGAGAATTGCTTGAACCTAGGAGGCGAAGGTTGCAGTGAGCCAAGATTGCACCACTGCACTCCAGCCTGGGCAACAGCATGAGACTGTGTCTCAAAAAAAAAAAAAAAAAAAGAAAGGTCATTCCACTGAAGTGAGGAGTTAGAGCATAAACCTTCTGATTTTTGCCCATTTTCCATACCAAGAGGGGGTGTGGGTCTCAAGAGACAAACTAAAGCCATGAGTCACAATCAAGTAGGAAAATTGGGAGCAGAGGATTTGTTAAGTGGCAAGCATACTGATCTGGTAGGGCTGCCAGAGCAAAGTACCAGCAAGTAGGTGGCGAAAGTAACAGAAATTTATTTTCTCATGGTTCTGGAGGCTGGAAGTCCCAGTCAGGGTGTCAGCAGGGTTGGTTGCTTCTGGGAGATGTAAAGAGAGGAGTTATCCCCGGCCTCTCTCCTTCGCTTGTAGGTGACCGTCTCCTCCCAACGTGTCCTCACGTCATCGTCTCTCTGTGCATGTCTATCTCTGTGTCTGTTTATATAGTCAGCAGTCATATTGGATTAGGGCCCACCCTAATGACGTCATTTTAACTTGATTACCTCTGTAAAGACCCTGTCACTAAATAAAGTCACATTCTGAGGCACTGGAAGTTAGGATTTCAACATATAAATTTTGGGAAGAAGTAGTTTGGCCTGTAACATTAAGGGGCAGAGTAATCAGAGTGATTCAGAAGTCAGGTAAACAGAACCAGGGGTACACAGATTTCTGAAAATGGGAAAAGGGGAGACAGCCTAAGTAAAACATGAAACATAATAGGCTCCATGGCAGCTGCAGGAGTGGAGCAGAGCGAAGAAAACAGGGCTAGCAAGCATGGGGCACTGGGAAAGATGCCTCTCTCATATTCATGGTGTGGTGGAACCAGTGTGGCTTCAGTAAGGCCTATACATCCCTCTGTCTGTATAACTCTATGACCCTGAGTCATTAAAGCCATTATATGGACTTAAATTGTAATACAAGGTTGGGAGTCTCCAAACAGAAGAGCTTATTTCCTAAGGAAGCATCTTTCTTCATGGCCTCCTTTAAAAACGGGAGATCGATCATGATTGGTTTCAGATGGTCAATGCTTGGCAGTATGACACAGTCTGGACAACACCCGAGTAATCCTTCAATATATATTATTTAGTGATCCTATGAGCATTCAGGGCAATGAAAGGAGCGATTTAATCTTAACATGCGTGCACACACAAAAGCACAAATTAAAATGTCTGTGACAGACTTCCAGTTATATTAATGATGGAAGAACCTATCTTAGACTAACTCTCCTGCAGATAGCTGTTACAAACTCTGGACAAAATACTTTTGTTAAAAAAACTATTCATAGTCTAACTAAAAGAAGGCAGAGAATGTAGGAAATTTGATCCTTGAAAGAGGGTCATTTGATCCTTGAAAGAGTGAGAACTATGTTTATATAGCTTCTCCCATGAAGGCATGCCCCAGTCCACAAAGAACAATTAGAACTCAAGGAGAAAGCCACAGCTGTAATGGCTTGAGGTGTCAGGGGATAGAGTTTAGGGCTGCCAGAGTGGCTGGGAATTGAGTAAGTCACAGAAAGAAAAGAGCCATAAAGAAGAGAGCCCTCCATTCTGTATATAAATTTCCATCAATCCTTGAATAACCCCTAAACTGCATATGTGTGGGGAATATGCCAATGAGCGTAGTGGAAAACAATAACTAGAAAGCCAAAAATGCTGAGCAGAGACTCTTTTCAGCTGCTGCCTACTGCCTACAGCTACTGCCTACAAAGTTCAGAATCTGAATCCCACCCAAGTTAGAGGGGCTTGGTAAATGCCTCAGATTTTCTATTGAAACCCCAGAAGGGGTGTGTGCTTTCAGTGTAAAGGAGTCACCGTAACATTAAGGGCAAAACCGAAACAGATCCTTCCTAACAAAGTATAACACTAAGTACCCAAAAGCTCAAGCTAATCAGCTAGAGATTTTATTGCCTGATAGAACAAAAAACAATCAACATTGTTTAAAAGAAGAGAGTTTGGAATCTCTAAAACAAAATTTACAGTGTTCATTATCTAACCAAAACTTAAAAGACATATGAGTGGGAAAATGTGACCCATAATCAAGAGAAAAAATAGCCACTGTAATAGATCTTGAGGTGACCTAGATATTAGAATTTTCAGACAAGAATTATAAAGCAACTACTATAATATGTCCAAGGATGTAAAGGAAAACATAGTCATCATGACTGAAAAGAAGGAGAATCTCAGCAGGATAATGGAAACCAATAAGAATAACCAAATGAAAACTCTGGAACTGAAAAATGTAACATTTGAAATAAATGAAGCATAGAAATGAAAAAATAATCAGTAAACTTAAACTCATATCAGTAAGAATTGTTCAATGTGAAAAACAGAATAAAGATTAAAAAACAATCAACAGAGCCTCAGTGAATTGTAGGATAATATCAAGTAGTCTGATATACATGCATTGTGATGCCAGGAGGAGAGGAGAGACAAAATAGACCTGAAAAAATATCTGAAGGAATAATAGCTGAAAACTTCCCAAATTGGATGAAAACATTAATTTATAGATTCAAGAAGCTCAGCAAGCTGCAAGCAAGATAAACACAAATAAAACTACACCGTGGAACATTATGGGAAACTAAACAGAAAAAGAAAATCTTTAAGACAGCCAGAGAAAAATAATATCTTATACACAGGGGAACACAGATACAATTAACTGAAGAATTCTCATCACAAATATGTAATACAGTGCAAAGGCATCTTTAAGGTGCTGAAAGACAAAAGAGAAAAAGGAAGAACTGTCAAGCCAGAATTCTTTTTTTTTTTCTTTTTTTTTTTGAGACAGAGTCTCACTCTGTCCCCAGGCTGGAGTGTAGTGGTGCTATCTCAGCTCACTGCAACCTCTGCCTCCCAGGTTCAAGCGATTGTCCTGCCTCAGCTTCCTGAGTAGCTGGGACTACAGGTGCGTGCCACCATGCCCAGCTAATTTTTGTATTTTTAGTAGAGACAGGATTTCACCATGTTGGCCAGGATGATCTCAATCTCCTGATCTCATGATCCGCCCACCTTGGCCTCCGAAAGTGCTGGGGTTACAGGCATGAGCCACCACACCCAACCCAGAATTCTAAATAATCAAAAATATCCTTCAGAATTGACAGTAAAATAAAGACATGTTGGGATGTACAAAATATGAGAGAATTCATTTCCAGTAGGCCTACACTACAATAAATTGACAAAGAAAATTTGTCAGGCCACAGGGTAATAATATGAGATGGAAGCTCAAACCTACAAGAAGAAAATATTTATAGGAAATAATAAATATGTGGGTAAATCTTTTTTTAATTAATGTAAGAATCAAAATATTATTTTGTGGGATTTGTGATGTATGCAGATGTAAAATATATAACAAAATAGCACAAACAATAAGGGAAGGCAAGTGGAATTCTACACAACTGCAAAGTTTTTACATTTTATGTGAAGTGATATGACATTAAATCTAAATAGACTGGGGATAAGATAAAGATGTGTGGTATAATACCCAGAGAAACCACTAAAAACAAATATCCAAAAGCAGCAGAGCTAAGAAGTCATTGTAGGAATTAAAATAAAATACTAAAAAATAGATTAACATAAAAGATGGCGGGAAAGAAAGACCAGAAATGAAAAACAGAAGGTATCAATAGAAAACAAATTGAAAAATAGTAAACCTGAACCCAGTCATATTAGTAACTGCATTAAATACAAATGGACTGTCATAGTCCATTTAGTGTTGCTATTACAGAATACCTGATCCTGGGTGGTTTATGAAGAAAAGAGGCATCCTTAGCTCGCGGTTCTGCAGGCTGTATGGGAAGCAGGGCATCAGCATCTGCTTGGCTTCTGGTGAGGACTTCTATGCTGCATCAAAACATGATAGAGAAGGGCAAAGGGGAAATGGGCAGGTGCGAAGAGGGAAACCTAAGAGATGGTCTGGCTTTATAACAACCTACTCTTCCAGGAACTCTTTCATCTCCTCTAGAGCTAATTTATTATCTCAAGAGTGAGAACTCACTCACCTTCAGGGAGGACATTAATCTGTTTATGAGGCATCCATGCCCATGACCCAGACACCACCCTCTGGGCCCCAGCTCCCAATACCACCACACTGGGGATCAAATTCCAACATGAGATTTGATGGAGACAGACAAACCATATCCAAACTATAGCATGGACTGAAAAAACTCCAATTAAAAGGAAAAGATTGTCAGACCAGCTACAAAATTAAGACTGCCTGCGGTCTACATGATACGTACTTTATTTATTTGTTTGTTTGTTTATTTATTTATTTTTGATACGGAGTCTCGCTCTGTCACCCAGGCTGGAGTGCATTGGCGCGATCTCAGCTCACTGCAAGCTCCGCCTCCCGGGTTCACGCCATTCTCCTGCCTCAGCCTCCTGAGTAGCTGGGACTACAGGCGCCCGCCACCATGCCCGGCTAATTTTTTGTATTTTTAGTAGAGATGGGGTTTCACCGTGGTCTCCATCTCCTGACCTTGTGATCCACCCTCCTCGGCCTCACAAAGTGCTGGGATTAAGGCGTGAGCCACCGTGCCCGGCCAATACGTACTTTAAATAAAACACAAGTAGGTTGAAGCCAGAAGACAGAAAAGATAAACTATGTAAATAATAAGCATAAGAAAGCTGATTCGTGACCATATTAATGCTACCACATAGACTTCAAGACAAAGAGTATAAGAGGCAAAAAAGGACATTTTATAATACTCAAAAGGTCACTGGTAAATTCTATGAAAACTTTAAGATATATTTATATCAATGGAACACCAACAAATGAACTAACACTCTTATACAAACTTTCAGAAAATAAAGGGAGAAGGAAAACTACCCAATTTATTGTATAAGGTCAGTACAACCCTGATACCAAAACCTGACATAAACTTGATAAGAAAAGAAAAATATCATACAATATCCCATCAATGTTTGCACAAACACTGATGCAAAAATTATTCACAACATATTAGCATATCTGATTCAGTGACGCATGAAAATAATGTAATTCACTATGACTAAGCAGGATTTATCACAGGAGTGCATGGTTGGTTTACCATTAGAAAATCACTTAATGTATTCCACTATATGAATAGAATAAGGAAGAAAAACCACATGGTCATCTAAATAGATGCAGAAAAAGCTTCTGGCAAAATGGAGCATCCATTCATGATTTAAAAAGAAAAAAAAAACACTCCCAGCCAACTAGGACTAGAAGGAAACTTATTTATTCTAATGATGGCCATCAGGAAAAAAAAAAAAAAAAAAAAGGCCGGGCGCGTTGGCTCACACCTATAATCCCAGCACTTTGGGAGGCCAAGGCGGGTGGATCATGAGGTCAGGAGATCAAGACCATCCTGGCTTAACACGGTGAAAACCCGTCTCTACTAAAAATACAAAAAATTAGCCGGGCATGGTGGCGGGCACCTGTAGTCCCAGCTACTCGGGAGGCTGAGGCAGGAGAATGGCATGAACCCGGGAGGCAGAGCTTGCAGTGGGCTGAGATCGTGCCACTGCAGTCCAGCCTGGCCAACAGAGTGAGACTCCTTCTGAAAAAAAAAAAAAAATTGAAAAACCTACTGCTAAATTCATATTCAATAGTGAATTTCCAAGCACTTCTTCCTAAGATCAGGAATACAGCAATGATATCTACCCTTATCACCTCTATTCAACATTGTCCTGGAGGTTTTGGTCAGGCAATAAGGCAAGGAAAGGAAGTAGTAGACATAAAGATTGAAAATAATTACTGTTTATGGACAAAGTCCTAAGAATCTAAGGACTACTACTAAACAAGTACTAGAATCAGTAAGTAAACTTATAAAGGTCAATAACCAAAAATCTATTGTGTTTCCATTTATCAACAATAAACAATTGGAAAATGAGATTTAAAAAGCAATTCCATTTAAACTGACATAAAAAACATAAAAACTGAGTAAATGTAGCCAAAGAAGTGTAAGACTTGTATAATGAAAATTACAAAACATCTTTGAGAGAAATTTAAAACCTAACTAAATGGAGAGACGTTCATGAATTGGAAAACTTGATAGTGTTGACATCTCGATTTTTCTCATCTTGATCTATAGATTCAACACAATCTTGATCAAAAGACCTGCAGGACATTTTTATAGAAAATGGTTTTACAGATTCTAAAATCTTTATAGAAAACCAAAAGAGGTAGCCAAAACAGTCTTTAAGAACAACAGAGTTAGAGGCCTTACAGTACCTGACTTCAAGACTTACTGTAAAACTAAAGTAATTTAAGACAGTGTGGCACTGATATAAGGGCAGACAAATAAATCAATAGAAAAAATAGTCTAGAAGTGGATCCATATGGATATGGTCATTTGATTTTCCTCAGAGACACCAAAGCAGTCCAGTGGGGAAAGCCGGGTCTTTTCAACAAATGATGCCAGAGCAACTTCTCAGGGGAAAAATGAATCTCATACCACACACAATTGAGAGGGAGCACAGATCTCAATATAAACGCTAAAACAACAAAGTTTCTAGAGGAAAACAGAAGACAGTATCTTTACAACTAGGAACAGACAGAGATGTCTTACAGAGGTCACAAAACCACACAACATGAAAGAAAGTTCTAATGGATTGGACTTCATCAAAATTTAAAGATAACTGCTCATCAAAATGAAAAGTCAAGCTGCGAACCGGGAGAATATATTCGCAATACGTGTATCTGACAAATAATTTGTGTCTAGAATATATAAGATATTCTGACAATTCAATGACAAAATTATAAATTTCTTAAATGGACAAAAGCTTTGAACAGACAAAAGAAGATACACAAATTGGCCAATAAGCAGATGAAAAGGTGCTTTTCACTAATAACGTTTATTTTAGGGAAATACAAATTAAAGCCACAATGAGATACCAGTATACACCCACTAGAATGGCTCAAATTAAAAATACCAATACCACTAAATCATGGTAAGTGTATGGAGCAATTTAAACTCTCATGCGTTGCTAGTAGGAGTGTAAAATGGCCTAACAATTTTTGAAAACTGTTTGTTTCTTATAAATGAACACACATTTATTGCATGACCTAGCCATTGCATTTGTAGGCATTAGTACAAGAAAAATGAAAAACATATTCATTAAAAAGATTCGTGCAAGAATATTCGTAGCTACTTGATTCATAACTGTGCAAAACTGAACCCCAATGTCCATCAACTCGTGAATAAACAGTTGTGGTATATTCATACAATGGAATACTTCTAATCAAATAGCAACAAACTGCTCACGCTATAGCATGGATCAATCACAGAAGCTTATGTTAAATGAAAGAAGCCAGACACATAAGAGTGTATACTGTAAAATTTGCTTTATGTGAAGTTCAAGAAAAAGGCAACAGGGGTTGCTGTGAGAGGCTGGGGATTGATTGGGAGTTGCCATGATGGGATATATATATATATATTTTTTTTTTGAGACGGAGTCTCACTCTGTCACCCAGGCTGGAGTGCAGTGGTGTGATCTCAGCTCACTGCAGCCTCTGCCTCCTGGGTTCAAACGATTCTCCTGCCTCAGCCCCCCCAAAGTAGCTGCGATTACAGGGAAGCACCACAACGCCCAGATAATTTTTGTATTTTTAGTAGAGATGGGGTTTCACCATGTTGGCCAGGCTGGTCTCGAACTCCTGATCTAGTGATCCGCCCACCTTGGCCTCCCAAAGTGCTGGGATTACAGACATGAGCCACCACACCCAGCCTATATATATATATATATAGTTATGTGACAGCTTTTTTACCTGATAATAATTAACCTGTTTTGAACACTTACCTTAACAAGGTACAACTCTTGGCACTTGACATGTGTTATCCTCTCTAACCCTTACAGCAATCCAGTAATACTCCTGTTTTACCAGTAGAAAGAGGCGAACTAATGTCCCTGTGTTTATTAACTTAAAGTGGCAAAGCCAAGATTTGAACCCAAGATTCAGATCCTAGAAGCCAAGCTCTTAACCACTGTCCCATTCTGCTACTATCCCAGAGCTCTTATATTGTTTCTCTAGAGACAATAACCATCTCAAGAAGATCAAGTAATTGAAATAATGCCTGAAAAGCAGTAGGTCAACATCCTGCTAGACTGTTGCCTATACTAGAAAAATTCTAGGAATAATGAGCAGATGAAGATTTCCAAGATTCCATGAAGGCCACAATTTGGCAGGATCACTGTGCTTGCTCAATCCACATTTACCACCACTGAAAATCCACTCTCAAGTCAAGGGTCAATTACACAGGCTTGTAGACAGATCCCAAGAGCATATCCTTCTACATTTGTAGATAACCCTCAATCGTACAAAGTAACTGTAGCCTTAAAGAATAAATGAAGATTTGAGGCTGAGCGCAGTGGCTCACACCTGTAATCCCAGCACTTTGGGAGGCCGAGGCAGGCGGATCACGAGGTCAGGAGATCGAGACCATCCTGGCTAACACGGTGAAACCCTGTCTCTACTAAAAATACAAAAAAATTAGCCGGGCATGGTGGCATGTACCTGTAGTCCCAGCTACTCGGGAGGCTGAGGCAGAAGAACGGCGTGAACCTGGGAGGCGGAGCTTGCAGTGAGCTGAAATCACACCACTGCACTCCAGCCTGGGTGACACAGTGAGACTCCATCTCAAAAAAAAAAAAAAAGATTTGAAATGACCTACATAAATCAGAAATAAACAGAGAGTGTTGAACTCCTCGGAGGAAAAAATAAACAAAATGAGGCAGAAGGAAAATGATCCAGCCAGGTGTACAGTAAAAGACTTGGAAACTATTATAAGCTCAGACCGCATTATAAGTCTTATAACTGTTATAAGCTCAGACCCATGAAATGTTCCTTCTTCAAAAATTAATATATTAGTTGGAATTCATATATGGAAAGTGCCTGTTTCGTAATAGGCACTAAATAAATCATTGTTCCTCCTGTTATAACAATATTCATAACTTATAAAAGCTATAAAACAGCCTCGTGTCTGCAGTTGATACTGATCAGAGCTTTACTAGAATTTTTCTCTTCTTTTTTAAAACTAAAACGTGGAAAACTAAGAAGATGTTAAGGGTGGTAAAAACAAAAATTAATAGAAAGTTTTAAAAGATCTCATGAAGCTAGGGCTGAGGAGGAGAAAGACTGAGTGGTCTACTCCAGAGATGCCAGCCAGAGTGAGCTCTTCTCCAAGGACAGGACCTTCTCCAAGAGTAGGACCATCAGCAAGAAGCGTGTGGCTTTACCTCTCCCCAGAGTGAAGGATGCAGGTCCTGCAGGAGGCTGAAGAATTCACCTCCACCACTGACTTCTATTTCAAAATGTCTTGGAAGACGTGAGCACCACAGATTGGTGGAGCAGGTCTGGATGATGCCCAGAGGCTCTTTCAGGTACATAATGTGCAACTTGGAGTCATATAGAAACATGCAAAGTGCAACATGTTCATGTCAGTGTCCCTGCATTGATATAATATTCATTAAAATTTTTTAATTAGCTCATTGTAGCACTATCTTAGAAAACATTAAATATGGAGGGAAAAAATACAGAGGAACAATTGTGTGCTAAACATATAAAGAAATCTATCATTTATGCAAGTGCATTTAACAATAAGGTTACACAAACTGATCATAGAGTAGTGTCTGGAAGTTGAGAGATCAAGGTCGATTTGAGAATTGTTACCAAAAGATTTTCTTTTCCAGAGAAACTTGAAACCTTCCTGATACTTATTTTGGCTCTAGCAATATATGTCTAAAATGATGAACTGTGGCTGATCTTTTAGTCTATGAGGTGTCCGTCCACAGAGACCTCCTTTTTGTATCTGTTTAAGTGATTTGCCACAATCATTTCAGCTAAGAAAATGAAAAACCTAGCATACAGCCTTTGTCTAGAGAAAGTTGGCCAGATCCTGTTTCTCCAACTATTGGAAACCAAGAATAAAAAATAAAATAGAAAGGGCCTCTTCAAGTTCCTCAGACCCCACCTCATTAGTTAGAATCACAAATTAGACTGGAGGCCTGCAAAGGGGCATGGCTTATTCAGTGAATAAGGAAGGAAGACTGACCAGCCTTTGCCTACCAAGGAGTCAGCTTTGGGCTGGGGAGAGTTACTGAAGGAGAAGAGGTGAGGAGGAAAGGTCAGTTTCACCTGAGAGGGCGATTAGGCATTGCTGTTGTATTTGTTTTGCTCTCAGAATAAAACACTAAAACACAGGAATGTCTGTTGGAAATGATACCATCATAGAAAAAGACTGCGAACCCCATTTTCTGTGTTCTGGCACGACATTGGAAGGTCCGGGTTCCCAGAGGTCGTAAAAGAGAGTTTATAAAATTAGGGAGTCTGGCTGGGCATGGTGGCTCACCCCTGTAATCCCAGCACTTTGGGAGGCTGAGGCAGGCAGATCACCTGAGGTCAGGAGTTCAAGACCAGCCTCGCCAACATGGTGAAACCCCATCTCTACTAAAAATACAAGAAAATTAGCCGGGCATGGTAGCGGGCGCCTGTAATCCCAGCTACTCAGGAGGCTGAGGCAGGAGAATTGCTTGAACCTGGGAGGTAGAGGCTGCAGTGAGCTGAGGTCACACCATTGCCACTCTAGCCAGAGCAACAGAACAAGACTCTCTCTAGAAAAAAAAAAAATAGGGAGTCTATATTCCCCTGTCTCCTGTTTAATTGCCCAGGGCCCACCCTTTGTCTTCTACACCCAGGCTCCTTCCAAATGTACCTTTCCTCGGGGGGTTATCTAGGTCAAGGTTCCTCAAATATTTTTTAATTTAATTTTTTAAAATTTTAATTGTCTGTAATCCTAGCACTTTGGGAGGCTGAGGCGGGCGGATCATGAGGTCAGGAGATTGAGACCAACCTGGCCAACAGGGTGAAACCCCATCTCTACTAAAAATACAAAAATTAGCTGAGCGTGGTGGCACGTGCCTGTAATCCCAGCTACTCGGGAGGCTGAGGCAGGAGAATCGCTTGAACCAGGGAGTCAGAGGTTGCAGTGAGCCGAGATTGTGCCACTGCACTGCAGCCTAGCGACAGAGCGAGACTCTGTCTCAAAAAAAAAAAAAAAAAAATTAACTCTGGCAGAATACACATAACATAAAATGTACCATCTTAACCATTTTCAAGTGTGCAGTTCAGTGGCATCAAGGATTAATACATTTACATGTTGAGCGGCCGTCACCACCCTCTCCTTAGAACTCTTTTTATCTTCCCAAACTGAAACTCTGTGCCCATTAAACAATAACTCCCTGTTCCCTGCTCCTCCCCATTTCTGGTAATCACCATTGCTGTCTCTTTACATTTGACTACTCTGGGGACCTCATATAAGTGGAATCATACAGTATTTGTCCTTGCGTGTCTGGCTTATTTTCCAAAGTGTAATGTCCACAGGGTTCATCCATGTTGCAGCATGTGTCAGAATTTTCTTCCTTTTTAAGGCTGAGTAATATTCCATTATATGTACAGACCACATTTTGTTTATCCATTTATCCGTCAATGGACACTTGGGTTGGCTCCACCTTTTGGCCATTGTGAATAAGGCTGCCAGGAACGTGGGTTTACATTATCTCTTTGAGCCCCTGTTCTTAATTTTTGGGGGTATATACCCACCTCAAAACTTTATGACTATAACCTACACAGTCAGAAGTACATTTTATACCGTATCCTTTGTGAATGTGTGTACTGAAGCAAAAGTGTCGCAAAGATCACCTACCATTACTCTGACATTTTCTATTCCTCATCTTTTTAAATGCAGGTCACAATTGCACATGTTCACTTTTGTCAGCCCCTGTTCACAAAACACAGTAGAGGTTACTGACCAACTTCTGAGATGCTTTGTGCCAAAGGAGTGAGGAAGGAGAAGGAAATGGCATGCACTGGGCCCCTGCCATGTTTCTAGCCCTGGCCTAGTCACTTTGTGTAAATGATCTCTTCAGTCTTCCCAGTAGCTCTGAAAGCTGGGCTCGTCTTTCCTCAATTTACAGATGAGGAAACTGAGGCTGAAAGAGCTCAGCCAGTGAGTGTCTTCCTACACAGGCCTTTCCTCTGGTGCACGCTGCCAAGAGGCGACTAGAATATATGGCTCCCTGAAGTATTCCCCTTGGAGAACCCAAGAGCATTCCAGTAGGACCTAGGAAAGTTTTAACCCAAAGAACTGACAACCCAGAATATTTTAGGACCCATTCATAGGTTCAACAAGTAGGCATTTGGAATATATGTCATGGGAGAAGGGAAGTTTTCAGTGACTCCAGTTAGACCACATAAGCAATGGTTTACTTCAGTTATGATTAAGGTGGGGAACAGTCTCTGGAAGCGAGTTTGGCCCTTTTGCAATGAGCTCTTCAGTCCACAGAGACATGAGTTAAGAAACTTCAGCTACTCCATACTCACTGTGGCTTTAACAGGTGCCAACGTTTTTCTGAGGAGTCGCCCGGGCTGTGGGAGATTGTGGCTGGTATTACCATATTTATTGACTGCAGCAAGCAATCAATAAATATTGCCTGACATTAACAGACTGCCTGTGCTTCCTCCCAATGTTATCTTTAATGAATCTTCATGCTCTTGTGTTGAAGTGTTTCTAGCATTGAGAACATAGTACTTATTCAATAAGCAAGTACAGTATGAATAAATGAAGGAATGCAGGATACTACAAAGGATGGCTGGAACACATACATTCGCTGTGCGTCTTCTTTCAGAAATACCATCAGCTGGATTTGTTCTCCCTCTTCCTTGGATTCTAGTTGAGATGTAAAACCTCCTAAATGCCAAGCTTGCATATTTGCACACTGAAGCCCGCCCACCTTCCACCCCTAGATCGCAGGTTCTCTTTGCACCCGCATGCCTCTAATGCTGACCCCTTCTCAGGCAGCCTGGGACCATAAAGATACTTGGCATGCCTTAGATGCCTATTTTGTACCAGGCAGTCTACTGGACATGTTGTCTCATTTAATCCTCATAACAATCCAATGAGATGTATTATTACATTATTACATCTCATATTACAGAAGAGAAAAACGAGGTCTCAGAGAAGTGAGTTGGCTCCTGGAGGGGTTTGCAGTCATGAGCCGCAGAGCCAAGATTCCGACTGGGTCCGCCTGCTCCAGATCCTCTTGGAGACACCACACGCGGCCTGGCACAGAGGGCACATGAAACGGGAGAGATGTTAAGGAAGAAACCCCATTTCTGAAGAAAGGGCTGGTATTTCCCTAAAAGCCCTTAATATCTGCCCTCCCTCCCTACTGTCAAGAGAATTGCATCTTGAGGCTGTGAGGAGGCTGGGGAGGAGCGACAGGAGGAAGCCTGGCTCCTGTCGCTGAGTGAGCCTGGTATTTCTGTGCAGTGATGGGGGCCTTGGAAACCGCAGGGGCTGCAGTCTGGGATTCATCTGACATTCCGAGTAGCTGGCAGAAGTCAAGTGACAGCTTCCCAGCCTCGTCCCACCTGCTCACCTCAGAGGGCCTTCTGCTGTTGGCAGAGTGTATTTTAGTAAAGCTGTGCTCACATGATCCTGCCAAAGCATGTAAAATATGTTAGCCTCTGCCTCCAAGGTTCTACCGCAGAGAATTCCACCCCCACTTTTAACTTCTTAAATGACTGAAATATCCAAAGGGACAGGGAATGTGGAGATAATGGGCAGGTGACCAAACTTTCACATTCAGGCAGGCACTCACCTTTTTGTGTCAAAAAAGGCTATTCTTGCTTTAAAAATAAGGATTCCATGGGATTTCAAGGATTTAGTTAGAATACTGCAGGTGTTGGTATATCATGATTAAGAGGTAACAAATACTGAATACTGGCCAGGCACAGTGCCTCACACCTGTAATACCAACACTTTGGAAGGCTGATCACTTGAGGTCAGGAGTTCGAGACCAACTTTACCAACATGGTGAAACCCCATCTCTACTAAAAATACAAAAATTAGTCGGGCATGGTAGCGCACGCCTGTAATCCCAGCTACTTGGGAAGAAGCTGAGGCATGATAATCCCTTGAACTGGGGAAGCAGAGGTTGCAATGACCCAAGATCGCAACACTGCACTCCAGCCTGGACAATAGAGACTCTGTCTCAAAAAAAGAAACAAAAAACAAATACTGAATACTGTGTGCCAGGCTCTGTATTAAATACTTTATAAAAATAAGGGTAATAGTGTAACAATTCTGCAGGGACAATAAGTGTAAGCTGAAACATAGGATCACCCTATACATGAATCAGCTCTTCGAATCTTTATAGCAACTCAGAAAGGAGACAACATTAGAATATCCCATTGTATAGATAAGAAACCAAGGCAGAGAGAGCTCACCCAGGTAGGCAGCATGGCCAAGCCAGGATTTTACCCCAGAGGTGTTTGACTCAGAAGCACTTGTTTTCCTCACTGCCTCAGACTACAGACACCTGAGCTGCATTAAAAACATGGATAAACAAATGAAGTTCAAAGTGGTTTCCAGATGGCTGGAAACCCAGTGATTTGGGACTATTTCATTTGAAAATCTGCTTAACAGTAAAGCTAGACGATCAAGTTCGATTAATTGGCTTTGGGGGTAGGGATGAGAAAGAGTGTCATTTATTTGCTTGTGGAGTTTCTGGGAGTAAATAGAATAATAAGTAGGGTGAAACAAGAATAACCAGTAGTTGGATAGAACTGATAACCATATAGCTTCACTTCTTGGAACAGTAGTATCATGCTAATTTCACACAACCTTGGAAGTTGTATCCTCTGAAAATAAAGAGAAGTTTCTTTTTAATGAGTAAATACATAAAATATTGCTATTTATAATTTTTTTAAAATACCCATTTGACTGCAAGAGAAAAATCTTTTCTCTCATGACCCAGTTATCAAAGTGGAGACATTCTCTGACTTGGTGAGTTTTATCTTTCTATTGATAGTTTGGGCTAGATCACGTGATCTTCACCCCTAAAACTTACTGAGCATTTACTGTGTTCTTGGCACTGTTCTGAGTGCTTGTCTCATACTCTTACGGCTCTCTGGGGTGGTTATCCCCATTTTCAGATAAGGAATATGTGCACAGAAAGGTTAGGAAACTGGACCAGCCTCACACAGCTAGTTTGTGACAGAGCTAGGGTTTGAACCCAGTTTGACTCCTGAACTCATACTTTTTTCAAAAAAGAGATCTCCCTATTTGCCTGGGCTGGCCTTGAACTCCTGGGCTTAAGTGATCCTCCCTGCTCAGCCTCCTGAGTAGCTGGGTTCACAAACAGGTGCTAGAGCACCTGACTCTGCACCCGCCTAGAGCCCATACTTTTTCTCACACCTCTGTGTGATTATTTTGTTTCTCCTTCTGGTACTTTCTCCCTTTACCCCCTTCTGTTTCTCTTCCTTCTTCACCTATCTTGTATTATTCTTTGAATTGAATTAAGAATTTAAAGTCCAGTTTAAGAATTTAAAGTACAGCCTCCATTTCAGCTATTAAACTTCAAAATAGTTCCAAAATACTGAATATCAATGTGTCTCTAAATAAGAGAACGGCATTTTGGAATTATGTGTCGCCCTCCTGGGTTTCTTTAGATGTTCAGAAATACACCTGAATTAATAATTAATGTAATTAAGATCTTCATCTTATCTTTAAATGTCAGAAGCATATCAATATTTTTATCTGCCCTTTCAAAATGCCCAAAAAGTGATCATTTTATTACATTTCAACATTCATGTGAATTCTATTGGGTTTTCTAATAATCACTATTACTAATCATGCTAAATTGCCCCAAAGTGAGCACTGAGGAGAGAAAACTATATCAGTGCCTTCAAAAGTACTAAATTTGGTGTTCAGATTTTGAAGGAAAAAATTAAAACTGGAGCATTTGCATTGTTCTGTTACTGCGCCAAGGTCCCATGTTGCCTGGGGGACCAATTTTGCAAGCTCTGGCCTGGCCTGACACCGAGTGAGACCTGAAACCTGGGATGGACTTCTTTAATATAAGGATGTGACATGCTCTGTGGAGCTTTTAGTACAACTTACTGGGTCAAAAATAAACTAAAATGAGGTAATCAAGAACATTACATCTAGACAAAAAGCGTTCAAGAGGATAGGAGTGGAAATTTCTCTTCTTCCAGGAGTTGTAAATGGATGCCTTTGTTTTTTTTAAAATCCCTTCCATTGAACCTCCAAAGTAGTGTTGCCAGATAAAATATAAGACGCCCAGTTAAATTTGAATTTCAGATAAACAGTAATTTTTTACAATATGTATGTCCCATGCAATACTTGAAAATAATTTGTAGTGTAAATGTGTCTCATGCAATATTTGGGACATACTTATGCTAAAAATTTGTTTGTTGTTTACCTGAAATTCAAATTTAACTAGGCATCCTGTATTTTCATTTGCTAATTCTAACAACCCTACCAAACATCATAGAGACTGTAGTCCAGTCCACCAACCGGACTTTAAATTCTTAATTCAATTCAGAGAATAATACAAGATAGGTGAAGAAGGGAGAGAAACAGAAGGGGGTAAAGGGAGAAAGTACCAGAAGGAGAAAGAAAATAAGAATGAATTCTGGCAATCTGCCAACCAAAATAACTAAATTTTGCAAGAAAGAAATCCTAAAACTGAGGTCATAGGATGGAAAAAGTCTGCTTCACAGACTCTTTAGCCTGAAGATTGGCCAAAAAAAGAAAAAAAAAAAAAAGGCAGGCATCCTATTAACATCTAAATACCAAAGCTCTTCCAGGAATGGAAAGATTTGGAATGTGAAGATTCTTAGCTTTGGAACTTTGTTAAAATACCACAACTTGTTTATTAATTGCAAGGGGGATTTTTTTTTCAGCGAGATACTTTGGTAATTCAATATCAAAGAAGGCTACCTAACTTCAGTTTATGTTACTAAGACGCGTTTGAAACTTCGTGGATAACCTTTTGTTTGTTTGCCTCGTGCTGAAATGCAAAAAAATTATCTGATACTTGATACGAAGAGGAATTTACCTCTGTTTAAAAATCACACATTTCTCCCATGAAGCATGAAGATGGCTTTTTTAATTTAAAAATATTAACTGACAGCTTCAAGATTGATTTTTTTTTCTTTAATCTCTAACCAGACAAATTACTAAAAGCAAGAAGGCTCTTCCTTTAATCTTGGACATGTCACAGATATGACACTGTTCTGTAGGAGATGGCTTTTTAACTGTGGATGGGGAAGAATAACCTTTGGAATTTTAGGATGTTGTTACAGGCAAGTTTACTAGTTTTTGACTTGCTAAGCCACAACTGGAGCCAGCCTTCATCGGGGTAAGAATATTTTCATTGTACTATTATATCTTCGGTATTTCAAAAGTAGGATGATTACATTCTGGGGAATATGGCCTTTGAGGCTTGTGCTGTCTGCTGAATATGCAAATGTGAATGTCCTATAAAAGAGGAGAGGAACTGACAGTTTCTGTCTGTGCCGTAAACTTTAAAGAGTCCAACAGATGATATGTTGGGGCTGCTGGAGCAGGAATTGGATCACACCATCATTTTAGATAAAAGAAGAATTTGTATTTCTTTGAGAGGCATTTAGAGGGCTGGGCTTACAGCTTCCCTCAAAGCCAAACAGCTATATGCGAGACTCTCATTTCTGTAGTTGTTTGGTGATGTTACTGCTGCTTTAAAACAAAAAATCGGCCTAATGGTGCAAGGAATTTTCTCACCAAATTAATTATGGGTCTGCCTGATAATATTTTTTTCTAATCAGTGAAATATGAACTATTATTGCCTTTTCTATAGTCCTTCCTCCATTCTGTGTCTTACTGTTTCTTTTATAAGGTGCATTGTGTGGTTAGTTCAGATAAAGAACAATGAAATTTTGTATACTTTACATTAAAGATACTACAAAAACTTCCAAAGCCAGGCTCTTTCCAGAGGGCCAGAGATGGTAAGCCCACAAGCCTGGCTGCCTGGAGAAATCCGCTGAGAAGCCACAGGGAACCATCAGCCCACCAGTGACAGCCCGGATAGAAGCAGGTGCTGTTTTAATAGGAGAAAAGTGTAAAGTTAATTGTCAGGCAATCTGAATGACAGAGGACCAATCGGTATGGTAAAGTCAAGTATCCTATCCAGATAGTTTATTTTTCCAAACCAGTCCCCTGACTATGGTTTATAACCAGGGTGTACATCAGAGCACTTGTGGAGCTTTTTAAAAATATTAATACCTGTAATCTGGAGAGTCTGGGTCTACCAATACCTGCCTTATGATTCTAATATACATACATGGTTGAACATCGTAACTCGAGAGGTCCCAAACCTGGTTTAACCCTCTAAATCACTGAAGAAACTTTAAAATGCTGCTTCCTGGGCCCCCTCTACCAGGGATTCTGCTTAAGTGTGGCTGGGTTGGGGCCTGGGAAGCTGTATTTTTGCAAAGTTTCTTAATCGATTTTGATGTTTGGTCAGATTTGGAAACCACCATTGCCCCAACAGGATCACATTAATTTCAGCAACCCAAAGGGCGTGTTTTTTTTTTTTTTTTTTTTTTTTTTGAGGCGCAGTTTTGCTCTTGTCACCCAGGCTGGAGTACAATGACACGATCTCGGCTCACTGCAACCTCCGCCTCCTGGGTTCAAGTGATCCTCCTGCCTCAGCCTCCTGAGTAACTGGCATTACAGGTGCCCGTCACCATGCCCTGCTAATTTTTGTATTTTTAGTAGAGACAGGGTTTCACCATGTTGGCCAGGCTGATCTCAAACTCGTGACCTCAGGTGATCCACCCACCTTGGCCTCCCAAAGTGCTGGGAATGCAGACGTGAGCCACCATGCCCAGCCAACCCAAAGGTTTTTTAATGCAAAAGAAAAATAAGCTAGTCAGCTGTGTAGTTCATTTGGAGCAGCATCCTAAATTTCTATTTTTTTTTCACCTTAAACTTATTTCTAGCTTGATTCATGCCTGCTTCTCTCCCATTTCAGGAAGAAATGCCTGATCCTTTTCTCCTCTGGTGCCGTTGACCTCATTCTTTCTCTCCCCCTCCTCTCCCAGCCCCTCTCTTGTTGTTTTCTTAATTGTTCTTCCTACTCAGGCTTATAACATTTCCATATTTTCCCAAACAATACAAACACAGGCAAATCCATCAACCATTGTGACTACTGAGCACTCTCTCCTTTCCCATCCTTTAATTTCTCACCAGCCCTTCCTCCCTCACAGCTGGTTCCCAGCATCTGTGCATTGTGGGCCTCCATGGTTTAGTTGCCCCTGGGCCAAGCCTCTGACATCTTCCCAGTCTTTAACTTCCTTGACCTCTTTGCAGCATGGAACCCCATTGACAAGGCCTTCTTCGAACCGTCTATTCTTTGCTGCCATCCTACTATATCCTCTTGATATTCCTACCAGGGTTCAGCCTTGGGTCTGTTTTGGTTTTTTTCCTCTACCTTCTTCTCATGGTGATCTCATGCATTCCTATAGCTGCAATTTTCATCTCTGTCCAGATGCCTCCCAGATCGAGATCTCTAACTCTGATGTCTTCCTGGAGCTCTTAGCCAATCCTTCTGCTAAGAGTTTTTGACATCTGAGGTCTGAGCCCTAATGAATGGTTATATTCTTGTTCCTGTAAGGTACACCCCTGGTCATGAATGAGGGTGTGTTATATGTGGTACCTTCAGGCCTGGGGCCTGTGCCAATAGAGTATTACTGGATATAGGAATAGCTCTGACACCTCAAGGTCACCCTAGAAGTTGAAGGATTTCAGGGCTCACATATTTTAGACTCAAACTTCTAGAACACTGTTCTGACCCAGCTGAGCTATTGAAGATAGTTTTCACGGCACTGCTATCCTTGATTGACCTCCTAAGGGATCTGTCTCTCTTGAGAATAGGCCTCAACTCTAATTTCCTTGGGCCCAAGACCAAGAGTGGGCAAGGGGAGCCTAGCCTGCACCTTGCCACCTGGTGTTGGCCATTATCAGGGTGCCAGGAGCTGAAGTGGCACATGTTAGTGTCTACAGAGTGCCACGTGGGTAGTGCTAGGTCTTCCAGGAGGCTCAGCCACTGATGACTTTAAGGCATGCAGGTCTCCAGCATGGCTGCAGGAAAACTAAGAGAACTTGTTTCTAGTAGATCTACCCTTAAAGAATAGCTAAAGGAACTTCTCCACCAGAAAGAAAATGGTAAAAGCCCAAAGCTGAGATTTTCAGAGCAGGGAGAACAGGATGAGTAAAAATAGAAGTAAACATACTAGACTATTCTTTATCTCATGAGCTTCTTTCATCATATGAAAGAAATGGTGATGCAGAAGTTATAATGACATCTGATGGTGCTGGTCAGTGCATGTGGAAGAAATACTTAAGATAATTGTATTTTAAAACTGGAGGGGATACAGAGATCTAAATGGAGGTAAGGTCTCTACACCTCACTGGAAGTGGTAAAACATTGACACCAGTAAGCTGTGATAAGTTACCTATGTGTATGGCAATACTTAGAACAACCCCTAAGGAAACTGTGTACAAAGCAGTGTACTCAGAAACATTATAAGTAAATCAAAATGCAACTCTAAGAAATGTTCAAGGCCAGTTGCAGTGACTCATGCCTGTAATCCCAGTGCTCTGGGAGGCCAAGGCAAAAGCATTGCTTGAGGCCAGATGTGTGAGGATGTAGTGAGCTATGATCATGCCACTGCACTCCAGCCTGGGTGACAGAGTGAGACTCTGTCTCTAAACAAAAAGAAAAAAGAAGAAAAATGTTCAAGTACCCACATGAAGGCAAGAAAAGAAAAAAAAAAAGAGAGAAATGAGAAACAAAAGGAATAAAACAGTAAACGAAGAAAATGGCAGACTTCAATCCTAACACGTCAATAATTACTTTTAATGTAAATGGTCTAAATACATCAATTAAAAGACGGAGATTGGTGGAGTGGAACGTTTTCAATGAATGGTGTTGAAACAATCGGACATTCATAGGCTAAAATAAAATGAACTTCAATCCAAACTTCACATCGTATCCAAAAATTAACTCAAAATGCATTCGAACTTCTAGAAAAAAACTGTGATAGAATAATGCCCCCCACCGTATCATTCACATGCTCATCCCCAAAACCTGTGATTGTGTTACCTTACGTGGCAGAAGGAACTTTGCAGAGCCAGTGACAGATTTGGAAATGCTGCTGGCTTTGAAGATGGAAAAAGGGGCCATGAGTCCAGAAAGGCAGGCCGCCTCTAGAAACTGGAAAAAACAGGGAAATGGATTCTCTCCTAGAGGCCTCAGAAGGAACACAGCCCTGCATCATCTTAATGTTAGCCCAGTGATACTGATTTTGGACTTCTCACCTGCAGAATGGTAAATATACTTGTGGTGTTTTAAGCTACCAAATTTGTGTAATTTCTTATAGCAGCAATAGGAAACTAATATGAAAACATAAGAAAATATCTTTGGGACCTGGAAATGGATGAAGAGTTCTCTGACTTGACACAAAAAGCTTGATCCATAAAAGGAAAAACTGGTAAATTGGACTTCATCAATATTAAAAACCTTTTGCTCTGTGAAAGACCTACTAAGAGGATGTCAAGAGAAATTATGGCCTGGGAGAAACTATTTGTAAACCACATATTCAACAAAGGGCTTGTATGTGGAATATATAAAGAACTCCCAGACCTTAGCATTAAAGAAACCATCCAGTTACAACAATGGATGAAAGACATACACAGACATTTCATTGAAGTGAATATACAGATGGCAAATAAGCACATGAAAAGATACTGAACTTCATTAGCCATTAGCAAATACAACTTAAGGCCAGGCATGGTGGCTCACACCTGTAATCCCAGCACTTCAGGAGGCTGAGGCAGGCAGATCACTTGAGTCAGGGGTTCGAGACCAGCCTGGCTAACATGGTGAAACCCTGTCTCTACTAAAAATACAAAAATTAGCTGAGTGTGGTGGCCCACACCTGTAATCCCAGCTACTCAGGAGGCTGAGGCAGGAGAATCACTTGAACCTGGGAGGCGGAGGTTGTGGTGAGCTGGGATGGCGCCACTGCACTCCAGCTGAGTGACAGAGTGAGACTCTGTCTCAAAAAAGAAAAGAAAATGCATATTAAAACCACAATGAGATGAGATACCAGTACATACCTACCAGAATGTCTAAAATAATGATAACACCAAACACTGGCAAGGATGTGGAGTAACTGGCTCACTAACATATTGCTGGTGAAAATGTAAAATGGTATAGACACTCCAGAAAATAATTTGGTAGTTCCTTTTATAGCTGAAAATGGACCCAGCGGTTGCACTCTTGGGCATATATCCCAGAGAAATAAAAATATATTTTCACACAGCAACTTGTACGTGAAGGCTCATAGCAGCTTTATTTGCAATAGCCAAGAACCAGAAACTACCTAAAAGTCCATTGAATGCTACCCAGCAATAAAAGGAATGAACGGTTAATACATACAACTTGGATGGATCTCAGGGAATTTATGCTGAGTGGAAAAAAAGCCAATTTCAAAAGGATAGATACTTCACATTCCACGTATGTAACCTTTGTGAAATAGCATAACTATAGAGACGGAGAACAGATCAGTGGTTACCTGTGGTTAGGGTTGGGGTTGAGGGGTGGCTATACAGGGCTGGCATGAAAGACGTTTGTGGTGATGGTGTGGTTAAATACTTTGATTGTGGTAGACTGTTACGTGTAGCTACACGTGTGATAAAATTACATATAGCTACGTGCACACACATGCACAAATGAGTCCATGCATAACTGTTGAAATCTGAATAAGCTCTGTGGATTGTTCTAATGTCAGTTTCCTGGTTTCGACATTTTACTACAGTTACTCATGACACTAACCTTGGCAGAGGCTGGGTGAAGAGTGTTCAGGACTTCCCTGTACATTTTGTGACACCTTCATGTGAATCTATAAATATTTAAAATTTAAAGTTTTTGAAAACATACTCATCATTCTCAAAGAAGCAGCTTTCTATTTTTGTGTATTTTCTTTTAGTCTTAATCTGTCTAATAAACAGCATACCTGATGAGAATACTAACAGAATCCTCCAGTGTGCCAGTGACTTCAGGCCTCTAGCAGGAAGTCATGAGGTACCGAAGAGACGTTCTTTCCTTTTTGCTTCCTGGGCATTAGGAGGCCCTTGCTTTTTCTGTCTGCACGACCACACCTCACTTTGGTGTGCCATTTGTCATTTGTAGCCTAAGCTGAAAATGCATGGGAGTGAGTGTTACCAGTCTATCCTGCCGCCACCTTGCGCACACACCCACGTCCACACCCACACATCCTCACTTTGCCATCTAACCCAGTGTGCCAGCTTGCTGCTCCGGCCACTGTGGCATTCTAAATCCTATGGAGTCCAGCATGCCTAGTACTCTGGTCCTGGACATGCTGTCAGTCAGGGCCACACTGTCCCTTTCAGTATGAGTGTGGAGTGTTCCCCGGGAATTTACGAAGTGTGAAAGCATTGGGCCTCCTCAATCCCTGAGTACACGTGACCGTCTCACGCTCACTCCGAGGAGGTCAGGCAGGTGACCAAGGCCAGCCCCAGTGGACCTCACAACAGACAGACATTGTCTTTGGCCCTTTCTGTTCCTCCTTCTGTGCTTCCTCCTTCCCCCTGTCCCCATCTTCTGCCAACAGGCAACAGTTTGTCCTTCTGCAGCACAATTGCAAGTCTGTCTTCTGGACGTTGTTCTAAGCTCTGGAACTTCCCAGCTCCTAGTCCTTAATTCTGCCAGACAGGCTTCTCTGCCATGTGTTCTGTTCCCTCAGGACACTTTCAGGTAAACAGAGCTGACAAACCAATTTGTACTGCAGATTTAATAAGAGATATAAACCAAAATGTGGGTGGCTTTTAAGAATGTAATTTGTAAGTCCCCACCTTTATCTTCCTGCCATTTTTATCTTAACTGAAGATTTTGATGAAAGCCTTTACCTCAAATAAACAAGGTAATGTGAACGTGGGAATTTTGAGCACCAAAGAGAAGCCAATAAAACAGAGGCTTTGGCCAGGCACGGTGGCTCACGCCTGTAATCCCAGCACTGTAGGAGGCCAAGGCAGGTGGATCACAAGGCCAGGAGTTCAAGACCAGCCTGGCCAAGATGGTGAAACCCTGTCTCTATCAAAAATACAAAAATTAGCCGGGCATGGTGGCACACGCCTATAATCCCAGCTATTTGGGAGGCTGAGGCAGGAGAATCGCATGAACCCGGCAGGCGGAGGTTGCATTGAGCTGAGATCGCACCACTGCACTCCAGCCTGGGCGACAGAGCGAGACTTCGTCTCAAAAAAAAAAAAAAAGGAGGCTTTGAAGCAAGTTGCAGCAGCTGGATGTTCTCCCACAGACTCATTCTTACCTTGCAGGCAGAGTAGATACTGCCCAAAACATCATGAATGTTATTTGCAAAATCCACTTTCTTCCACGCTAAATGAGGAGCAGGAACCCTTGGTGGAAATCCAATTCCACAAGATGGGGATGAACCTAAATTCAGAAAGTTTCCCATGTTAACAGGTGGAAGCCCATAGACACCACAGAATGCGATTGGTTAGAATCATGTTTATCCCTCGATTCCCTTTCAGCAGTTGCCCACAAACAATTGATACACAGAAACCATTATGGTTCTGAACAGAAGGAAAGCATTGTGGTGACCTCAAAGAGTGAGGCAGAGATCGGCACTGCTGTAGATGAAATTGCCCATGCCCTATGCCCATAATCCTGTTTTGCACTTTTGTGTGTGAATTGAGGGACAGGGAGAAGAGTTCTCCCATAAACCTGGGACACAAGCTGAAGGAAGCCTGTGCCACTGCCCACCTCTGTGGGCACTACCGTCTGAGATACAAATTCAATCTCAGTTTAAATTCTCCCAGAAGTTACGTTATCCCTAGAAGTTCACTTGATGATTAATGCAGGTTTAGGAAGATATCATTAACTACAGCAGAAGATGAGAGAATTGCTCTCCCCACTTTTAGTATGCCAGGCGATAGGTCCTGTCACATCAAGGATTTTGATGTTGTTATTAAATGAGTGTCATTTAGGTGAACCGCATGGTCCCTCTTCTTACATTTTCATGTCCTGCCCATGACCCAGTGGCCCAGGAAATTGAACTGACCCCAGTGATCAAAGGGTGCCCATCAGAAACCAGCGGAAGCCACAGGTGAAGGGGTGGAAGGTGGCAGGCAGCTGGAGAGGCACAGCTTCCAACACCTGAGCAGAGGTTTCTTTGCATTCATAGGAAAACGCAGTGGTTTTTCAGCTAGACACTCATGTGAAACCTTTATATTATATAACTGTTATCCCAAAATGATTGCATCATTTAAATGTCTCATCCACAGAAACCACATGTGTGGTTGCTCAGGTATGCAGCTTTGTAAGGAACTGGCATTCTGAGTTGGTGAAGGGATTAGAGTTTTTTAAATCCCTGTTTACCAAAGTTTCTTATATATTTTACTAAAGCCATACACTTCTTACATTGATGTGCTCCCTTTACTGTTTTTCTTCTATTTAAATGTAAATATTAACATCAAAATAAAGCTAGAATGGGTAATCATATTTTTATAGAATCCAGTACAAACTAAAAATAACATTTTGGTTATATTTATGTTTCTTTTGATTAACTAATACAGTAAAAAGTTACCACCTAGTTAAAAATACAAGGTTTCTCTAAGGTACAATAATAAAACTAAGCTTATGCCTAAAATATTCTCACTGAGTGCCTGTGAATCCACGACTATTAGCACTGTGGAGCAATTTCTCCTTGCAGAAGAGTGCTAACTCTATCCATTAAAGCCTTGGAAATTGCTGGTAAATATGTAAAAAATCAAGTGCTTAAATGGATAGCAATTATTGGCAGAACCTAAACTGATACAAAAGTGTTCCACTGTCTCAATATCAAAAGCCCAAGAATGCCAGATTCCCAAAGTGAGTCAAAGTGCTTGGATTGCTTTGCATAAACATGGTTAGCCAGAATCAACACCCTGGGATTGGAGCTTGAGGTGGAATTTCCAAATCCTGCAAATGTTATGGCTACAGCCCCCCAGCACCCCAATGCTGGACAGCCTAAGGCATGAGTCACAGGCAGACTCTTGGCCAGTCAGCACTCTGCAGATACCAGCTTGGCCCTAATACTTACTCATTAGTGGTGCTGGAAGATATGGAGCTATCCTGTGGGTGGAGAAATGAACTTTAAAAAACACAAGTAAGCTACTAAAACAGTACTCCAAAAGCAAGTGTGAGAGATGCCTATCTAGAGATTATTGTTGCACAGATTAGATTAGGGTTTTCATGCTGGTGGGAAGTTCAGAGATGGGCTAGCTCTTGAAACTTTGGATTAGGTTCAGGAACAACATAGTGCTCTGCAGTGGCCCAATTCTACAGATGATACACACTTGGAATTATATTTTGAACAGCTGGGAATACACAGAAAATTTTTAAAGGAAAAAAAACAAACATAGAGCATCATAAATGAGACCTTATGATGCAGGTGTGCATATATTGGCAGCATGCAAATTCACAAAGTCAGGTATTTGTTCACTACCTTACCTTGTGTTCATAAAACAATGTTTGTGAAAGCACTTCCAATTCTGTTATATCATGTTGTCTTCAGCAATAGCCTGTGAAGAAGACAAAGCTGGTTTTATTATCCTCATTGTAAAGAAAGCACAAGGAAGTTATGGCTGAGGAGTTAACACCAGAACTAGGGCTAGAACTCAGATCCACTGATTCTCAGCTCTTCACACCTGGCAGAGATGTCAGACCCTAAAAGGTGTTCTCAGAACCTGGGTCCTTACCAGGATCTATTTTCCTCTTATTCTGATCGCAAGGGCCTTTCTGCAAGAGCAGAATGTCTTGCCTATTTAAATAAAGAATTACTGTTAACAGTAGAGGTATGTCCAGAAACCTAGTTTAGTATTTTACAAATTGCTCTTCCTCACTATATTTGCTCTGTAGTCCTGAAACTTGCATTTTTTTCTCTGTAAAAACTCTGGACTCTTCACAGTTGCTCTTTGGGTTGGAAAGTCCTTTTCAAAGTAAGATATCTACAATCTCAACCATACATACACACCCTCCCAATCTCCCACACCCAGGACAGTGATGGGCAGAAGTTGGGCAGAATTTGGGCAGGAAGGCCATCTCGCCCCACCTGCCGTGCTGCCCAGCTGAATGGGCGGCAGGACTCCATGTGGCATTTAGGATTCTCAAAGCTGCAGGAAACTGAATGGAACTCTTGTAAAACACGCCCTCGCCAGCTTTCTCCTACTTCTTCTAGTCTCTGCTTATCAAGAGCTAGGTGGACTTTTTGCCCTGGACTGAGATTCCGAGGTGGGAAGAGAAGTTGGATTAAGAGACTTGATGCCTTCAAAACGTTCAGGGTATGACAAGGGCCTCACTCCCTTAGAAAGAAATGGGTGATAGAAGAGGAAAGCAAAGGAAACTGCAAGGCTGGCAGGTCCCTGCCTATAGCCATCAAGAATTTCATCAGGCCAGGCATGCTGGTTCACATCTGTAACCTCAGTGCTTTGGGACGCCAAGGTAGCAGGATCACTTGAAGCCAGGAGTTGGTGACCAAGCTGGGCAACATAGCAAGACTCCATCTCTACAAAAAAAATTTTAAAATTAGCTGGGCATGGTGGCGCGTGCCTGTAGTCCTAGCTACACTAGGCTATGGCGGGAGGATCGCTTTAGCCCAGGAGTTTGAGGCTGCAGTGAGCCACTGCACTCCAGCCTGGGCAACAAATTAAGAGCCTGACTCAAAGAAGAAAAAAAAAAAAGAATTTCATTATTACATAGTTAGAAAGCACATGCTGTGCTATAAGATGTGGCAGAGCTTGTTAGTCCATGCTCTGGGCTTCCAGAGACCATGTCTAATACAGAAGGAAGAAAGAGCAATACAAGTGTAATAATAAGTTTGACCTGATTCTCTTCTCTTCGTAGAAAACCACATGGGTGCAGATATAACTGTGTAGGATGCCGATGCACACCCTGCATTAGACCTTTTGCAAATATTAAATGCAGAGTTTGAGTAATAGAAGTGTTAGATAAACCGACTTAAAATTGCACACTCTTTGGCTGAGATGCAATGATTTCTGCTCCCTGTGTGTAAATCACCTGAGCCTTGATGCTCTAACGTGCCATGAAGTTGGTGCAAAGAGTTGGAGTGGAATGAAGCTCTATGTTAATGAAACTTTTTATAGTTCTTCCAAGCAGCAAAGATTTTATGGGATATTATGTCAAACTGACTTCTCAGGCAATTCATTTGAGAATTTTATCTGCACCCCTCATGAAAAAAAAAAATAATCAATTTTGTCTGAATGGGTTTGGACAGCTAACTGTTGTCTGAGGCTGTCAGGCTGTGAGGAGTGAATGTCTTTCTTGGGAAAGGGATGACTAATGTTCAGTTAAAGAGCCCTGTTGGAGTGGTTGGGGCTTTGTTTTTAGTTTTTTTTTTTTTGGTTTTTTCTTTTGGTTTTTTTTTTTTTTTTTTTTTTCATTTTTCCAGTAAGTAATCTTTTCATAGATTCTAGAGAGCTCTCTGGCTAGGGAAAACGACCCTGTGATTGATCATCTTTGGTTTCAGAGATATTTTATTGCAGTCTCTTCATCACCTCAATCATCTTAGAGCATTAAAGTGCTTGTAAGTGCCCACGAGTTCTCAGAATTATACATTACAAATGAAATCCCATCGCTTACCAATAAAAAAGTAGAAATGGAGTACTGTGTTGTGCATTTGAGAAATCTTCTGCTTATTAAGGTTGTTGGAACTGAACATGTTCATTTATAACACAGCAAAGTAGGGAAGGGCGGCCCCTCCCTGTCTGTCCTGTGTGGCAGCCCTGACTGTGGTGGCTGTGGGCATGCATGTAAAATCAGAGCTTTTACAGGAAAAGGCATTTCCCAGATTTTTTTCCCCTGCAGTTTAAGGGCACATTTCCAGGCTATTTCAAGAGACCCGACTAAAAAGAATACACGTGTGCCCATAGATGTAGGAGCCAGCAGTATATCCCCTGGTTGTTGGGAAGCTAATGAATTAAATGAATCAAGCTGTCAGCAGTGAAGTCCTTGAGTATATGAGGGTCCCACCCTGGGAGACTCGCCCAGTGAAGAACTGAGCGTGGGGCCAGAAACACCCAAGATACGAAGGACTGGCCCAGCCAGGGCCACTGGTGCTGTCCACTCCAGGAACTACCAGGCACACGCGGCTGTCAAACACTTGAAATGGGGAGTCTGAGCTGAGGTAGGCTTAAGTATGAAATACACAGATGATTGTGAACACTTTGCACTAAAATAATGTAAGCAGTATCATAAGTAATTTTCATATGTTTAAATGGCAGTATTTGGACAACATATTGGATTGAGTGAAATATATTATTAAAATTTACTAATTATATTATTTAAATTAATAATTAAATCATTATTAAAATTAACTCCAGGCACAGTGGCTCACACCTGTAATCTCAGCACTCTGGGAGGCCAATATGGGTGGATCACGAGGTCAGGATTTTGAGACTAGCCCGACGAACATAGTGAAACCCTGTCTCTACTAAAAATACAAAAATTAGCCAGGATGTGGCACGCGCCTGTAATCCCAGCTACTTAGGAGGCTGAGTCAGGAGAGTCGCTTGAACCCAGGAGGCTGAGGTTTCAGTGAGCCAAGAATGTACCGCTGTACTCCAGCCTGAGTGACAGAGCAAGACTCCGTCTCAAAACAAACAAACAAAAAAATTCGTTGGGTTTTTGTTTTTGTTTTTGTTTTTGTTGGCTTTTTTAACATAGCTCCTAGAAAATTTAAAACTACATAGCGACTCACATATTTCTGTTAGAGAACATTGTTCTAGAGAATGATTCAGCGTGTGGGGTGGGACAGGGAAAGGACTTACGGAGAGCAATGCAAAAAATGTCACACTGATTAGTAGGCGTCCATGTTCTTAAAAGCCCTCAGCCACCCTGGCTTCTCCCTGGCGCCTGGGTGACCTCAGCACACACCCAGCACCCTCACTCATGTCTAGGGCACCCAGCTTCCTCTGCCTGCCACTGTGGCCTACTGCTCATAGCTCACACCAAATGTGCCCCTGTCTTTACACCTGTTGTCTGGCTAGTGGGTCAAGAGTGCCCAGTGGGTCTTCCCTTCAGTCAGAATTTGACCTTAATGTGCATAAAATCCTTTGAACGTCTAAAGCACCTATCTCTAATGTATTGACTAGAAAGTTCTAACAAAGGATTAAGGAATGAGGCCAGACGCGGTGGCTCACACTTGTAATTCCAGTACTTTGGGAGGCCGAGGCAGGCGGATCACCTGAGAGCAAGAGTTCGAGACCAGCTGGCCACTACTAAAAATACAAAAATTAGCCGAGTGTGGTGGTGCATGCCTGTAATCCCAGCTACTCGGGAGGCTGAGGCAGGAGGATCACTTGAACCCGGGAGGCAGCGGTTGCAGTGAGCCGAGATGGTGCCGCTGCACTGCACCCTGGGTGACAGAGTGAGACTCTGTCTCAAAAAAAAAAAAAGTATTAAGGAATGAGAAATGTGGATTTCTACAGTGAAAAGGCTAGATTTTAGATGGGATAACTTAACATTGGAAATAATGATGCAGTGGGAAATAAAAGAAGTGTTTGGGGTGTTTTTCTTATTTACAAACCTGAGTGTATGAATAAGGAACCAAAACCTACTGGCTTTCACTTTTATTCCTTAAAAAAGATTTTAATGACATTATTTTTTGGTAATAAGGGAAAGATAGAAAAAGTATTAGAATCATTGGATAAAAAGAATCATGCCTGGGAGCATGCAATAGCCATTTCCCTGCTCTTAAGGAACCGGCCATAAATCTAAGACTTACAAATTGCAGTATCCAGGAGGCCATTTCTATATTAATACTCATCAACTCTTTCATTTTTCTTTGGCTGAAATCATCTAGACTTCTCAAAAAATTATGCATTTTTCTTTAATAGAAAAAAATTTAAAATTTCTATAAATGGTGATACTAGATTAAAAATCCTAATAGTATATCAACTATTTCCATATGAAAATTAGATTTGGGCATATCCAGTTTTTGCAGTATCCAAGAGTAGAAAGAAAGTTTATTTCCAAGAATCTGATTAAACGTACACAAGAAAAAATAAGATTTTTCTTGTACAGTCACATTTAAAATTACCCATTTTGGGGCAATAATTTTAATGTTACTATTAGTTAATGCTGACTTTGATTCCAGTTTATAATGGAATTTGCATCACAACTTTTTAAAATCCCACTTCTCCTTATTCATCAGCCAGTTCTTTTTTCTGTGTCTTCACAGTAGTCTCTTAATTTCCATTTGGTTTGTTGGGAATCTGTCCATTTGTTGAGTTCCTGCCCTGTTAATTCTATGCAATGCCCTGGAAATAACAAAATGCATATGGGAGTATGGATTGGTGACTGCAGCAGTTTGCCCTGCAGAGGGCGAGGCTGGAGTGAGAATGGTCACTTCAATATAAGGTGACAGGAGCTGTGATAGAGGTACCTGTTCAGAGAGTCTCAGAGCCCTACAGAGCCACCTGTCCCAGGAAGGCACTTGAGCCTTCAGGAAGCTGATACAGCTTAAGACTAAGTCACCTCCTTCTGCATTAGGTTAGTGCCTGATAACCTGGCTCTCTGGAGGATACAGAGGAGTTTAATGCATCATCTCAGTCCAGAAGTCTGGTGAAGGAAGATCTGCCAGGGCTCAGTCCAAGACAACATATCCTCCATAGGGTTCAGAGAAGAGGGAAGGTCGGGGAAGGCAGGAATGTCTGGTGGACTTCTAGAGGAGTGATACTTGGGATGGACTCTCAAAAGTGTGTAGGATTTGAATTGGCAGAGGAAGGAGGCCAGGCATTGCAGGTGGGAGCCCAGCATGCAGCACCATGGGATGAGGCTCACTGCTCCCTCCCCACTCCCCTCCTAACCTTCTTCCAGGCCCTTCATCAGCCTGTCCTTTGCAATCACTCACCTGTCTGAAGCATAGCCCCTGCCTCCTGCCCCCATATGCTGTGACATCTTCCCAACTCTTGCCGCCATTAATAAGATGAGAGAGTGAGAATGAGGAACGTGATGCTGAAGAAGGGGGAGAGCAGAATCCACTCTCCTGTCTCCCTGTCCACAGGGGCCACCATGTCCATGGAGAGCTCAACAAGGGCCAAATCAGAGTTAGCAACTGGGGCTTTCCTGGGCCTTGGGACTGAGTCTTGCAGGAGGAAGAGTTAAGAGTCCTCTCTGGATTTGGGCAGGAGGAGGCCTCAGTCCACAGAGGAAGGGTGTGGGCCAGGGCTGCAGAGGCAGCCACACCCACCCTGGCTTTGAGCAAAGCTCTTCTGACCTCGCCACACCCACGGGCTCCGCTGCCAGCTCCAGAGGCTGAGCACCAGTCGCTACTTGAAACAGCTGCCTCCAAGAAGGGGGAGAAGGCTGTTCAGAAATGTACATAAAGCCTTCCATACTTTAGACCATCCTAAATTACAAGAATTTAGTCCTTTCCTGGGCTCTTGCCACTAATTAAATATGCTTGTGAACAAGACCTCTGTTAGAATGAATTTCCACCTTCTAGCTAAGAGCCCTACTATTGTGGGAGCTTTTTCCTGGAGTTCGTCTTCCTCCTGACCTAATCCTATGATCATGGGCTCTGCAGGGCTCATCCCATTACCCCACACCCTGTCACTGACAGCAGGTGAGCAGTTGACTCAAGAGACATCAGAGTGACACTTGCATTTTTGCAACTCTATCCCCACAGGAAGGATAAGTGATACAACTTTACTTAAGACTCTTTTGAAGAAAAGGTTGCGGTGCCAAAAACAAGACCAAAGTTGATAAACTGCTGGTCTTGATAATCACTAAAGCCTCTTCACCTCTAAAAAATTCTCTAGGTTGTTTTGAGGATTATGAGGCAGCAGTTGGTCTGGTGCACAAGCTCATTAATAGTGCGAGTCCTTTGTGGCCTCAAGTGAAGGCAGCTCTAAGAAAGCAAGGAAATGCTCCAGTTTGGACACCAAGCGGGGACAAGGGCACAATAGCATCAGCAACTCTGAATGCTCCAAAATAACACTCTGTCCCAAACCGCAGGCTGCAGGAGTTCAGGAGCAACATGCATTTTTAGCAGAACTTTATTATGGAGCCCTCAGTGAACAAATGAGACTCTAAGTATCCCCTTGAACCTTTTCCTCCACATGGGCGGAATGAGCAGTGACTGAGCACAGCCTGGTTTGGGTCCAGCCTTGGTAATCCAGCAGCCTGAGATGTTTCTGGAACAGGGAATGCATTGTGGATAGGAGGTGAGGAAGTCCCAGCTAATATCATTTTGGTGAGGGAGAAGAGGAGACAAGGCCAGAAATGTCAACAGTTGCTTGGCTTCAGCTGTCCTAAGTGACTGGTCCTCTGGGCCCTAGACATGAGGGCAAATGAGAAATGGGTCCCTCCAACATGCATTCCTTACTTCCCTTTGTCACAGCCTGGACATTCAAACAGAAACACACCCAGCATGCCTGGCACTGCCCACCATGCTGTTATCCGTCCCCATCTCCTTTCTCCTGACCTCTCTGCTTCTGCCTTTCCCACCAAGAAAACAGAAAGAAGGGATCTCCACTATGCCTGAGTATAAACTCTTCAAAATACACATTAGATTTTCTTTTTTTGAAAAAAAAAAAATTCTTACCTTGGGTTAGTATACTTTTAACCAAAATATATTTGTGAAAAGTCTGATTTTTTCTGGGAGAAGCTCTGGCTAAAAAGTCGTACATGGATTCTAACAGGAGTACATGTTCACTCATTCTTGCAACTTTTATTTCATAAGCACCCATACAACCGATCGAAGCCGTGGGATTCTCAGCACTTTCCAATTGAGCCCTTCCTGCTGCTGGTCTGATTCCATAATAGACAAATCTGCCCAACCATTCCTTTGTTTTTAAAGTTAATAGACAATGAACTTTAAAGATTGTGGTTATTGGCCGAGCGTGGTGGCTCACGCCTGTAATCCCAGCACTTTGGGAGGCCGAGGCGGGCGGATCACGAGGTCAGGAGATCGAGACCATCCTGGCTAACACGGTGAAACCCCATCTCTACTAAAAATACAAAAAAATTAGCCGGGCGTGGTGGCGGGTGCCTGTAGTCCCAGCTACTCGGGAGGCTGAGGCAGGAAAATGGCGTGAACCCGGGAGGCGGAGCTTGCAGTGAGCCGAGATCGCGCCACTGCACTCCAGCCTGGGCGACAGAGCGAGACTGTCTCAAATAATAATAATAATAATAATAATAATAATAATAATAATAATAAAGATTGTGGTTATTATAAATTTAGGTGTTGTGGGGTTTTTTTGGGGGTGGGGGGGTTTGTTTGTTTTCTGAGACAGAGTCTCGCTCTGTCACCCAGGCTGGAGTGCAGTCGTGTGATCTCGGCTCACTGCAACCTCCACCTCCCAGGTTCAAGCAATTCTCCTGTCCCAGCCTCCCAAGTAGCTGGGACTACAGGCACATACCATCATGCCCAGCTAATTTTTGTATTTTTGGTAGAGATGGGGTCTCACCATATTGGTCATGCTGGTCTCGAACTCCTGACCTCAGGTGATCCACCTGCCTTGGCCTCTAAGTGTTGTTTTTTAAAGTAAGCTTTTATAACTTATTTTGAGCTCATTTTTCTTTTTCTGCCCACTCCAGATGTATTTTAAATGTATTCCATTCCATTTGGAGTCGTGGATCGACTGTGCTCTTTGCAGGTCTTGTCTCCTATTTTGAAGGGGTGAATGCTCTTTTTTTTTTTTTTTTTTTTTTTTTTTGCAATTAAATAAATACCTGTGTCTCCAAGGCACTGGAGATACAGAAAGGAGTAAGGCTCAGACAGTACTGTCAACTGAGAAGCACATGAGTAGGCAGATGAGACAGACATGAAGACTAATCATTCCAGTGTGGAGTGGCAAGTGCACTAATAGACATGGGTACAGCAGAGGGTAATTCAATAAGGTCACTGAGCACCAAAAAGCTGTGCCCTTTGGGGTGGTCTTTGAGGAGTGAGTAATAAATGAGAACAGGGAGAAGGGCATCAGGCAGGAAGGGCAGCCCAGGCCGAGACTCAGAGAAGTGGAACTATAAAGACTTTGCATCATTCCAGTATTGAGTTACAGGGCTGGGACCAGGCAGCAGCTGCAGTCAGCTGAGGCCAACCATGAAGAGCCTTGTCTACCCTAAGAAGCAGCCAGTGTTAGGAATTTAAATCATAGGGGGACTGCAGCAAGGTGGGAAATAGAGCCTGGAGAAGGGACTGAAGAGAGGAGTTAGTTATGCCAGTGAGAAATGAAATGTAAACCGAAGCAGCGTCACAAGGGATGGAGAAAGGGAGGAATTCCAAGAAAAGCTTGAGAAATAAGATGGACACTGCTAGGAGTTTTGTTGTCTGTAGGGAGGAGAGAGAGGAAGTCAAAACCCACGTGCAGAGGACCAGGTGGGTGCTCGTTGGATTCCAGGTGGGGAGGTAATAGGTTCTGGTTTGAGGCCAGTCAAGGTGGAGGCACATCCAAGTAGGGATTAACTTATTGGCTCAACAAACATGTATTGTGTGGTGATTGCATGCCGGGCATTTTCCTAGATGCTGAAGATGCCCGTGAGATAAAATATGAGCTCGAGCCTCCAGGAAGCCACAGTGCAGAGATGCCCAGGCGCAGTGGCCTGAGGGGGTGGCACTTGGAGGAAGCAGTCATGGATGTCATGGTTGGGAGTGGATGAGGACATGAGAGACCTCAGAAGAAAACTGAGGCTGGATCCTAGGGTGACAGCAGCTCTGAAGGGTGGCCAGAAAGGGGTAGAATCATCAAAGGAAAAGAAAGAGCGCCTCGAGAATCAGAGAAGCTGCACAAGAACAGCTCAATGAAGGAATACACGAAATGTCACATAAATCAGAGTGACCAAGCAAGACAAGGAGACCAAGGTGTCCATTTGATTTGGCAATTGAATGCCCCCAGTAGTTTTAAGGTATATGTGTGGATATGCAGATACCTATAATTTGGAAAGTATACTGCTTTTGCTGGTCAAGCATCTGATTGCATTGTTGGGACTGAAAATGTCTTTTTGGCCAGAATTTTAACCACTTTGCACAGGTAATGATAAGCCTTTGATTTGTGTCCATCACTACCATGGGCAGCACATGGTAATTCTGCCCCTTTGCTGTATGTACAGAGTGCCTGCACCACTATAGTGTAGTACCTTATATGTGATTCAGGAACAGTTGACTAGTATTGGATTATAATCCAAAGCAAGAAAGCATGCAAGAGTCCATACTGATAGAAATAAATGACTGGGGCCGGGCGCAGTGGCTCACACCTGTAATCCCAGCATTTTGGGAGGCCGAGGCGGGCGGATCACGAGGTCAGGAGATCAAGACCATCCTGGCTAACATGGTGAAACCCTGTCTCTACTAAAAATACAAAAAATTAGCCGGGCGTGGTGGCGGGCACCTGTAGTTCCAGCTACTCAGGAAGCTGAGGCAGGAGAACAGCTTGAACCTGGGAGGCGGAGGTCGCAGTAAGCTGAGATCACGCCGCTGCACTCCAGCCTGGGTGACAGCAAGACTCCATTTCAAATGGACTTACGTTATCATAGCAATATAGGTGTATTCATTGTGACAAAGGTATCATTCTGCTGTGAGATCCTAAGGACAAGGAAAACTGGACACGGAGTATTCGAGAACCCTCTGTGTTCTCTTGGTAACTTTTCTGTAAATCTAAAACTACTATAAAAGCATATTTATAAATAACAACAGCTGACTGGCCACCAGCCTGATTCTCCCTCTAAGCCCCATACTTTCCTCCCTGCTTATGAGACCCTCGCTTGGGAAGGTTCATCAGCCTCTTTATTCCACAGGCCAGTGAGAGCCCACCTCTCCTCTAGCTCCTGTCTCCTAGAGTTCTAGGAGCTCAGCCTCGTGGCTTGAAGAGTGTCCTCGCTGAGTTCTTAGAACACTCCGTCTGTTCTCCATGACTTGAAGCTCCCACTCACTCCCATTACCCACCTGGCTCATTTGATAAAACTGGTCCTCCTTCTCCCGCATCTGGCCCCTGCCATACCGGGACATTTCTCTTCTTGTCTTGGTGTCCTGGTAGTGTTTCCCTAGCCTGACACTACCCAAATCAAATAAATAATTGTGAAGTGCCTATTTCTGAATATTTAGCTATTTACTATTAAAAATGGCTGCATGGGTGACAATGATCAAAGTGCCTCAGAAGCCAGGAATACGTTTGTGGTAGGAACACATCTCTTGGCCACATAGGAAATTGCATTCCTAGATCCTTCTCTTTGTTCTGAGTTTAATGTTACATACTCATTGCACTCAGGAAACTGTTTAAAAGATCCTGGGACAGTTTGTTGCCTGGATAAGAAAATTCAGTGAGCCTGAGTTCCCTTCCAGACTGGAGCTCCCTAAGGGAGGAACCATTTCTTATTCATCATTGGTTTGCATTGGCTGGCAACATGCCTGGCACATAAAGGCAATCAATGAAATATGACTTAAATAATTGATTACCATTGCCACAATGATAGAGGTTGCTGATGTGCTGTTATTACAGAACAGGGTAGGCTCCCAGCTGTAGAGGGCCCTTTAGGGACCATGCTGCCTGGAGTGGATCAGACAGTCTCATCTCTGCTTCCATCAGGCCATCACCAGGGTTCTCAGTCAGGAATGCCTGCTGCTGTCTATATTTGCCATGCAATAAGATTAGACGAAGGAAAAATGGCCCATTTGGGGGCTACCGCTGTACCTTAAAAATTCTACCATTAATGTCACTCCCTCAGGATCTTTGTTGCTGTTGGGGTTTTGTTTATTTGTATTTTTTTGCAATTACAGGTCAATAGAGCTTGGGAACCTGTTAGAAGGAGTCAAATCTTACCAACTCTTCAATATGCAATATGGCTGGCTCACAACTAATCCAAAGGGTATGGGACTGAGAAGAGAAACACTTTAGCAAGTAGGCAGGAAAGGAGACCCATTCCAGACCATGAGAATAGCTCCAGTTCCTTGGTCAGAAAGGAATAGTCTACATGGGAGTATGAGTCCTGGAGAGGGAGTGTGCACCTGAAGTGGTAGGGGTTTTCAAAGGTAAACTCAACTTCCTTCACAGTGTTATTTGGTGTTGGCTCTGAAATCAGTTGACTTTCTGTCATTTTAATTGAAACTGTGGATCAGGACTCTTGACTCATCTAAAATAGGAAAGTCAGAAAGTCTGCATTGGACTGGGATCCTGTCTGCTTTCTTTTTTAGATGGAGTCTCGCTGTGTCGCCCAGGCTGGAGTGCAGTGGCGCAATCTCGGCTCATAGCAACCTCCACCTCCTGGGTTCATGCCATTCTCCTGCTTCAGCCTCCTGAGTAGCTGGGACCACAGGCACCCACCACCAAGCCCGGCTAATTTTTTTTGTATTTTTAGTGGAGACAGGGTTTCACTGTGTTAGCCAGGATGGTCTCGATCTCCTGACCTCATGATCCGCCCGCCTCCGCCTCCCACAGCCTACTGGGATTACAGGTTTGAGCCACCATGCCCGGCCTGGATCCTGTCTGTTTTTATCCCTACTCTCCTGTCCTCCATCAGTGAATAGACCCACTTTAGCAGTATGGACACCATGACTTCCAGGATAGTAACTAAATAGATCGTTATTTTCCTGGTTATTTTCTTAAGCACTAAGCAGAAGCAACACGATTCTGTAGTCTGATCCTATCTCAGAAGTGTACATTCCCACTTAGAGTTTTTCACAGGAATTTTTTTTCTTGCACTTAAGATTCGTTTCTTCCAGCTGAAAGAGAAATAGATGAATATGTTTAAAAAGTTAGGAAGGCAACAAAGGACTTGATTCTGCAGTTTTACTCTTTTTTTATATAAACTCGAAATATACCTGATATAAAACCATGACGAAATGCTGAACCTTTCTTAAGGAGTGGCCTTGACTGGTCCTGGTGACACCACTTCCAACCCAGTAAATGCACCCCTCTTCTGCAATGGATATGGCAAGGCTTAATTTACATGGATTATTTGACACATTCTGTGTCACCATGAGTTGAACAACTCCCAGTAGAATGTAATTGGTGTATAGAGAGGCATGTTGGCAGGGTAATCAGGTTTCTCATTGCAAAAGCCAGTTGTATGTACCTGACAATGGATTTAGAACTCTCAATATACTTGGCCTAATTTTCAACTCTATTTTTAAAAAAGAAAGGCCAGGGGGGTGGCTCAGGCCTGTAATCCCAGCACTTTGGGAGTCTGAGGCAGGCAGATCACTTGAGGTCAGTAGTTTGAGACCAGCCTGGCCACACCATGGTGAAAACCGGTCTCTATTAAAATTACAAAAATTAGCCAGGTGTGGTGGCGGGCACCTGTAATCCCAGCTACTTGGGAGGCTGAAGCACGAGAGTCACTTGAACATGGGAGGCGGAGGTTGTGGTGAGCCAAGATAGCACCACTGCACCTCAGCCTGGGCAATAAAGCAAGACTCAGTCTCCAAAAAAAAAAAAAAGAAAGAAAGAAAAAGTCCTGGTATATAGTGAGTTTTTTTGAGATTAGAGTTATTTGATTTCTATATTCAAACCACCTGGATTCATTTTATAATGAAAAATTCTGGAAGTATCAGAGAAAATATGCAAAGTGCTGCAAAAGTGGTAGTATTAAAGCTGAATTCATGGGCTGGGCACGGTGGCTCAGGCCTGTAATCGCAGCACTTTGGGAGGCCGAGGTGGGAGGATCACTGGAAACCAGGAGGTTGAGGCTACAGTGAGCTGTGATCACACCACTGCACTCCAGCCTGGATGACAAAGTGAGATCCTGTCTCAAAAAAAAAAAAAAATGAATTCATGGAAATGCCTTAGTGTGAGGATCATCTACCAATCTCCAGCCAATAAATAGCTCATAGGATGCTTTTTCTTTAATATGGAACATTGAAGTCTTTTTCTCCTCTTCACGTTTATACGATCTGCTTATGATGTTTGTGGCAGAGAGGATTAGTGGATTAGTGTGAAAGCCTCCATCTAGTCACAAGCAGCTGAAGGTCCTGGGAGCACGTTTTCCAGGAACTGGACAGCTGCAGGGGGAGGGGAGATGGCTGCACCTCTGTAATACCCAGGTACAATGTGGTCCCCACTGCAATCACAGGAGCCAGATGGTCATCTTGGTCCACACAGCGTAGGATAAGGTTGTTAAAATTCCATGATGAGTCTTAAATGACCCCATGGCTGTCCTGAACAAGGAGGCAGATGGCTTTTTTCCTCAAGACATTTGGGGAAGGAGAGACTAAATGAGCTTAGGTGGAGAAAGCTTTAAGTTATGAGTCTTAGGCCTTAATTCTCAGAGCTGTTGACTTCCAACATAAAGCGGGTCATTCTCCCCCTACAGTCCATGCCGATAGAGCCTGTAGAGTGGACTGTGTCCCACACGTGACTATAAATTTGGAAGGACACTGGGGAACTTGTAGGAGATACAGAAGAGAACTACAGACTGAAGAATAAAACTACAAGGAAAAATAAAAGGGCCGGGATTGTCTGACAAGGAAAAAAGATGGTCATCTGTGCTCCCATAGTATTTATCACCTCGCTGGCTTTCTTTTCTGCTTCTGCTCCCAATAAGCAGTGAGACACTTGAAAAGGAAGACTTCTTCAGTTTTATATCTCTGGCACCTAGAATGTGCTCGTCGGAGGTGGTCGAGAAATTAAGAAGTTTATCTTCTCTGTTAGAGAAAGTAAATGGCTATAATCCCAGCACTTTGGGAGGCTGAGGCAGGTGGATCACTTGAGCCCAGGGGTTTGAGACCAGCCTGGGCAACATAACAAAACCTCTCGTCCCTACAAAAATTAGCCAGGCATGGTGGGCCACCTATAGTTCCAGCTACTTGGGGGGCTGAGGCAGGAGGATCACTTGAGCCTGGGAGGTCAAGGCTGCAGTGAGCTGTGATATCACACCACTGCACTCCAGCGTGGGCAACAAAGTGAGACTCTGTCTCAAAAAAAAAGAAAGAAAAAGAAAAGGAAAAATGGACTTAAATTGTAACATAGTTGTTGTCACGAGATGGAATGGGTAATAAAATTCCAGTTAGAATACTGAATATTTATTAATTACTACATACCAGACACTGTATAAAATGTTTTCTACATTTTCTACAACATTCCTAGGAGGTAAACACTCTCGTTTTTCCATTTTACAGATGAGGAAACAGAAGGCAGAGCAACTTTAAGTTCTTTGCATAAGGACACAACTAGCATGAGGTACAGCATCTGGATAGAAATCAATAAACCAGGCTTTCTGACTGCAGAGCTCATGCTCTTAATTACTATACACATCAGTCAGTTTGATCTGGAGAAGAGAAACCACTCTAGGTATTTCAAGTAGACACTTAACATAGGGAATTAGTGCCTTCCAAACCCATCAGGAGGGCCAGGGAAGGGGGACCAACAGGAAATCAGCCATCAGTTCAGAAAGTCATTTCAAGAAATCAATAAATGCAAGAATAACAGAAAACTGCTAACAGTAATCTCAGATGTCTCCAGCAGGCATTATTCACAGAAGGGTGCCTGGAAGCCACTCACAGAACCTCGTATCTGCCATCTGCTGAAGCTTCTGCACCTGCTTCACTGTCCTGGGAGTAGTAAAGGCTTCTGTTAATCTTTGATTTTCCAAGCCCTATTCAGGTGCCTCTCACTGGCAACATTTAACCAAAAACCCTATCGGCAGGGATTCTGGGGAAATGTAGTTCCCAGGCCTCCAGCCCCTGTGATAGAAAGGAGTGCTTCAAAGGGGAGATGATGCCAAGTTGCCACTAGACAGAAAACCCAGCACACTATCCTATGCAGTCTTGACGAAAGTGTGGGGACTTCTCCAGGGAGCTTGAAAGGTGTGGCATTCATAAAATTTTCTGTTTCCTCCCCAAGGCTGAAGAACAAGCTGGAATCTCAGATTCCCCAGCGCTGCCTTGTGGTTTCTCAAAACAACTACTGAAGAATTCTAAAATGCCTCGTGGTAATTCCTTAGTAATGATGGGCTTATGCCTTATCCTAGGCGTTGAGGAAACACACCCCTTCCCTTCAAGCATTCTTATTCCAATGGAAGATGGGGGGAGAGTGAAGCCAGATAAGTTAGAAAATTCCAACATAATGCATTAGTTATGTACAAATTATTCACTTAGATAAGAAGTGACTAATTCTGTCCTATGGATTGGAGATGATTTTAATAGGAAGGTGATAGTTCCGTTAGAATTAAGGCAGTGGCCAGGTGTGGTGGCTCACACCTGTAATCCCAGCACTTTGGGAGGCCAAGGCGGGCAGATCACCTGAGGTCAGGAGTTCGAGACCAGCCTGGTCAACATGGCAAAACCCTGTCTCTACTAAAAATACAAAAATGAGCCGGGTGTGGTGGCAGGCACCTGTAGTCCCAACTACTCAGGAGGCTGAGGTAGGGAGCATTGCTTGAACCCGGGAGGCAGAGGTTGCAGTGAGCCAAGATGCACCATTGCACTCCAGCCTGGATGACAGAACGAGACTCCGTCTCAAAAAAAAAAAAAAAATAGAATTAAGGCAGTGGTTCTCAACCCTGGCTGAATAGAAGATTCACTTAGGATGTTCATGTCTTAGTTTATTCAGGCTACTGTAAAAAAAAAAATACCTCAGGCTAAAGTAACAAAATAAATTGGGAAGCTGCTGAATGACAGTAATTTATTCCTCACAGTTCTGGGGGACGGGGAGTCCAAGATCAAGGAACGAGATGTGGTGTCTGTTGAGAAACTGCTTTCTGGTTCATCAACAGCACCTACGAGCTGGGTCCTCATACGGTGGAAAGGACACAAAGTCGAAAGAGCTCTTTGAGGTCTCTCTTACAGGGGCACTAATCCCATTCATGAAAGCTCTGCCATCATGAGCTAATCACCTCCCAAAGGCCCCATCTCTGAATACTATCACATTTAAGGTTAGGTTTCAATATGTGAATTTTGAGGGAACACGGAACATTCAGACCATAGCAGCTTGTCAGAAGTCCTGATGCCTGTGGCCAATCCAAAACCAATTAAATCAGAATCCCAGGGGGTAAGGCCCATAGACCAGTATCTTTCAAAACATCCCAGGTAATGCTAAACCCATTACTGAAAACTCCTATGAAGCTTTACAGTTTACAATGGGCTTTCACCTTTATTGTCTCATTTGAATCTCAACTATCATCCCCTTATATTAATGAACAAACTAAAACTTAGAGTATGGGACTTGATCCAAGGTGCAGAGCTATTCATGACCTTCAGCTCTTATGAGTCAGTCCAGCTCTGTGTTATATAGTGGGTCCCAACATTGCTGTGAATCAGAATATCTGGGGCTGAGGCCCATGAATCAGCTCCCTAGGGAGCTTTAAAAAAAGAAAAGAAAAAAAAACCTGATGCCCAGATTGCACCCCAAACCTATCCCGTCAGAATATGGGGTTGGAGTGGAGCTGGGCATCAATAATTTTTAAAGATTCCCAAGTGATGCCAATGTGCAATAAAGTTTGGAAACCACTGTGTTATGCCATCCTCAGGTAATGTGTGAACGCTGGTATAGCTTAAAGTGCATGGATTTGCTAATTAGGAGATTATGCTTGGTTCTCTTTTCTAATTCTAACAGTTTATCTGTTCAAATCTCTTAATTAGGGACTCTTTTAGCAATTAACTTATCAATAACAGCAGCCATAAAAATGCAAAAACTGATGTTTCCAACCAAAGAACAAATCTTAACCTGATGTATGTTATGACCCTTACAGATTCAATGCATTCTTATTGTCAGAAGTTATTAAATAAGCACACCATTAGCTAGCAAACAGAATAGGCAGCTAACTTACTTATTTACTGATTATCAATATTCAACATCAGATTTGAGCCATATAAATACGTACATATCTCATTTCCCCTCTGGTTAGGTGCACATCCCCCTTCAAAGAGGTTTAAGTAATGTCCACCACCAAATCTGTACAGCCACAGAAACTTTATGTTCCCAGTCAGAATCCTCTGACCTGTCCTCTGCTGTCTGCCCGGGAAAGGATCATGTTCTTTCACACACTACTTGCATTCATTTAGCCTTAGAAACTCAATTCTTTAATACTGAGAACATCGAGCTCAGAAACTAATTTTCTAGAAGTCCTTAAAACAGACAAAGACAGGATTTAAACCCATCTTCAGGGAGAAAGCACTCCGGGTTAAAGTGCTCTTTCTAAAGCCTCAGTTTTTTGATAGAAATGATAGAGTATATCCAGCCCTCTTTCCCTGTAATTCTTTTAGGAGGAAGCAATTTTAAAGTCTAATATATTTGGAGAATGCTACTTCATAACTGTGGCCTAGATTGCCCTAAGTGGAAAAGATGGAGCATTTTTATATTTTCACAATCACACAAACCGTGTGTGGCACTTACATATTTCTAGCTGGAAAGCATCATGGGATGTTCAAGGAACTGCTGCTGCTCCCAGTAAACAGTGAGACACTTGAAAAGGAAGACTTCTCCAGTTTTATATCTCTAGCACCTAGAATGTGCTGAGTAGTATCAGATCATCTCATTCTCCAGCAGTCTTCCTGGACATTCTACCCATTGGTAAAGGCACAGAACCAAGGAATTCAGACCAATAAGAGGATATATAGTGGTTGTTTTATCCAACTCTCACTTTGGAGATGTGGAAACAATGTCTAGGGGAAGTGGGTGATTTGCCTAAGTTCACAGAGCTAGTTAGGGACAGAATTCAGGCTAATGCTGGCTAGCCTCCAAGCTGCCATTTCAAAATTTATTTCACCACCCCAGACTCTGTACCACTGACTGTTTCTTCTTATGACTGTTGATTTCCATTTTCCTTTTATTTCTGCTTATTTTCTATTACTATAGATATGCTTACTGTTGGGAAAGACAGTTGACTGATTGAGATTTTGAAGACACACATCATCCAGCATCTCACCAGGATTTGGCAGGTTTCCCAAATGAGACTGGCTTTTGTGAGGTTCTTCTAGGGTAGGAGATGAGATGCCGTCCCCCAGGGAAGATGGGCCTGCAGAGAAGGTGGCAAGTGGATTCAGCATGTCAGTGGAGAAAAGGACCATCAGAAGTTGCTGTCCCTAACTAAAAATAAGGTCATAAACTTAAGCGAGACAGTGCACCTTCACCCCAGGTTCAACATGGCAGAGTTACAGGATCATGGATGATTTCACTGACAATCCCTCCCCGGGAGGGAGGGAGTCCAGGAAGGAGATATGTGTGAGCAAATACCACCTTGCTATGGACCAAAATTGCTTCAAAAGATGTAGAGATCCCTGGGTTTTAAAACATCAGAGTTGGAAACACTTAGGTCAAGTAGAGCACCCCTTCATCTTGTTCCTGATTTCTCCATTTGCCTCCAGACTAAGTGAGTTCACCTGTGCCTTGGATGCACTAAATTGCCAACCCCTAGAGTGAGCCCATGCTAGCCTTCCCTGTTCCCAGTTAGCTGGGATGGCATGAGCTAAGTTCTTCCGAACAAACGCTGAGAAGAAGGTGGTTACTTGTTAATGAAAATAACCACAGGCAGATGGTAGCACTGACCCTGACAAAGCAGTAGACTTCAGAAAGAATGAAATGAGTTGTATAACTTTCCCTCCCGTGTTCCAAGCAGTGGAGATGATGGCTTGGGGAATAACTGCAGAGAGATGCACTTGCATAATGAATAGGCTCTCAGGCAATGCTAATTGTTAGAATAGACATTTGCATATATGAATATGTTTAATGGAGATTCATAAACATTTGTCTTAGGCTTTAAATCTCACGTAGGTGGAGATAGTAGCAGCACCAGCTATAGAAACAAATCTGAAAATCAAACAGCCCAATTAAAACTCAGATTTTTTAAAAAACCATTAAAACAAAGCAAAATGAAATGACTTTAAAGGACTAAAGGATTCCGATCTGTTAAGGGCCCCAAATGACAACTAATTCAGGGAAAATCCTATTAATTAAAAACCACTACTCTGTGAAATGGCTGCCATTACATTTGCAGGTAGTTAACGTGCCCGTTTGCAATACCTGTGGAAGATATAGATGAGCTTTGGAAGCAGTTGGCCATCTGTTAAGTGTAGGCTGCTATTTCTGCTTCCCAAGAAATTTTAGGCCTCAAAAATGCAGGCGCCAGCTACAACATAAATTTATCACTTGCTCAATTAAGAAAACAATACACACAGGGAAGTTATGGTAATCAAATGTTAAAATTGCAAAGGTTGTACTGAATTACTCCCTTTTCTGAAAAGTACTGAGTTTACCTTCAAATGACACAGTTGGGTTCTGCAAAAGTTGTATTTGCCAGAGCTTCACAATTCGAAGGCATTTAAAAATACGTAAAATGACAATGCTGATTTGAATGTCGTGTGTGAGGGGAACCACCCCTGGGAGACAGTACACCTTCTGTGGATAGGTGCCTGCCACACAGTGGACACAGAAGTAATTGAATGAGTCAACAGTTGGGGGTTTGGCCAGGCGTGGTAGCCGGCGTCTGTAGTCCCAGATACATGGGAGGCTGAGGTGGGACGATTGCTTGAGCCTAGGAGTTCAAGGCTGCAGTGAGCTATGATTGGGCCACTGCACTCCAGCCTAGATGACAGAGCAAGACCCTGTCTCTAAAACAAAACAAAACAACAATTGGGAGTTTGGATACTGGTTCCGCTGGTGGTGATGAGGCATGTTTCCATTCATCTTTCCCTTTCAGAAAGAAAAAGGTCCTCCAGGGTAGTGCTCGGCAAACTGCAAATGGGCCTGTTTATCTTTGGCTCCCTCTTTAGAGTTCTGAATGAAAGTCCCATTGTGTCCTTTCCTCTACGGAGCTCCTGCAAGGCCCGCTCTCCCTGCATGAAAGCGTGAGCGAGTGCAGCTGGGGGCTCATAACCCTTCGACTCCTTGTCTGCGTGTCAGGAAGGGTGTTACAACATGCCCAACAATCATTGTAAGGACAAGTTCCCAAGTAAAAATAGGTGGAATCTCAATCGCTTAATCGCACGTTAAAAAAAATCTTGCTTCTGTCCTTAAAGTGTCACAGTTCTCATGTAGCTGGTTCAGACTCTACTGTAAAGTCACCATGAGGTGCTAACGTGGAGTATCCCTGACAGTAGTTTGATAACTCTTCAAGTGTTAAGGCCATGAAGTCCAGGTCTGTTCTCAATTCAAAAAGTTCAATTTTTTTTTTTTTTTTTTTTTGAGACAGGGTCTTATGCCCAGGCTGGAGTGCAGTGGTACAACCTCGGCTCACTCTAGCCTTGACCTCCAGGGCTCAGGTGATCCTCCTACCTCAGCCTCCCTAGTAGCTGGGTTTACAGGTCCATACCACCATGTCTGTCTAATTTTTATATATTTTTTATAGAGACAGTATTTTGCTATATTGCCCGGGCTGATCTCGAACTCTTGGGCTCAATGATCCGCCAGCCTTGGCCTCCCAAAATACTGGGATTACAGGAACAAGCCACCGCGTGCAGCCAAAAAGTTCAATTTTAGTACCTATTTTATTTCAACTTCCCCATTGTCATCTGGCAACACCCCCTTGGCTCCTCGTGGAGGGACTCCTGGCCTCGTGGCCACCCGCTAGCTCCCAGGGCAGACCTCTCCGTGCACTGGGGCTGATAGGCGTGTTTACTGTCCTGTCGACATAAAGCCACTCAGACCAGCTGACAGCAGTTACAGGCCAAAATATATTCCCCTCCACCATCTCTCAGGAACATGACCCTTTCTTTTCAAAATGGCCTGAAAATAGAGCAAATGGCCCTGTTTTAAGGCATCATTACAAAGACATCTCAAAGTCTCAACTTGTTTATCCACATGAGTTTCTTAAATGCTCTGAGGCCCACTTCCCTCCTAGGGAAAAGGGAATATTGGTAAAAATGAGCATTGATAAAAATGAGCATTGATTGGAGGCTCCCTGGCGTAAGGTCCCGTGCTTAGCACTATCCAAGGATTGTGGAGTAAGTTCTCCAGGAAGCCCTCTGAGGCAGGTCCCAGGGCCCTGGGCTAGATGAAAGGCAGAGCTAGCATTCTTCCTGGGCAGTGTGACGCTGGAGTCCCTGCTCTGACTACCACGGTCCACAGCCCCCTGTAGCACCCACCTCCCACCTTGGAGGAGTTGCTGCAGGGATTGACAAAGTAACATCTAGAAAGTACTTAGCTGGTCTGCTACGGACGGACATCCCTTAAACAATGAGAGCTGCTGCTGTGAGTTGAGGGCTTCATCCCCTGGGAGGGATCTGAAGAGCTATGAAGGGGAGGGGCTAAGGGAACGTGAAAGGGGTGGCCCTGGTTGGGGGCCCCATCAGCTGGGGTAGGGCCTGGAGGAACCCAGGAGTAGGGGTGTAACCAGGGTGCTGTGGATGGATGCACAGGCCCTGTGCTTCCATGCAGATGGCTAGTCCTTCCGTGCAGATGACTTAGCCCTCAGGAGCCCCTTAGAGCAGCAGGGTCTTTGCCTTCCCTTTAAAAAAAAAAAAAAACAGTAGGAGATCTCCACCCCTCCCCAGTAGCCTAATCAGCACTTAATTTGCATCTTCCTTTTACTCTTGGTTGAACACTTTTGTTTGTTTATTTATTGTTTGATATACCTATGTTTCCACAGGGAAACAGACAAATGATAAAAATGTTCCCCAGGGTTTGGGAGTGGGTTGGGCCCATGACCACCACGGTGCCATTTGTGTGTTTGGTGAAGGCGGCCATGCCTGCTGTCTGCTGGCCATACACCAAGTACAGACAGTTCCTATGATCCTGTGAGTGTCACGGGTTTTCTCTTCTCCTAACCATGTTTCATTGTTCAGCTATAAACTTCAGCCCCTCCTTAGGCTCTCTAAGAGGCCACTTGGATATGTTCAGCATTCAACATGGAGTTGTTTGTGAATGTTAAACCGGACTTGAAGATGCAGTGGTCACAGACAAGAACAAGCGCCGTTTGCTAGGGAGTTGAGCCAAGGGCCTGCTCATGACCATCAGAATAAAGCAAAGGGTTCCTGCTCTCAGACCGCGGGGAGCCTGGGTCTCCTCAGGGTGTACCTCTGTGCCTGTCGGGGCTGGGATGCGGTATGGCCGTGGTCGTCTCTCCCAGGTCTGTGATTTCATGTTTTGGGAATAGCATCACCCAGGATTGCTCCGGGAATGTTGTATAAGCTGTGTGAGTTTGTGTTTCCATGGCCACTTTCTCATATTTCGAAATATTCTGAAGTTTAGTTAGATTTGAACTTCTCTTGAAGTCTCTCTTGAAGGCAGTGTATTTTTACATGTGATTTGTTGTATTTAGAACCCAGCCGGAAACACAATAAATTCATTTTTTTAATATAAGAGAGGTAAAGTCAGTGACAGAGTGATGATTATTCACAAAGCAAGGTTGAACTCTGACTGCTTTTCTTCTGGAAATGATGATGAGATAGATGAGTCTCATTATAGAAGCACAAATGCTCAGCCCCAGAGGTGCACCTCACACAAGATTGTGGTGCAAGGGGCTCTGAGATTCAAACAGATGCGTGTTTACGTGTGGACGCGTTTAGCACATGTTTGAAATAAACAGAAGTAAGCTGCATTCCCTACCTTGAAAGAGAGCCTCACACAGCAGCATTTTGACCGTTGTGGTGACTTTCAGCCATGCCAGGCTCATGTGGTGACTGAGTTGCACGGCTAGTTTGCAGCCAACCCAAGCTCCCTCACTTCGGGCCATGTTGGGCTTTCCTGCTCTGGGGGATGATGGCCTTCCAATCCACGCACAGTATTGTCCATTTAAACATTAAATTTCCCAGCCACACAGCCTCCATCTGACAGCAAGGGGGTTGTTAACCATGATTGTGTGAGTCCTCCCCACTCTTTCCACCCCCACCAGCAGGACCACCCACCCTTTAAAGACCCAGTGCTTGCTGGGCAGTCCTAGAGATTAAACCACACTGCAGTGGTGGTTTACCCAAAAGAGGGCATGGGAGTGGAGGCAAGGACCTGTCCCCTTCTCTGGTCTTTTTCATTAGGAAGAAATCTGTGCCTTTGGGTAGGAAAACAGTCTTGGGGAAGGGGCCTCATCCCAGCCAGCAAACTGGCGTTGTGTTCTGTGCCGCACTGTGCTGGTCACTGGGGACTCAAGGACAAAGGAAACACAGCCCACTTCCCTAGGCTACTCCCAAACAGTGCTCTAATAAATCACCAAGAGGTCTCTTCTCTTTGAAGCCAAGCGTATGTGTCTGTGAGGTGAAGGAAATGAATGGCGTGCCAGACATGCAGAGGAATTGGGGGTGCCGCTTTACAGCCTCTGCTGACGTGTTCATTTGTTCACTTGTGGTTTAAATAATAGAAGAACGACACCTCTCGGCACTGGGAGATGAGCAGGAGCCTGTGAGGAAGCAGATTTGGTGCCCTGATGGCAATGCCTTAAATAGTACCCTAAAAACTACTTAGAAGTTTCTCCGTTGTATTCTCTAGAGCAAATAGAAGGGTTTTTCTCCTTGACGAAACTGGGGAGCATATTTATTTTGTAGACTCACAACGGAATCTAAAGCAGGATTCAACCTTAGGATTGCCCTCTATAACACGTCACTGCACAAATAGGGAAATGGGGTCAGGGTGCGTGAAGCGACTCACCCCACATGCATAGACAGGTGGGGCAGAGCCTGGGCCATGCCTTATCCTGCCAGTTCTTTACCCCCCAGTTCGCCCCAAAAGTGACTGAAATGACTCCTACGAATGTTCAGAGGCATGTATCAGTGATAGGCCTACAACCGGCTTTTAAAGGACACTAGGTACATTTTAGGGGACAGCCTTTGGAAGCTGGCTTCAATGAGGCCTTTGAGCACAAGGGCTCAGCGGGCTTCACACTGATGTATGGAGCCCCAGGGTCCCTCAGAAGTGGGCTCTCCCCTGCTCCCTCAGAGCGTCTCTGCGTGGAGAGCACGCTTTTATACAGTGCACTTCTGAGTAAGATTTCTTTTGAAATGAATTAATCTGAAAACTACTATAAAGAAAAATTTAGCCATGCTGAAAAGAATACAGTGTTATCATAACAAATAACAGAGTCTGAAGTTCTGTTTCTTTTTTTCACTTTTAACCTCGTGCTTCCCCGCTGTCTCCTCAGGATGAATGGGGGGACCTGGGTGGGCTGGGGAATCACCTTCACAGGCTTTTCAGAAAGCGCCCTCCTGCTTGGTTTTCCCCACTAGGTAGGATCTTGGGGACAACATCTTTTCCAGCTCTTTGACTGATGGATGGCCTAAGAAGCTTCGCTCACAACTCAAGTTTATGGCTTTATGGCTCTTTTTCTCATCTCTCTTTACCATGAAAGCCCCTGGGGCAGGCACGGAGACACAGCCCAGCACTGGGAGCTTGGAAAACACTAAACAAGTAATTGTGGAATGCAAACTGCCCAGGGGAAAAGCCCCTATGTATTTGAGAGAAAAAAAAAAAAAGCATCTTCTTTTTTATTGCTATTTTCAGGTACGTGTGATATTTTGATACAGGGATTCAATGTGTAATGATCAAATCAGGGTAACTAGGATATTCGTCACCTCAAATATTTATCTTTTCTTCCTGTTGGGAACATTCCAATTCTTCCCTTCTAGCTATTTCGAAATATACAATACGTTATTGTTAAGTATTATTTCCCTGCTAACACAGCATCTTCTGAAAGCTGCCCGTCTTAGCTGATGACTGTTGTGAGGGTTAATTTTTATGATGGGGCTGTCTACTATTTCCTAAGTGCACCAGAGGAAAAGTGCATAAGAAGGAAAGAAAAAAAATAGGAAATCAAATAGACTTATTTCCAAAATGTTGCTCTAATAACAACATTAAGGTGATATTTTGGTGCTGAATTATTCTGAATCCACTAACTATCTGTACCTCTTTGTACCTCTTTGTTCCTTCTTTCAGAATGCTGGAAGATGACCTTAAGCTAAGCAGTGATGAAGAGGAGAATGAACAGGTAAGATTCTCTTTTATGTCATCATCCTTTGGAGGTGACACTGGTAACAGTTACCTGGTGGACTGTGCCGGGTGTTAACCAAGCTGAATGGTGGCACTCCAGGCTGCTGGTCTTTTGTCTGCTAAGTGTGAGCTTCTATGCAGTTGGGTCAGTATATTAAAATAGCTTGCCCATAATTTCCCTTAAGCCTTGAATTCTGTAATTTTTTATGATATTGAGACCAGCAATGGGTATTACAAGGAAGCTAAGATCAGGCTTCCCTCAGAAGTAGACAGAGCCTTTTTTTTTTCTTTTTTATTTATTCATGTGTGTGTGTGTGTGTGTGTGTGTGTGTGTGTGTGTGTGTGTGTGTGTGTGTGAGAAGCTAACTGGCCTTCTGGAGATCAAACATATGACCTTAACCTCATCAGCATGCAACAGGCAATCCGTAACATTAAATATTGAGAAGTCTTACACAGATATTATTAACATTGAGAAGGAGCAAATGTAGAGGTGAGCCAAAATGATGAATAAAAAGTAATTATGCTCAGTATAGGCTGTTTGTCTTAAATGATAAATGTGCTTGAAATATTCTCCCCTGGTGTTGATTTATCAGCTCGAGACATCAGTTAGGGGGTTATAAATACTCTTCTGATCAGTCAGTTAAGGTGAAAAAATATCCACTTAACATTCATCACTTTCACTTCTGCATTTCAAGAAATGTTTGTATTTCAAAGCAAGTTTAAAAACACTAAAGACAGATTTTTCTACACTTCTGTTTTCTTTTTCTCATCCCCTATGTTGTATTTTGTCAAGTTTAGATACATGTGATGGGTAGAAAGACAATTCAGAGAGGCTTTTTTTAATAAGTCATTTTTGTATGCAGTACAAAATAATAATGCTGTTCTGTTGGTTTTGGAATAGTGAATTAATAGAAAGGTATCATGAAATGCTATGCAGATGATTTGCTGTCTAGACATGCAAATACAAATAACTTACAGAGAGAACAAGCAGAGGTTAAATAAAAGTCAAAGGAGAATTTCGAGGAAGAGTGAGCAGAGCATAGCTATGAGGTCACAGAAGAGGTTACTCATGTCATGGGAGAAACTGAGGCACGAAAAAGGGAGAAGAGCTTGAGGAGTCTGGAAACCAGATTGGCAGGTGGAGAATACCCAGTGGAAGAAGGTTAACTGGGCAAAGAAGGCCACTCAGGCTTCGAGTGTTTTACAGATCTGTTGATTTGTTTCCAGGGCAGCCAGATATCTGCCACACAGCAATCTTAGCAGAAATGTAGAATGACTTCACTCCTAATTTTGGCTTCTTATCTACATGATGATAAGCAAATGATTTCAACTCTTTGTGTTTTTTCCCATTAAGTGGCCTGGATACATAGATTATGGATTAAATCATATCAAACATGTAAATTGTGTATGCTTTTTATTAGAAAAAGGGTTCACAGACTATTTCAATCTGCAAACCTTTTTAAATTTGGAAATAATTTCCTGAGCTATTTCCAGGAAGTATTTCCAATGAAAACTCAATTTTAATAAACATTACTAATGACGTACTATACATGTTCTCTAAGGCAGTAAGAGCTTTTAGTTGACTCATTTTGCTTTTTAAGCTACCCCCTTCCATTCTGTACTCATTGATAATATTGTGTTATGAATGTACAGGTCAGATCCTTTATTCTTGCATTTAATTCCTATGTGAATATACCTTCCTATTTTTGCAATAAAAGGAACTGACAGAATGAATAATTTTTATACATTAATCCCTTTTTCCTAATTAAGACTCCAGACAGTGGTTTTGCGTATGATAGTTTAAGTTATTGCTTCAACAGTAATTGCATTAAGTTGTCCTGCTTTGGCCTATAATTATAACCTGGTCTAATCACAAAGTTGTAATTCCCATACTTTTAAACAAGACTAATGATATGGTATTTTTTTCTCTTCAAGACCAAACTATGCTTTATCCCGGAAGCAGCATAGCCGGTGCACGAACACACACACACACACACACAGACACATACACTCATTCCCTGGCATTCTGAGATAATTGAACATTTAACATAAATGATTTTTCTAGATGTAATCAGAGTTTGCACCGTAAACCCAAAATATTTTAAAAATCCCTTGCCTCAGTAAACACTACAGTGTATGAAAAATCCTTAACCTTTTCTGACATTATATCTGGCTGTCTTTGTGAATATTGGTTCAACCAGCCCATGTGCCACTGTAATAAAGAGGTGTCTACAAGAGCTTCAAGTTGCTATACCTGCCTGCCCTTCCTCAGATCGCCTCAGACTCCATGCTTTTGAACACTCCTATCTGAGGTTTCCTTTTCTCCCCATTGCCTTTGTGATCCTGAAGGTCAAAAGACAGTCTAGTTTAGTGGTTAAGAGCACAGCGGCCCCACTTCAAGGGTTCAAATCCCCACTCTGCTACTTAGTTTTGCAACCTTGGCCCAGCCTCTGAACTGTTCTCTGCTTCAGTGTCTCTGTTTGTAAAATTGGAATTAATGCTAGATCCCCAAGCTGCCACTTCATCGAAATTTGAGGTCACCCATCATCTTCGTGTCACCAGATCCAATAGGCATATTTTGTGTGTGTACGGAGTTTCACTCTTGTCGCCCAGGCTGGAGTGCAGTGGCATGACCTTGGCTCACTGCAACCTCCGCCTCCCAGGTTCAAGTGATTCTGCTGCCTCGGCCTCCTAAGTAGCTGGGATTACAGGTAATTTTTGTATTTTCACTAGAGACGGGGTTTCACCATGTTGGCCAGAGTGGTCTCAAAATTCTGACCTCAAGTGATCCACCCGCCTCGGCCTCCCAAAGTGCTGGGATTACAGGTGTGAGCAACTGTGCCCAGCCTGTTTGTATATGATTTATAAAAATGATATGTCTTTAAAAATGATTTTATATGTGTATGACATAACCAATATCCAGATGAAAATACAGACATGACCCAGGTGCCCCCATGCTCCCACCAGTCACCACTCTGCAGAAGAATAACCACTTTCCTGTTTTCTAACACCATAGTGTAATTTTGCTTATTTTTGCACTTTGTATCAATGGAATTATTCGGCATGTACTCTTTGTGTCTTGCTTCTTTCATTCAACATTGTTTATGAGAGTCACCCATGTTGTTACCTGTAATTGAAGTTTGTTCATTTTCATTGCTGTATCCTATTTCATTATGTGTGTATGCCATAATTTACTTATTCATTCCACTGCTAATGGGCATGTGGATATTTTGGCAGGGGTCGGGGAGTAGAATAGTGTGCTCTTATCAGCATCCTTGTACAGGTCTTTTTATCCTTGTACAGGTCTTTTCATCCTTGTACAGGTCTTTTGTTGAGCACATGGGAACATTTTTGTTGGATCTATGCCCAGAAGTATAAATGCTGAGCAGTAGGGTATGTGCATGTTCAACTTTAGTAAATTATCTCAAACCATTTTCCAAAATGGTTGTACCAGTCGAAAGTCCCACCAGCAGTGTAAGAGAATTTCAGTTGCTCTACATCCTCACCACACATTTGTCTTTTTAATGTTCATGAGGGATATTAGTTGGAAGTTTTCTGTTTTATACTGTCTTTGGCTAGTTTTGATATCAGGGTAATACTGATCTTATAAAATGAATTAAGAAGGGTCCCCTGCCCTTTTCTCAAAAAGATTATGCTTTTAAAAAATGATGTTAGGTCGGCCACAGTGGCTCAGGCCTGTAATCCCAGCACTTTGGGAGGCCAAGGCAGGTGGATCATCTGAGGTCAGGAGTTCAAGACCAGCCTGACCAACATGAAGAAACCCCCTCTCTACCAAAAATACAAAAATTAGCCAGGCGTGGTGCATGTGCCTGTAATCCTAGCTACTTAGGATGCTGAGGCAGGAGAATCGCTTGAACCTGGGAGGCGGAGGTTGCAGTGAGCCAAAATTGTGCCACTACACTCCAGCCTGGGTGACAGAGTGAGATTCCTTCTCGAAAAAAAAACAAAACAAAAACAAAAACAAAAAGATGATAATTATTTAGCAGAATTCTCTAGTAAAACCATATGGGCCTGGAGATTTTTAAACTTAAAAATTCTATTTCCCGGCGGGGTGTGGTGGCTCATGCCTGTAATCCCAGCACTTTGGGAGGCTGAGGAGAGCAGATCATGAGGTCAGGAGTTCGAGACCAGCCTGGCCAACATAGTGAAAACCAGTCTCTACTAAAAATACAAAAATTAGTTGGGCATAGTGGTGTGCACGTGTAATCCCAGCTACTCGGGAGGCTGAGACGGGAGTATTGCTTGAACCCAAGAGGCTGAGATTGCCGTGAGCTATGATCAAGCCACTGCACTCCAGCCCGGGTGACAGCATGACTCCATCTCGGGGAGAAAAACAAAAACAAATTTTTTTTTTTGGGAGATGGAGTCTCACTGTGTCACCCAGGCTGGAGTGCAGTGGCGCAGTCTTGGCTCACTGCAAGCTCTGCCTCCTGGGTTCACGCCATTCGCCTGCCTCAGCCTCCTGAGTAGCTGGGACTACAGGCGCCCACCACCATGCCTGGCTAATTTTTTATATTTTTTTAGTAGAGACGGGGTTTCACTGTGTTAGCCAGGATGGTCTCGATCTCCTGACCTCATGATCTACCCGCCTCGGCCTCCCAAAGTGCTGGGATTACAGGTGTGAGCCACCACGCCCAGCCAAAAAAAAAATATTAATAGTTATAGAGCTACTCAGATTATCTAATAGTCATAGGGCTATTAGATTATCTGTTTCATACTGGGTATAAGTGGTACACTGTTCTTCAGTAATAAGTCTATCCGTGTCACTTAAGTTGTCATGTTTATGTGGATAGGGTTGTTTATAATATTCCTTTATTATCCTTTTGATGACTGCAAGATCTATAGTGTCAGCCCGTTTCATTAGTGATACTCATCATTTGTCTTCTTTCTTTTTTATATCAGTCTTGCTAGAGGTTTATTAACTGTATTGATCTTTTGAAAGAACTAGCTTGTTGTTTCATTAATATTATCTATTTGTTTTTTCTGTTTCAGTTTCACTGATTTCTTATCTTTATTTCCCTCCTCTTGCTTGCTTTGGGTACATTTTTGCCCATTTTCTAGTTTCTTGAGGGAGATTAGATTATTGATTTGAGATTCGTTCTTTTTTATGATATAAGTATTTAGTGCTATACATTTGACTCTCAGCAATGCTATAAACTTTATCCCACAAATATTGATGTGTTGTATTTCATCGTCATTCAGTTCAGTAAGACTTCTTTGACTCATGGATTATTTAGAAATGTGTTGTTTAATTTTTAAGTGCTCAGAGATCGCCCTTAATCTTAACTTTTATTGGTTTCTAGTTTGGTTCCTTTATGGTCAGAGAACATAGTCTGTATGACTTCAATTCTTATACATTTGTTGAGGATTTTTTATGACCCAAGATATGGTTTGTATTGGTATATGTTTTATAGGCACTTAAAAGAATGTGTATTCTGCTGTTGTTGGGTAGGGTGTTCTATTAATATCAATTAATCTTATTTGATGTTCTTTTGTATCTTTTCTGGACTTTCTGTCTCATTGCTCTATCTAATGTTGAGAGAGAGGTGTTGAAGTCTCTGGCTGTCATTGTGGATTTGTTTATTTCTTCTTTCTATTCAATCGGGTTGTTTTCACATATTTCACAGCTCTGTTAGTTGGTGTGTGTACATTTAGGATTGCTATATTTTCTTAGATTGACCCTTCTATCATTATGTAATGTCCCACTCTGTCTCTGGTCATTTTCTTTGCTCTGAGGTCTACTTTTTCTGATAACAGCACAGCTACTCCTGCTTTATTTTGATTAATGCTTTCATAATGTAACTTTTTTCCATTCTTTTACTTTCAGCCTACCAATATGGTTATATTTGAAATGAGTTTCTTATATACAGCATAAATTAATAGTTGTCATATTTTTATTCACTTTGCCAATTTCTGTGTTTTAATTGATACATTTAGACCATTTACATTTAATGTAATTATTGATTTGTTAAAGCTTAAGTCTACCACTCTATTTTTTGTTTAGTTTCTTCCTGGTTTTAATTTTCTTTTTCCTGCCTTTCTGTGTATTCCTTAAACCTTTTGAATTCTGTTTTGATTTGTCTGTAACATTTTTATGTGTATCTCTTTGTACAGCTTTTTTAGTGGCTATTCTAGGTATTACACTATATATACATAACTTATAACAGTTCGCTGGTACTGTCATTTTGCATGCTTTCTCCCTTAATATCCTATAATTACCTTTGTTACAGAATGAATAATAATAGGTGATACAAATGTAGTTTTCTGTCTTCCCAACTTCATAAGTAAACAACCTGAATTTCACCGTGTATCTTATTCATCTTTATTTCCCTACCTCATACCATGGCTGACTGGCTTCTAGCAGAGAAACCTAAACTTCTCAATACCACATCTGCACCACTGCTTCCATCTTCACTCATCCTGTGTCCTCCTGTTGTGAGAGGACACTGCCCTGCTCCTATCCAAAGTTCATCCATTTCCTCAGAGCTACATAGAGACTTGTTCTTTTGATCTCATTATGACCCCATCTCTTTACCAGAAATGCTCCTCATTGGGCCCCCAATGACCTCTGTAGAGCCAATTATACTGGGCTCTTTTCAGTCCCCTGTCTTACTAGAAGACTTACAGCATTGAACACTGTTCATCACCCACTTCTCTGTAGGAGTCTAACACCACACTCTCCTGGTTTGGGTCCTGCCCCTCTGGCTTCTCTTCTCAGGCTCTTTTGCTGACTCTGATTTTCTGCCCAATGTTGGAAACTTTCCATGTTTATTCCTGACTTTTCTTCTCCATGTCTGCTCTCTGGGTGATCTCACCCATTCCTATGACCTTCAATTTTTATATACTGACAATTTCTAAAGTTATATCCCCAGCTCAGAACTCTCTTCTGAACCGCAAACCTACTTTACTTTTCCACTTGGATGTCTCACAGACATTTCAGATTCAGTCTGTGCCCAACTGGACTTCTGGCCTTTGCCATCACTACCCAGACACACAAACATGTTCGTCTTGTTATTGTTCCCATTTCCAAAACTAGCACTGCCAGATGCCCAGCTGTTCCAGCCTAGAAACTTCAGACTCATCCTTGATGATTCCCTGTTCCTCACTCAGGTAGTCACTTCATCTCTAAGTCCTATAAACTCAGCCTCCAAAATTAAATATTGGTCCATCTACCTCTTTCCATTCCCAGCTAGTCAAAACCAGTCTGGTATAAACTATTGTATTTCTATTTCCTGCCCTCTGTAATACAGCCTCCCCACAGTGATCTTTTAAAAATCAGATCAAGTAATTCCTTGGTCTAAAATCTTAAATAGGTTTCCCATCCCACCCGGGATCAAATTCGGAGCCCTCAGCATGGCCGACACTACCCTGCACCATCTGGCTTTGTCCACGTCTCATCTTCACACTGAGCTCATTTGTGGCCCGGCCCTTCTCCCAGCTCCTGCAGGAAGCTGAGCTCTGCTGCCTTAGGGCCTCCATAGGCCTCTACTCCCTCACTTTTGCCTTGCTAACACCTACTCATGTTGGAGGCACAGCATAACTTTCACTTCCTCAGGGAGACCTCCCTCTTATCTAATCAACTCCCAGTTAGTCCGTCTCACAGTATCCTTCATCTTTTTACCTGAATCTCATCGTAATTTTAGTTATATGTTATGTTTACTTTTTCTAAGATCTGTCTACACCAGCTAAACTGGAAGTTTCCTGAGGGCAGGGACTGTGTCTGGCACAGCAGAACTGCTAAATATTTGTTGAACGAATGCGTGGATAAATGCATAGTGATGCCTTCAATTGAGAGTATTTCCCACTGTCCATTGTACAATATCAAAGATGACCTTTGCTCTGCCTTTGTTCCTTTTCCTGAACTCTATGATTTTTCAAATGAGTTCTGTCCAAACATCAAAAGTATTGACAGAGATGACAAAAATATAAGGCCCAATATCTTAAATTGGCTATAGATTAATACACAAATAACCTATTTGAGAAAAAAGGCATTTATCCGATCTCCATGGAAATGTCTATAGCCCCTTCTTAAGGATGCTTACATCAAGCTATATTGAAACTACAAGTTTTCATAAGTTATCTCAAACAGAAGTCTTCAAAACCAAGAGACTGAGTTTCTCCACAGCCTTCCCTTTCAAGAATAACCAAATTTTGGCTGTAGCCTCTAGTGCTGGGGTTGTGACCAGGTTTCCTTAGAAAGTTTACAAACATAAATGAAATGGAAGCATAGCCTTATGGTTGCACCTATGATTTTCACACTGGATGAGGTTCCAACTGGAAATAGCACAAAATATCTGAGAATCAGCTTTCTTATTTAATCTGAGTAAATGAAAGGTATGTGATACCTGGAGTAATTTGTTTGATCTCCTTTCTGTAACTGTTGGTTTTAACAATTCCAAAGACCAATGTTTTTGTGAAACAATGTGAAGGAATTAGAAGACTTAAGACAGTAAGTATTAAAAAAATTTAATAGATTAGGAAGGGACTGATTAATTATATTGCATGTCTTCCCATTTGGCAAAAAGATGAGCTCTGCCTCTCAAGTCAGGGTAAGCTTGGGAGGTTGGACACAAGCAAATAAGTAGATGGCATTACTATAGCTAAGGCATGAGGACAGGGACACATGATTAAGACTTTCAGCAAGGAGCAGCTGAGATAGTGTCAACTGCAGACAAGTGTTTCGGAGATGACAAATACATAGCTTAGGGAGAGGAAGGGACCAGGGATCTAAATTGAATGGCTATGTACATGCCTGCAGCTTCCAGTAATTACGTTATCCAAACATATTGGGCAGTCTTTTTATTTTAACTCTGTTGCCACATTTTTCTCTTTAAATGAACATGGTTTATCCCCTTTAACTGACTATTTTAATTTTACAGACAACAATCATTGGATCTAATCTGTAGAGGGAAATTTCCCCATTGGCGTTAATTTACTTCTTGCACAATGAAAAGCTGCCTTTTAATCCCCAATCAATATTTGGAGAGCATGCAATTAATTTAATAGATATCTAGATCATTAACATAAATCTGCAAATTAAAGAGCCAATTATTTTCTTATTTATAATGCATAGAGTAATAGTCGTGTCTCTTAGAAATAATGTAAAGCCTTGCTTCATCAAGATACCAAGATTGTAGGTGAGGTTGCTCTGAGCACAAAATTGCAGTTCTTATTGCTGTTTCCTTTGGTTTCCTATGGAGCAGCACAAGAAACATTCCCATCTCAATTCTGTGCTCTTTACCACAGAGATTACTGGATGACTCACATCAGTTTTGGGTGTACTCTTAAAAGCAGATTGCCAATTGTAATGGAAGCTCTTCATTTTTTCCCTTGTTTCTTTTTAATATGACAATTGCATAACACAAAGCAGAGCTTTTAAAATGTCTGAAAGCATTGACAGTACATGTCAATCAGTAACTAAATGAATTAGCTGAATGATATGCAGACATGGAATAAAAACATAGGAGGTTTTTGCAGCCCAACTCTACTTCCTTAGTTGCATTTTTCTTCTCAGGATCAGCTTGGTTGATCCTGACGCTCTTGGCCTGTGAAAATTTATTACCCACAGAGTCAATCTGCATTCAGGCAGCCAAGTCTGAATAAATAGAATCATTGTGCTTGTCTGGGATTTGTGGCCAGGGTTCATCCAGTCAGCGTGACATTCACATCCCAGGAGATTCATAAAAGCCAACACCCTGGTATGTGCTCTTGAATCCTGCCAAAATTGTGTAGAATTATATAAACAGGAGTTGAAGCAGTAATCAGGACCAGGTTTGAGGGGCAAGGCTCCAAAATGAAGTTTCTCCTACATTAGAAATGAACTGTATTGTCAATGTTATTTGTAGGCAAACAAGAGCTAGACAGTTTTTGCAAAAAACTGAGTATAGTCTCAAATACCTACTAAGTACCAAACATCATGTAAGATGCTGGCTTGTTGGTCTTAATGAATTAGACATTAGTAATATTCGTTATGATAACTTAACCACAGATATTTTGAGTAAATTTTCAATGCCAGGAAATCCCTTGCCCCAATGGACCATACAAAAAGTATATATTAAATATATTAAACCTCATAGCAACACAGAAAAAAAGAATACTGTATGTTCGTTTTTCTTTTTAGTCTTGCATTTTATGTTGTACCTGAGCTAAATACCCAATCTGTTCATAATAACTAATTGGTTTCTATTAATATGGAAACAGAACAATAACTCTAATTGAAAACTGCCTATCAGACCTTTTTCATATCCGTATATGAAGTAATCATATATTTGAACCTCCCATCATAATCAGTGAAACTCAAATGTTCAGCAGAAGGGTTGGTTTGTTTGTTTAACCATCCTAAAGCTTTTAGTTAAGTAATTGCCTTTTTTTTTTTTGAGACAGAGTCTTGTTCTGTTGCCAGGCTGAAGTTCAGTGGCGCGATCTTGGCCCACTGCAACCTCCGCCTCCCGGGTTCAAGCGATTCTCCTGCCTCAGCCTCCTGAGTAGTTGGGACTACAAGTGTGTGCCACCATGCCCAGCTATTTTTTGCATTTTTAGTAGAGACGGGGTTTCACCGCGTTGGCCAGGATGGTCTCAAACTTCTGACCTCAGGTGATCCCCCTGCCTTGGCCTTCCAAAGTGTTAGCATTATAGGCATAAGCCAGCGAGCCTGGCCAGTAATTGTATTTTATAAATAAAATTTTACTGTCACCAGAAGCAAACACAAAATTATTTTATTTTATCATGCCACTCTTTATAAACATTTGCAAAAAGCACAAGCATAGGTAGAAATATACAAACATGTAATTGCCTTTTTTTCATGTTAATGGACTATAATTTCCAAAATTGAAATGGTCAGCCAACTTAAATATCACTGAGCACAGAGACTCATAACGCTGTTTCCTAAAATATTTTCTCATCGAATCTCCTCGGAGACTCAATGGAGATTTATGTAGATTTAGTTGTGTCCAACCAGCCTGGGCCATGGGATATGCCTAGTTTCAGCCTGAGGACCCTAAATGGAAATCTGGAAAAAGAAAATTATATAAAAACCAAAACATGATCCATCAAATTTGGGCAAACATACAATTAAGACAAAAATGGGAAACCATTGCCTTTGTTATGATGAAGAATTCATAAAAGGATCTACATTTTTGAAAGTAAGCGAAGTTTTTGTTAATGGTGGGTATCAATACCACCAACACAGACTCTCCATTCAGGAGCCAGGAGAGGGGTTAGGCATCATTAGTTGATAGGCACGCTTTTCTCAAACACAGCTGCCAGCAGGGTTGCTGGTTGGCAGAAGAAGTGGAATTCTCCCTCCAGGGGACATTGTTATTTAACTCAGAGGAATAGCCCTTTGTCCCATGACTTCAATGGTTTTTTTCTTCAGTAGCTTTTCAGGAAGTGAAACCCTACAAGAGATGTTGTTCCTTGGAGTATACGCTATCCCTCATTTCCAGGCATGGGCAGTGTCATATAGTAAAGGATTTACCGACAGTCCCTCAGGTGTTTGGTCCAGATATACAGTTGTAAAGTTGAGTTTTTGTTTTTCTTTTTCCAAAGCTTCTCCGAGTAGGGCTGGTTATCTCACAAGCCCAGCTTTTCTCAGGAGACTCTCTTAGCCTGTTGTTTCTACACGGAGAAAAATCATGTGTGATCATTCAAGGTCCCTTGGCACTTCCCAATTCCATCCCCACCAGATCTGCAGCCAAAAGGTTGTGTTAATTAAAACAAGACCATGTTTAAGAAGCAGACCAGATAGTGGCTAGAATGTTAGGCCCCCAGATATGGTCATCTGCACGCTAGAAAACCCTGCACGCAAGGATTCCAGTAGAGAGATCTGATTCTCTGGAGAGATCTGATTCACATTATTTCTCTGAGTACCTCTTCTTTCAACCTGGATTTGTTCTTAAAGTTCAAGGCATTTCAAAGAAGACTGTGTGATTATTATACATTACATGCGAAAGCACTTTCACATATAAATCGTAAAGCACTGTTCACTTGAGAGGTAAAAATCCTGATAACAATAATAACACATTCAGAACTGGTTCAGCTTTCTCTTGTATAATTGGTTTGCAAAGTGCAATTAAGAAATTAGGAGAATCTTTCCTAATCATTACAAACCTGTTTTTACCTTCAAATATTGCTATTTTGCCTAAGTAAAAAAAGGTTTAAATGAAACATAAAGCCAGACTTAGATTTAAGTTCTTCAAGCCCAGATTGCATTTTTAACAAAAATACCAAAACATTTTGTGTTATTTTCATCTGGTCTTTCTACAAAAACAAAGTAACATTTGTATTTCACAATTTAGGCGCTAGTTGCTTTCATATTACTCAACCACCTGCCAAGGCCAGTGGAAAGTGGACAGGACTCTACCAAAGCATCATATTGCGATAGCATAAGGACTTTTTAAAGGTCCAGAATGTATTTGGCAAACTGAACAAAATAGGAAATGACTAATCCCAGTATCCACCTGCTGAGCCAAAGATGAAAGCCATTAATGGACATCGCCATCTTGGCCTTGCTCAAGGTCTGGCCTGCATTGAAATTGCCCTGTGAGATGAGTTCCAGGAACATGTGAATGACCAAAGCCCAGATGAGCAGGCCACAGAGTCATGATGGAACCTGCAGTACTTAGTGCTTTCATCTGGTGGAGGGATTGGACCACGAAGCAGCGGTTTCTGCGCACACAGGTCTTTTTTGTGCTAGGAAACTTGATCCATTGTCCAAGCAGAACCTAAATAGTCTAGGCTGTGATAAGGAGCTACGTCAGTATCACCTTTATGCAAAGCTTCATCGTGTGCATACGATCGCCTCATGCTCCAGTCACTCTGACATGTCATCTCTTCTGCATTAAATTCCACCAAGGCTGGAACTATCTGGAAAGACAAGTCAACTGGCACTTTTCGAACTTAGCACTTATTAGTGGCGATTTACTTTCTATTTTTTCCCCTAAAATTGTATGTCACAGACCTCTAGAAAAGACCTGCCCATTCTAGTGAGATCTGGAAGCCAAGGCAGCTGTCCAGAAGATAAATCACTTCCTCACTTTGACCAGCATCACCATCTGCACTCCACATTTAAACTTCCATTCCTAAGAACCAGAAGTTTAGATGCATATACTACCTGCATTGTATCTCCTAGCAGCTCAGCCAGCGTTGGGTCTGATGGCTACTCTTGTTTGTTTGCTGTCACTTTGAAATTGTAGCTAGACAGGCACATGTATGCATGTGTGCACATCCAGAAGGCACAGTTGCCTTGCCAAAACTCAGTCCCAGGAACCACATTTCAGCCACCTGATTCTGAGAACAGGCAGCTGAGCTTGGATCTTCCACCAGCATCCAACAGCACCAGTAGGTTTGCCCGCTCTGCCAGGCGAATCTTCAGCGATGTTCGCTCCTACCCAGACCTAACCCAGACAGCTACTTCCTTTACATAGTTCTGTCATGGTGAGCCCTGGAGGTAAAAAGAATTCTTCCCCAGAAGATTTTGACAAGGGCCAAGATCAACAATAAGGATATAACCCTCTTGAGAAGAGAAGTTAGTCTCAGAAACCTGAAATCCTCCCATCTCCTTTGCCAACACTTGTCTAAGAGGTGACTCCTATTATTCCCCTTCACTGGCATCCCCAGATAAAGGTTTCCCCCAGTGTCTGTTAGCATCCACCCAGTGTCCCAGCAGTCCTCTTCTCACTGAAACTGCCACAGTTCAGAATTCACCTAGTCCCCTTTGCTTTCAACCTCCAGCCACAGGAGTCCATGGTGAGGCCAAGACAGAATGGGGCTGCTCTGTGGAGCCCTCACTGGCCTGGTTCCTTTACTTACTGGCTCTGAGACCACAGGCAAGCTAATCTTCCTGGACCTCTGTTTCAATATCTTAAATGCACTGGACAAAAATATTAAAGTAGATTAATATAAAATATTTTCTATGAATATAAATAAATGTTAGTATAAAATTATGAAAACAAGCCTGGCCAACGTGGTGAAACCCCATCTCTACTAAAAAACAACTACAAAAATTAGCCAGGCGTGGTAACAGGCACCTGTAATCCCAGCTACTCAGGAGGCTGAGGCTGAGTTGCCCCGAGAATCTGGCTTAGGGCTAGATATCACCCACCCCACATCATGGTGAACACTAATAACCTCACACATGGTCATGGTCTTCTTGCCATCATCCTCCCACTTCAGAGTGACCTCTTACCACCCCCACACCAGGCATGTGTCCCCCAGCCCTCCTCCAGGCATCCTTCAGGGCCCCTCTCACCTATAATGTTGCTTTCATGGTGTTCAGAATGTCCTGCCCTGCAGGGTGCCATGTATCTTCTATGCCCTCCATAGAGCCTTTACCTGGACAGGGACAGTCCCTGCGGCACCCTCTCATGTTGTCCTCACACCTTTCTCTTCTTGCTTCTGACTGATAGCATCTGCCTTCGTTTTCATTTGTGATGGCAAAAGCCTCCAGAGTCTAGAAGAGCCACGTGCTTTGGAGCAAGGAGAACCAGGAAGTGGATGTCACACGTGGGTTTATCTCTAGGGAGTGAAATGTCCTAGAAATGCTCAAAAAAATAAGTATGTCTCTCTCAGTCCTCTCGGATTTGACTTGCCAAATTAGAGCCGTCCCTGACAATCTGGCCTCACGTAAGGCCCCCAGATCACTCTGTTGATAACAGAATCCACCTTATGAGATAATGTTGCCTGTGCAAACTTCATCTGGTATGGTCAACCCTAATCAGCATTTTTCTCAGGATATACTAGGTGCTCAATAAATGTTTTTTATTGTCTATCAAATTTCTAGTAGACATAAACAAACCTAAGTAATGTGGGGAAGCAGAAGATAGTCAAATATTTTTCAAAGAGGAAAATGTGTCCAAGTATTTAAATAAAGCAAATAGGGAAATAATACACAGATGTGAAAAAAATGTATTTCCACAAACCTCTTAGATTGGAGATCGTGGCAAACAGTAGTATTTGTCATCCCCGAGGTTACCTGCTCACATCTTGTAAGTGTTATGGGTTGAGAGAGAGCTCTTTTAGGTGGAGGGAAAATGAGCTAGGATCTCTGCCATCAATGTTCTTTTAAGGAACTTGGGAAGCCAAAAATAAAATTGTCATGAGGCAGACGGCATACTCCCCAAAAATGACTAGAATCCAGGGCTACTTCATGTTACAGACTAGGAGTGCATGGAGAGGAGCTTGAGAACTTTTACAAAAGAGTTAACACTTAACACAAAGGGTGAGCTAGACCTCAGAGTGTCTGCTGTGAACAGAGGGAGGAGCTGATAGACAGAGAGCCAGAAAATCACACAAGCATCAGTTGGACTCAACATTAGGAATTAGAAGGATTCGTCCTCTGCTGACCCCGTTCAGCTCTGTGCTTTCGTTATTGGCATGCTCCTCAGGCCCTGAGGTCTGCCTTCTTATCATGATCTTATTTAACAGGGTTTATAAGCAGCAAGTCATATTTGCACAGAGCAGTCCTCATTAGAGCGACTGTACAGCCCCATGTGCCCAGAACAGCCAGGTTTTCTCGTTTTGTCTCTGACTCCAGTCTGGTTAGCATCCCCTTTCTCTCTCAAATTTGTTCTTATTTGGATGATAAATTATATTATCATCCCTGACTGCCTGACCCCTATAGAGAATGGGATGAGGTCAAAGTTGACCGAACAAAATGCTTCCTAGGCAGCATTTATTTCTAGGAATCCGAAAATGCAAAAGACTCATTATTGCTGAGGAAAAAATAGAGAGGAGTAAGAATTTTTCCTTTGTCTTGCAGATATTACTAAACGGGTTGAAAAATACTAAATGGAAGCCCACAACATAAAAAGTTAAGAGACCCATTAACTAGGACTGAAGTGGAAAACAATGGCATAAAAGTTCAGATAATGAAACATAAAATTGCTTATAGATGTGGAAGGAAATTAAACCGTGAAATAAATTAATAAGTACAAGTCTCAACTTGAAAAAGAACAGCAAAAATGTAAGGCTTTACAAATAGAACTTCTATAAAAATATGTGATTGGGTCTAAATTTTACAGTGTGCTTCAGTAACAGCAAAACACAAACTAAGATTGGCTGCAAGGGCGTTTATTCAAGTATTTGAATATGGATACAATGTCCTATCACAGGTGCAACAAGCTGATTAAAATCCCTGTGCAGAGATACCTCCTTTATTGTCAGCAGAATAAATCTGATACTGTTGATAGCAAAAATGGAGGTTACTGACATCCATAATGAAAACACAAAGATATATCCCAACCAGTTGAAACCTAAATCTTTTTCTCTTAGAACAGTAGCAAAATGTAGATCCAGAAACCTCAATCCATTTTTTATGACTGTTATTGATGTTTCTTACTTAATTGGCATTTAATAACTTCAGTCGCATGCATCCAGCTAGCTACTCAGAGTCTCCACTGAAACATCTTGTAGGCAACTTTAACTTCACACACCCAACACTCAATTCTGCCTTTGCCCCCTGCTCTTATGCCCCCAGTTTAATCCACTTAACAAGTGGATCTCCATCCATACCAGGTGCCCAAGCCAGAAACCTGGACCTCACACCTGATGCCTCTCCCTGGCCTGCCACATCCAATCAGTCACCTGTTCCCTCAATCAGACCTTCACAATGTAACACTAGCTCTCTCCATCTTCACTACTACCATGCTCTTCTCTTGCCCACATCACTGCAATAACCTCAAACTTTGTCGCTTCCTACCCAATTCCATTCATCATGCAGAAGCCAGCAAGATGTTTGAAAAATCTTATTGCCTCCCTCCGTACTATTTTTTTTAATTATATAATAGATTCACAGGAAGTGCAAAGAACATATAAGCAAGCCCCATGCATGCTTCACCCAGCTTCCCCTAATGTAAACCCTTCGATGACTTTCTATTGTCCTGTGTTAATACCTAACATACTTCACTTGATGTCTAAAACCCTTGGGATTGGCCTCATCTTGCTCTGCTGCTGTCCCTACCACTTGCCGAACCGCAGCACAGTGACATCTTGTAGTTCTTCAGCTGAGCCAGGATCTAGGCCAGCTCCTGGCCTTTGCTCCCAAACTAGAGCTTCCCTGCCTAGAGCACTCCCCTCGCCACCCACCCCCATTTCTCTGATGTGATCATTTTTCTTTATCCTTTAAGCCTCAGCTTTGTTATTTCTTACTTAGTAAGCCTTCCTTGACACTCATTCCAAACAAGGTTTCCTTCATTAGTTGGTTTCAGAGCACCCTGTCCTCTTCAGCCATGCCCCTTGGAATGTAGACTGCTGTGTGTGTGTGTGTGTGTGTGTGTGTGTGTGTGTGTGTGTGTGTGTGTGTGTAGCTTTTCATGTCTGCCCCACCTCTAGACACTAAGCACAATATTGCAAGGGCTTTGCTTGTTGTGACTGCCACCTAAGCCAAGTCCAGTGCTTGCACATAGTAGGTACTTCAGACTGAATTACAAACCTCTCCAGGCGTAAGTTCTGTTTCTATCAAGTAAGAAATGAGATCATTCTGAGAGCCCTCTGAATTTCAGCCTCTCCCTTTGTTTTCCTCCCCACTCCAGGATCCATGAGCTTGTTCAGTGCTTGACCCAATTACAATAAGGGCATTTAATTTCCTCTTTGATTTCCCTTCAATAACAGAATGTGACTTGTAATTCATTTAGCATACATTGAAACCTGAATATCTACTGATTGTGTTCCCAAGCAACAAGCTTGCTATAATAAAGACAGAGAAAATATGTCATCTCTTGAGGAGAACCTGAAAATGGCAATTTCTGGCAGAAAAAAAAGAACATGTTTTGTCTCATAGACTGGAGTTTAGAATCATTCGTAATGAATAATGAACTCAGGAAGGATCAATGACGTGTTCTCTTAACCCTCTCAACCTATTTTGCTGAGAACTGAATAAAAGGCAAGTCGCAAGGAAGAGATGATGTGAGATTTAGGAAGAGAAAAATATAGTTGCTGTAATGTATAACTCTTGAAGGAATGAAATTGGGCAATTCATCTAGTTTACTATGAGTACTTTTTCAAGTTTCAATCATGAGTCACCTAATTTTTTCTTTGCCATTTAATTCCAATATTTATTCGTTTCATTATTTTCCAGTAGTAAAATAAAATAGTGTGCAAAAGCTGAAGGTTTTTTTAAAGAGAGGAGTCAGTAAAAACATCTTGGTGGCCTTTGCTCTGGTATATATACAATTAATATAATGCCATGAAGGGTTTTTTCCTCAAATTATTTAAAACATCTGACATATACTCCTCTTCTTTCATAATAGATGGTGAGTTTTTGTAAAATTTTTAATGATGTAGAGTGACTGCAAATTAAATAGCACAATGAAAATTAGTCATTAAAAAATAGCAGAGCAGGCCAGGCGCAGTGGCGCACACCTGTAACCCCAGCACTTTGGGAGGCTGACGCAGGCAGATCACTTGAGGTCAGGAATTCGAGACCAGCCTGACTAACACAGTGAAACCCCGTCTCTACTAAATACAAAAAAATTAGCTGGGTTTGGTGGCGCATGCCTGTAATCCCAGCTACTCTGGAGGTTGAAGCAGGAGAATCGCTTGAACCAGGGAGGCAGAGGTTGCAGTAAGCTGAGACCGCATCACTGCACTCCAGCCTGGGCAACAAGAGTGAAACAACATCTCAAAAAAAAAAAAAAAAAGAAAAAAAGCAGTGCAGGCAATTGATGGTGCTAAGTACCATGCTGTTGCATGCGTGGTAGCATACATCATGTGACAGATTGGAAGAGTGAAGAATCAACAGAGAACACTGCTTAGTGCCTCGTAGGGTGCCCTGTCTCTCGGCCCAGAAGGACCTTTTGTTCCCAGCATCACACCAGTCTGCTAAAGGAAAGCAGCCCTTGCTCTAAGCTTCCAACTCAGCTTGTATTAGAAGACGGGGCTAACATCAGTCCTGTGGCATTGCCAACAGGTGCCGCCACTGGGATGCCTCAATTCCTAGGCACTCCATTGGCGGCCAGACAGCAGTGTTTCTTCTTTTTGTTTGTTTGTTTTCCTTTCGCTTTTTAAATCATTTTCTGACCAGCTGCACATCAGCAAGCGCTGTTTCCGTATCACAGAAGTCAGCAGGAATTGTTTGGAGGTGGGAGAGAAAAGAGTCAATAGCCTTTTAAAATATTGACAGCCTTGGTCTATTTCCATGACTAGGGAGAAATTCAGATGCCATGTTGAAGGTTTCTATTGAACTTTTAGTTACACCTCTTATGATTTCTGTTACTCCAGGAGGAGCCAGTCTCTCATGGCTCCTGCTGAGATGATGTTAAGAGACAATACTAATAATACATTCCACCTTTCTTTGGGGCAGTTCAAAAATACTTCTTGTATATTCAGCCAAACAGTCAGGAGTAGGGAGTTAAATTAAGTTCAAGTATCGCGGCCTAAAGCGAAAGCCATCTTGCTGAGTGAGAGGGAAACTCTCCAGGAGACAAACCTGCCAGCAGTGATGCCACCTGTTGCCTGCTGGGTGCGTTTTATCAGCATGCTCTGCGCTGGCTCCATGGAAGAGCACAGGAGAGGGACTGAGGGGAGAGGGAAGCACCCATCCCTGGAGGTGTCTGCGTGGGTTCCTCAGGCTCCGGTCCTCTTCCCCTGCCTCTCGCTGCTCCCTCAGCTCTCCTTATCAAGAAGATCAGTAGATCTGTATTCTTTTATCTGTTGTGGTAATCCTATGACAATGGAATACCAGGACATGGGGTCTTCATTCAGAATCTAGGGAATGAGGAGGGGACAGTAACCCCTTGGATTGTCCATAGTAGCCTGGACACGGACTGACTGTCTCTTTCAGCACCCTATTCAGAGAAGGAAAGGGTGGTTTGGAAACTAAGCCGGAGGTTGAAGGCCAGACGCAAGGTCCATAGCAAATGAATGGCAAAACCTGTCCCAGAATGTCGGACTCTCCAACCCCGGCTCAACACACTAGATGGTTTTCCTAATTCAGTGTTGCTGCATTACTTATGGAAGTTGTCTCAATTCCCCTTATCTTTGCCAGGCCCTGGAGCTCATGTTCCCTACAGCCCTTCTTTCTGCTCTCCTTTCATTCCTACTCTGCCGCAGTGTTTCTCTGCAGGCACCCTTTGTCATTTTAAGGGGACAATTCTTCATTATACAAGGGACCTTCCTGCTCTTTGAAGGGCTTTAGTATCCCTGGCCCCAGACACTACTGCCATTATTGATCCCCCTCATGAATGTAATGCACAGAAACACCCTCATCAATTCCAGACACCCAGGGTTTGGGAGTCATGGGTGCCCCGGTTGAGAGCTGCTGCCAGAGGCTGGGACAGGCCCCTGCTGTGCCGTCTAGCCCAGTGCTATCAATGCCTTCTCTCTCCTGACCACATCCTTCCTTGTCTTTAAAATTATGCTCAGATTTCAGAGGGAAGGCTTTCCTGACTGATTCATCCCTCTAACATTTACTCAGCAGATATGTACTGACACCGGCTCATGGTTCCAGGCACCATTTGAGGAGTGGCCGCCCATCCCTGCACCTTCCTGACACTGCCCTGCCTTAATCTTTCATGTCCATGTTATTCTAAAAGTGTACCGAGGTCATCCAGCTCCTACCTTAGGAAGGAGCTTTTCTGGGACGATAACTGCTTCTACTTTTATTTTTATCCCAAGATGTGGAACTGTCACCAAGGGTGTATTTTATTTCCATAACAGAGAAAATGGTTCTGAGGTGACTTTTTTTTCTAACCTGAAGATTCTATTTTTCCTGATATCTAAATGTGATGGGCTATCAGCATGAGAAGTATTGTGAGGTCCTTGGTCAACAGTAAACATAGGCCAGGCGTGGTGGCTCACACCTGTAATCCCAACACTTTGAGGGGCAGAGGCGGGTGGATCATTTGAGGTCAGGAGTTCGAGACCAGCTTGGCCAACATGATGAGACCCTGTCTCTACTAAAAATACAAAAATTAGCTGGGTGTGGTGGCATACACCTGTAATCTCAGCTACTTGGGAGGCTGAGGCAGGAGAATCGCTTGAACCTGGGAGGCAGAGGTTGCAGTGAGCTGAAATCAGGCCACTACACTCCAGCCTGGGTGACAAAGAGATACTCTGTCTCAGAAAAAAAAAAACAGTAACCATGACCTGTGTATCATGCAAAGAGGAAAGGACCATTGCACACTCCTTGTTTCCCGGTGCATGCTGAGTAGGCCTGGTCTACTGACCTCCCCAGTCATGACTTCTGAGACAGAGAGCATCGTGTGCCATCTGCCTTCCTTGGCCTCATTGGGCCCAGAGATAGAAGGCAAATGGGTGAAAAATAGAATAGCCAGAGAAAAGGAAAGCAAGTACAAAACTTGGGAGAATCCGATGGAGAAATGGAGCCCTTTTTTTTTTTTTTTTTTGAGACAGACTTTTGCTGTTGTTGCCCAGGCTGGAGTACAATGGCGCGATCTCAGCTCACTGCAACCTCCGCCCCCCAAGTTCAAGCAATTCTCCTGCCTTGGCCTCCCGAGTAGCTGGAATTACAGACATGTGCCACCATGCCCATCTAATTTTGTATTTTTAGTAGAGACGGGGTTTCTCCCTGTTGGTCAGGCTGGTCTCGAACTCCTGACCTCAGGTGATCCACCTGCCTGGGCCTCCCAAAGTGCTGGGATTACAGGCGTGAGCCACCATGCCCGGCCAAAATAGAGCCTTTTTTATGATTTTTTTCTTTTAGTTTTTTTATTATGGGAAATTTCAGCATACACACACACACACACACACACACACACACACATTAATTTTAGTAGAAGAAAAAAACAAAAAACAAATCAATACATTTTCAATACAAAATGAAAGTTTTGTTCATTTCATGTAGGGAAATGGCCAGAATAATATAAGAACCTGCCCTGTGCTCATCGCCTAACGTCAGCAGTTCTCAGCCCAAGGCCATCTTGTCTTATGTATGTGCCCACCCACTCTGCCCTTCTCCCACTGTATTTTTTAAATTTTTTTATTTTATTTATTTATTTTTGAGATGGAGTTTTACTCTTGTTGCCCAGGCTGGAGTGCAGTGGCATGATCTTGGCTCACTGCAACCTCTGCCTTCTGGTTTCAAGCGATTCTCTTGCCTCAGCCTCCTGAGTCACTGGGACTACAGGCGCATGCCACCACACCCAGCTAATTTTTGTATTTTTAGTAGAGACAGGATTTCACCATGTTGGCCAGGCTGGTCTTGAACTCCTGACCTCAGGTGATCCACCTGCCTCAGCCTCCCAAAGTGCTGGGATTACAGGTGTGAGCCACCGCACCCAGCCCTCCCACTGTATTATCTTAAAGCATATCCCAACAGCAGATAATTGTATCCATTAACATTTCAATGTGAATTTTAAAAACCATTGTCATAATATCATTAACTATGCCTAAAGCAAATCAATAATCCCTTGAGATTTCTAGTGGCATTCCATATTCCAACTGTGGAAACTTTCAATCTGAAATCCGAGTGAAAAATTACACCTTCATTGGGAAAGAAGCTACAAAGAAACCAAAACAGACCTTTTTGTTTTCTTATAGGAAAGGACAATAAAGCAATGGGAAAGTGATTTCAGAGAAGTAGCTCTGGTCTTTGCCAATTTCCAGAGGCCTGTCCAAGCTTACCTGGGTACAGTCCTTTGCCCCCCCGACAAACTCATCCCCTAGTTGCAGGTGTGCATTGCCGGGCTTCAGTTAACTGTCCGTGAAGGTTCATTTCATCACACACATTTCACATTTTACAACAGTGCTCTCTACTTCATTGCTAGTCGTTTAAAATTTGGCCACATGGCAAAAATGTGTGTAATGCAGGGGTCTTTTTTTTAAGTGTTCATTGAGCACGTAATTCAAAAGTCAGAATATTAAATAAACATCTCTGCCCTTTCTTTCTTCCAGCAGGCAGCTCAGAGAACGGCTCTCCGCGCTCTCTCTGACAGGTACATTTTGTCATTTTTATGAACTATAAATTGCTTTATGAAACATTGAGCCCTATTTATTGTGGCATATAATTCATAATCGGATTTTGTCCCTAAAGTATCTCTGAACTGGGATGTTAAACATTTTGCATGCTTGGATTTATCATGCATGTGTGGAGTTTATCACTGCAAAAATCGCCTTGTTGTATTTCATAGCAAGTATGAAGAATCCCTTGTTGTGCAATGAAACAAGAGACAAGAAACTTAGAGAGAAAGGCCTGAGTGGTGCGGTAAATTCTGAACTTTGGAACTGGCTGAGATCTAAGCTCATTTTTCAGCAATAAATACTTCATTTATTTTGAGATGTTTTCTTCAGACTTTTTCCATATCATTTCACCGGGAGCTATCTATCTTTTGATAAGATTCTCTCTCTTGAAATATTTTATGCACATAACCCAACAACTCACGGTCCCACGTGCTTGACTTTTTACTCCTTGCTTTGGCGTCTTTCTCCTGGCGCGTGTTACTGAATGAGATGTGTAAACCTCATCAAGAAACACACACAGGCTGTATTTTATATCCTGCTTTGTCTGAAAGGCTGTAGACAGATAGTTGAATGTGGGTATGTAAAGTCACTTTCTAGAATAGACCAGACCCTTGGTTTGGTTTGGTTGGTTTTGGTTTTTGTTTTTTCACTTACTAAGATTGGAGAGAGAGAGAGAGAGAGAGTGTGTGTGTGTGTGTGTGTGTGTGTGTGTGTGCGCGCGTGTTTTGAGGAACTGTCAGGAGGTAAAGATGAAATCCCTGTGTGTCTCCACAGCATTAGAAGCAGCAGGAGGAGCTGTGCCCTTGGCTGACTGGCTGGCAGCCACCTCCACATTGTCTAGCTAACCTTCACCACCCTGCCTTCCTTCCCAGTTCCTTTTTCATGGAATGAGCCATCATTGACTGTGTAAACCAGCTTAGCTCGGTGCTTCCTCCAAAGTAAAACCTGTCACTTAGGCGAATTATCTGGTGTGCATGAGTGAAAAGCATTTTCTGTGTGGTGGCAGACTGAGCATGAGTATTTTTATTTCAATTACAAAACCTTCCCCATGACAACCACACAAGCCTGCGTGTCCTGAGTGGCTGGCACATGATCTTCTGGAATTGCTTTTGGGATTTTCACAAAAGCTGATGACTGCTCTGCTTCTGAATGTGTCAGTAGGAGGAGGAAAGAGTCTAGATCAAAACACATGTAGAATATAACATAGTCATTTCTTTCCTATACATATTTCTTTTCTGTCTTTGACTTTTCTTCTTAAGTAAGCAGTTCCTTCAACAAAATGCACTGAGACGCAAGGGAAACTTGGTCATTGTTAATGAGTACAAGATTTCTTTTGGAGATGATGATGTTGTAAAAATAGATTATGGTGATGGTTGCACAACCTTGTAAGTATACCAGACCACTGAATTGTATGCTTTAAATGGGTGAACTTTTTGGAATGTAAATTATATTTTAGTAAAGCTACACATATAAATACAGGAAAAAAAAGGTCATTATGACCTTTAGTAGAATGAATCAAAACCTATTTTAGGAAAATAAGGATTTATTTTGAAGACATGGTCACAAATACAAAGACAATTCATCAGAAACTAGGACTGATACATTCGAAGATTTCTTCCCAAAACATATACAACTTTGTCCTAAAGAGAAAATGTCCATGGATGTTAATGATGAACAATGCCATTTCCTTTTTTTCTGATATTTTCACAAAAAATCCCTTGTCAAGCCCATTCCCCACCCAAAAACAGAGGTTTTCATTGTCACCACTCTTCTTACAAATTTCTTTATCCTCAAATGTAATAGGGCATTTCCCTTACTTTACTGTAGCACTTTTTCTATTCAGAATTGGTCATTTCAAAGTGACGAGCTGACTTTGCTATTCTAGCAGTGCAGTTGTGTAAAGCTACCTTCTCTGTGTGTTTTCTTTTTTCTTTCTTTCTTTTTTTTTCTTCAACTTGTATTTTAAGTTCAGGGGCACATGTGCAGGATATGCAGGTTTGTTACATGGGTAAACATGTGCAATGGTGATTTGCTGCACCCATCAACCCATCACCTAGGTATTAAGCCCAGCATCTATTAGCTGTTCTTCTTGATGTTATCCCTCCCCTGACACCTCACCGGCAGGACCCAGTGTGTGTTTCCCCGTCATGGGTCTCATCATTCAGCTCCCACTTAACAAGTGAAAACATGTGGTGTTTGTTTTTCTGCTCCTGCATTAGTTTGCTGAGGATAATGGCTCCATCCATGTCTCTGCAAAGGACGTGATCTTGTTCCTTTTTATGGCTGTATAGTATTTCATGGCATATGTGTACCATATTTTCTTTACCCAGTCTATCGTTAATGGGCATTTGGGTTGATTCCATGTCTTTGCTACTGTGAACAGTGCTGCAGTGAACGTACACGTGCATGTGTCTTTATAATAGAATGATTTATATTCATTTGGGTATATACCCATTAATGGGATTGCTGGATCAAATGGTATTTCTGCCTCTAGGTCTTTGAAGAATCACCACAATGTCTTCCACAATGACTGAACTAATTTACACTCCCACCAACAGTGTACAAGCATTCGTTTTTCTCCACAGGCTCTCCAGCATCTGTTGTTTTTTGACTTTTCAATAACAGCCATTCTTTTTCTATTGTCTATTCTCTACTAATTCAGGGCCACAGACGTAATCCCCATAAGTGATAAGCATTTGTAACCATTTCAAGATGGAAATTAAAACCCTTCTTCAAAATAATGATTTTAAAACACTTGCTGAATTAATTGCATTCATATTTTCTAGTTTTTAAGTAGAGAATAACTTATCAAGTGACAGATGTCATTTTCTCTCACATTACTTATTCTTTTGAATAAACCAATATTTTCTAGAAAAATGACCCGAGTGCCTCAAGTCAGACCACTGTATGACTTGCCTAATGTTCTGGCTGCCAGAGGAACCTCAGGGTGGGAAAGGAATTGAGTAAAGATCTCCCCAGGTCCTGAATATCCCAAAGTGGGGTTCTAGGCCCAATATCTCTGGCTACTTGGAGCCTGGTATTAACCTATTATACATTCATTTACACAAACCATCCTGGTTCCCTAAACCTTTTGCTTTCAGCCTGTTATCACCTCTTTATATAAAATTTCATAATGATTAGCTCATGCCTTCATCTTTGTTCTTGGGGGAGAAGCACTTTTCAGACCTCAAAAGGTGCTTCCTGAGTTCTATAATTCTGGGACAGGACAGAAAAGCCCGTACTGGCTCTGGCCATGCACACTGGTTCCTCATGGAGGAGCATGTCTGTGACACACTCTGGGTCTTATCCTCCTTCAGAACCTCAGTGTCCTATAAGTTTGCTCATCCATGGGCTCATTTCACTTCCACTGAGCCTCAACCTTGAGTGTCCAGTGAACACAAGGACATTTAGACAAGGCCGGAGCTATTTTGTTCCAAGATACACAAATCGATGATGAAACAGGATTTCATTGACTTGGGGTTGGTGGAAGGACATGAGTTTACACTGTAGGAAGCCAGTTTTTGTTATCTGTTTCCCTATAAGGAAGCCCAACTTCAAAGCCTTGAGATCTGACCTGATGAGACCAGTTATAAGAAAAAGAAAGGGGTGTGTTTCCCTTTCCCTTCCTAAGGAGTGGGTAGAAGTCTCATCCCTCTGGGTTGTTGGAGGTTAGAGAATGTCCAGATGTCTTTGGAAAGTCAGTCTTGTCTTTCCATTTCTCCAGTCGCCTGATTTATTTTCTAAATTGGCATTTCAGCACAAATCCAATATCTGACAGTTTAGACTGTATGCTTTAAAGTTCAGAGAATCTTCTGTAATCAATATAACATCTTGATAAATTAAAACTGTGATATTTCCGTTACATAAATTTTAAAAATCAACTGTGATCATCCCCAAAAAACCTTTTCCCTTGCTTGGTTTTGCCTGACCAATGGACTTAATTTATGGTTCACCCCAAATAGGCAAAATGTGCTTCAGGTTGAAACTGGATCACCATGGCAAGCAGAAGGGGAGTTTGGGCTTCAGCCCCACTCACTTGCGCCTCCCGCCCAGCAGTGACAAGAAGGGGTGTGTGAGAGTGGGATGGTGTGTTGTCTGTTCTTTTCTACTCTGGACAGTAGAATTTTTTTATCTATTTTATACCACTGAGAGTCAACTGGCCTACCAGAGGCCCATTTATGTCCCCCAGAAATGAAAAAAGCAGACAAACAGGGCAAGAAGAGATGGCAAAATTCTTTTTTCTTTTCTGGTTTTGTTTGTTTGTTTGTTTTTTGAGACAGGGTCTCACTCTGTCACCCAGGCTGGAGTGCAGTGGTGTGATCACAGCTCACTGCAGCCTCGACCTCCCAGGCTCAAGCCATCTCAGCTCTCCCCGTGCCCTGCCCAGTGCCATGGTAGCCACCATGCCTGGCTAATCTTTGGACTTTTCGTAGAGGGGGGGCTTCACCATGTTGCCCAGGCAGGTCTCGAACTCCTGGGCTCAAGTGATCTGCCTGCCTTGGCCTCCCAAAGTGCTGGGATTACAGGTGTTAGCCACCACACTCGGCCCAGCAAAGTTCTTGACAAAGTAAAGAAGCCAATTACAAGAAAATCTCAGTTTGCAAAGGGACAGAATTCGTCTCACTTATTCACTGCTTATTGTGTGCCTCTCGTGTTTTTTCTTCTTGTGGGTCGGTGTATTTGATGCTGGTTAGTAGAGACAAAGAAGAAGGACAAACAGGATAAAGGTGGATCTTTGGTGTGGACCCTCTGCACTGCGAAAGAAGCCACATCACCGCCAATGTGGAAAATATGCAAAGTGCCGTTAGGAAGAAGGAAGGATATGTGTGCAGCATATGAAGTGCCTTGAATACGATTAACTTCCCTTCATGAGTAGTAAATAGTAGATAACTCTGATCAAAAAAGGGATTCATGTGATTTATCAAGCTGAGCAACTGCGCGTCTGCAGAGAAGCTGGAGGTCAATCTTGAAATCTAGGGCAAGAGGAGCACTAGGCAATTGCCAGGACTAAGAAGTTAATCATACCCTTGGACTGCTTCCATCTGTCTCAGAGTGACAGCGCTGCTCTCAGCGAGCAGGCATGCTTTATAGCAGCAGATCAGGAATTAATATTTTCTGTGAAACCTCAAGCATCATTTGCAGTAACTTGGGTTTTATAAAAATGGAACATAATTTTATATGAATAAATCACGTTCAGCTAGAAATACGAGAGGCTGCAAAAAATTATGCTTGACTTAAAAAAAAAGAGAGAGGAACGAGCAAAAAAGCCAACATGAAAACAGTTGTTGAAGCGATGGCACTTGGAGGGCACAGATAGCCATGTGGTTAAATTGTGCATATAATCATCTGAAATGTCAGCCTGCGACTCCAGCAACGGCTACATTTTTATAGCCTTGGAGATGCATCACCAGACTGTAACCTGTCTGCCCATCTGGCAGTATCTCAGGCCCAAGATCCATTTATATTGAAATCCAAACAACTGCCATTGATTTATTCATTTATTTCACAAATATTTACTGAACGCATCCAGCATGCTCTGTGGGGTGCTGTGCTGGGGCTGGGGGTGCCAGGATGAGAAACAGCCGTGTGGCTGTGCTCTTGGCTTCACCAGCCAGACGAGTGTTGCCTTTGCAAGGAGAAAGGACTCACAAGGCTTACACATTTGCTGCCCTCAGTTTTGCCCTTTCTCAAATAAATCTCACACATCCAATCTCCTTGTTGCCCATTAGGGAGTATATAATGAAATTAAGTAAATGAGGAATTGCCTAAAACTAAGGGAGTTTCACCTCCATGTAGGTAGAAGAATGTGAAATGGTCTGTGTCCAGAAGCCAGATCAGAAATGGTCCATAGCAAGGTGGGGAGGGCAGCGGGTACCCACCTGGCAGTGTAGGGGGTTGGATTCAGCTTCATCTTCCTGACCCCTTGTCAAGTGGACGAGCTCCAGCCAAACAAAGGAAGTGTGTTGGAGTGGCCACCAGCACAGAAGTGTACCTTTCTGGGTAATGTGTCACCCAGTCCCCTGGCCATGTGAGAGGACAGGCACAGTTGCCACACAGTACTAATAGTTGGTCTCTTCTTTAAGGGTCAAAAAAAAGGAGGTGGAGCACTTTTAAGAAAGTGTTAAGGTTCCATGAAGATGTTATGGTGGCGTGCTGGCAGGTGCATATCAACCCTGCCCTGAGGCCCTCAGCAGCCTTCGGTCTCCCCAAAGCAATATGGCTCCTTATAAAGAAGTCTTTTAGGGCTGGGCTCGGTAGCTCATGCCTGTAATCCCAGCACTTTGGGAGGCCAAGGCGGGCGGATCACAAGGTCAGGAGTTCAAGACCAGCATGATCAATATGGTGAAATCCCATCTTTACTAAAAATTCAAAAATTAGCTGGGCGTGGTGGCGTGCACCTGTAATCCCAGCTACTCAGGAGGCTGAGGCAGGAGAATCGCTTGAACCCAGGAGGCGGGGGTTGCAGTGAGCCGAGATCACACCATTGCACTCCAGCCTGGATGACAGAGCGAGACTCTGTCTCAAAAAAAAAAAAAAAAAAAAAATCTTTTAAGTATGCCATATGAATAAAAAACTTTTAAAAAATCCATTACCTCAAGCATTTATCCCTTGTGTTATACTCTTTTAGTTATTTTTAAATGTACAATTAAGTTGTGAATAAAAACTTTGAGAGCTTTAGAGTTTAGAATCACTATCACATTTACTGTCTCATTTTATGATCCTCACAACAACCCTGAAAGATAGATGGGGCCCATTTTACAGATGAGAAAACTGAGCCGCGAACAGGTGATGCAACTCACCCAGGGCCACAAGTGGCAGAGCCAGGACTAGATCCCAGGTCCCTGGACTCCTGGTCAGTATGATTCTCTTGCCTCCCATCAAGCACCAATAGAGCAGCTTGGCTGGGGTCGGAGATAGGAGGTTTGGGCCACGTTTTGCATCGTAACAATATTTCTGGCTTGGTAACCTTTTTATCTCTAGCACCTAGCACAGTACCTGGCAATTAGCAGACACCGTAAGTCATTTGATAAATGAATGGATGAGCTAGACCAATGCTTTGTGGTTAAAATAATGGCAACTTTGGGCTTAAAAGAGGAAATAATTCTTTGCAACTGTGGCTATCCATCCTTGCAACAGATGCCTCAGGAATCACAGGTAGATGATGAGGGGCTCATCGCTTAGTGGCTCAAAGAGGTGTTCATGCCTGCTTGTATGGATGTTATAGAATCCAAACACACAGGGGGAAGAAATGGAAAAATGAGAAAAAAACTCAGTCCAAAAGTAGGCAAGAAAGTCTCAAAAAAAAAAAAAGATCAAAACCACTCAGTATAATTAAATTAGAGTGGAATTAGATTAGAACTCAATAACAAAAGAGAACTATATGATGCTATCGAGAAGTCTCTTGTAGCGAGTGGGGATTGGGCCAGATAGCCTCTGGCTCCTCCCTCCCTCTCCTGCCCCCTCATTTTTGTGCTTCGTACCGTTGACATGACTTAAAGTGTGCTGTCTTCACCAACTATTCATACTTATGTTTTGCATTTGTACTTCTTCATTCATTCAGTGAATATTTACAGTACTGAATCCCTAAAATGTTAGGGATTCTGCTGGTCTCTATAGAAGACACAAAAATTCATTACCCAAGGATTCCACTCGCAGGGAATCTACAGTGTGGTAGAGGACATGTAGGCTTGTGCATAAATACTGAGTATACCACAACGCTGGCATACACATAAGTAGTCATAGATCTCCTTAGAACAGTCGCAGGTCCGGTAGTGTACTGAGCATCTCACATACCTTACTTCATTTAGTCCTCGCGACGACTCTCTTGGTGAGGAAGGAAGAATGCAATGTGAGGGCCTTAAAGAGATATTTTCCATGAAACTCCATTTCATTTCATTTCGTGTTCTTTTTTGTTTTTGTTTTGAGACAGAGTCTTGCTCTGTTGCCCAGGCTGGAGTACAGTGGTATGATCTCAGTTCACTGCAACCTCCACCTCCTGGGTTCAAATGATTCTCATGCCTCAGCCTCCCAAGTATCTGGAATTATAGGCATAAACCTCCACACCCAGCTGATTTTTCTATTTTTAGTAGAGATGGGGTTTCACCATGTTGGCCAGGCTGGTCTCCAACTCCTGACCTCAGGTGATCCACCCACCCCAGCCTCCCAAAGTGCTGAAATTACAGGCGTGAGCCACCACACCTGGCCTCATTTCATCTTCTAAAGTACTCTCCCTAAAATCCTAGTGAGTCTTGCTTTCCAAACTCAGGTAATTCACCCCCAGTCTGGAAAGCCACAGAGTGGTCTGTGCAGCTCCAGAGTTGGTGCTCTTAGCTACTTCAGTAGCAGCCCTCTGCATCAGACTATGAAGAAATCAGTGTCACTGGAGGGACACAGGTACAATATTACCCTACTCTCTGACAGGGGAAGGAGAAGGGGGAGGACACATATGAGGTGTCATGTGGAGGACAGGAAGCATCGGGTGACCCAGGAGTGGAGAAGGGAGGAGAACACAGAAGGAATGGCCTGGGCAGGGCCAGGCTGCAGGGTGGACAGGGAGTGGCAGGCCTCCCCTCTGTGGCTGTGGGCATCTGAGTAGAAAGTGTCTGAAGCCAGCTCTAGACAGCTGCCAGTGCAAGAACTCATGGGAGGGATCTTCGGTTACGCAGTGCATCCCTCAAGCATGGGGTCAAGCCTCATCTTCTACGGAAACCTTAAATAGCCAACTGCCCCAGCGCCCACAGCTCCTATTCCATCAGCACCTCATGTAATTCCTGGCATAGGCCCAGCTTACAGTCTCTGCCTCCTTTATTTATGTCTGGTCTTAACTACTGAGAGCAAGAACCACATCTTGACTATTAGTAGTACTTTATACAAAATGACTGCTCAATCATGACTTATTGAATGCAGTAAGACCAAGAATACAAATTATGCCACTCATTTATGCTGTCATGATTAAGGAGACAAGAAAGCAAAAGAAAAAAAAAAACCCTCTGGCCCAGCTTTCCCTACTCTCTCCTCTTTTTACAAGACATCGTGAAGCAAGCACAGGACTTTGAGTCCTTGAACTTGGTCTGGAATTTACTTTGGGCAAAGCATTTACACATCCAAGTCTCAGCTTTCCCAGTTGCAGAAGCAGGATGCTACTAATGCCCTCCTTGTTAGGTTTATGTACAGATTAAAAGAGGTGATGAATAGAAGAGGCGCTTCCTTTCTCCCTCCATATGATAGTAATTACCTCATCGCACCACCAAGAAAAATCACGCATGAGGTATCATAAGATGTTCTTTGATTTAAGTCCTACCAAGAGGCTTAAAAACCAAGAGAAGAAGATAACAGAGTATGGGTTTAATGTCTGAAGCAATTCATAACTAGTAGTATGGGGCATGTTTTTACATTGATATTATAGAAAAACAAGTATCAACAAATCCTAAGAAATATCCCTTCTATTACTCACGCCATCCCTATTTTGAAATATGTTTTACTAGAGCCTGTTTTCTCCTAAAAGCCAAACTGTGGGTCTTTGGGTCCCAGGTGAGGCTCCTGCATGCCTCCGAGGAGGCTACCACCTGTTTCTGCCACATTGTCTTTTTACTTTACTCACGGAAAAAAGTCATCCTGGGCCGGGTGCAGTGGCTAACGCCTGTAATCCCAGCACTTTAGGATTCCCCTCACTCGAGGCCAGGAGTTCAAGACCAGCCTGGCCAACATGGTGAAACCCTACCTCTACTAAAAAAAAAATACAAAAATTAGCTGGGTGCGGTGGCACACCCTTGTAATCACAGCTACTCGAGAGGCTGAGGCAGGAGAATCACTTGAACCCAGGAAACAGAGGTTGCAGTGAGCCGAGATTGCACTCCATTGCACTCCAACCTGGGTGAGAGTGAGATTCTGTCTCAAAAAAAAAAAAAAATTAATTAAAAAAATAAATACATAAAAAAGTCACCCTGGGTCATATCCTGACACCTTTCCAGCTAATCTCCAAAGAATTGGTCTCATTTTATAATTTCAAAGTAAATAATACTTATTATTTCAAAAGCAAACAGTAATGTTCAATAACGTGGGGGAGCCCTGGCAGAGAACTGTCGGGGGCAGTGTGAAGAGAGATAAGTGCCAACTGAGTCTCCATGCAGTCCTCTCCTCTCTAACAGGCCCAGCAAGTACCATCTATAGTCACAAAAGTGGAGCCCCTTGGCCTCACTGCTCCAACAGAGAGGCCACAGAGGTGTCCCTCACAGCCCTTTGGTGGCTGTTAGCTCAATCCACTGCATTAACGTGAACAAACGCAGGCTGTCGGGTCTAAAAATCAGCTTTTAAAAGCCCCCCTAGTACTAATTTCCACAATAAAACAGAATGGCTCCAGAGAAGCCATTGAGTTCTATCAGGTACATAACACACATTTTAAAAGGTCCCAAATATGTATTTTACACAATAGAAGAAGAGAGCAGGCTGAGGATACAGTCTTTTGAGTAAATAAATAACGAGTTGTATAAAGCCACTAATTGCCCTTTAAGATGGTTTAGTGGCCAGGGATTCCTGAGGACTAATACAGACTCGCTGCCTGATGTCTGGTAAGGAGGCCACAGCCCAAGGCTCCTCCGGGTGAAATTCAGTTTTAACCCATTCAAGTCAATGTTCACAATTCCCACGAGCCTGCAGAAACACATGGGGTGACTTGATCTGGGGCACAGTTAGAAGAGTTTTGATCTCTTTCAGAAAGAATGATAGTGGTCTAGGCTGCACAACAACATACATGTACTTAATGCCACCTAACTGGACACCCTTGGCCAATTTGATGTTATGTGTATGTTTCCAGAATTAAAAACAGGAAAAACAGGCGGTGGGGGGTAAGAGCAAACATCCTGCAGATGCCAGTTTCCCAGGTTCTTCCAGATGCCCCCTTTCTCATAGGCCTGGGCTGGGAATCCCATGTTCTCTTTCCTGGGTTTGAGGTGCTGGAGTTTTAGCCTGGACATGCGTCCTTTCCTTCTCTGCTAGTGGAGAAGACTTCCTGCAAGTTACTTAGATCCTCTGTGGGCGGGGGGACAGCTGGGCACAGCCCCACCCACCACCCCTCCCCTGCTCCTTAGCCAGGTGTCTGTGACCACAGACGAGAAAAACTAACCCGCACCACCAGAGTCCCCCACCCCCACCACCGGAGTCCCCCAGCCTCGCTGCAGTCTGCGAACACAGGAAAGGGCCAAAGGGAACCAGACTGTCCCTAGAGGCAGTGAAAAGACAACTGGTTCTGGCCAGTGGCTCATGCCTGTAATCCCAGCACTTTGGGAGGTCGAGGTGGGCATATCACCTGAGGTCAGGAGTTTGAGACCAGCCTGGCCAACATGGTAAAACTTCATCTCTACTAAAAATACAAAAATTAGTCGGGTGTGGTGGTGTGCACCTGCAGGAGGCTGAGGTAGTTGAATTACTTGAACCTGGAAGACGGAGGTTGCAGTGAGCCAAGAGCATGCCACTGCACTACAGCCTAGGCAACAGAGCAAGACTCCATCTCAAAAAAAAAAAAATACTGGTTCTGGCCCGTTGTCATCCCACTTTGTGCTACCTCTCTTCTGAACTCATCCTCAGACTAAGTATATTAAGTTACCAGGGGTAAAATATTGAAATCACTAAGCTATAAATTATTTTTACTTGAGTCTTTGTCACTATGTCACACTCCTTTTGAATGCCAATGTAGCTGTCCCTTCTAGACCAAGGACAACATAACACTGTGTATCTAATGCATAATGGTTCATTTAACTTATATTTAAATTTACATCCAAAAAAATTTTAAGTATCCAATACGCATGACGTCTCATAGTTGGAATTAAGAGAGAGAAGACTTAATTAGCATAGTTTTCAGTGTTTGTCACTGCTGTCTACCCTACTTCTTTTTTTAAAATATCTATTTCTGAAGTAGAAGTACACCTGTTCCTTCTTGAATGTACTTAGATTAAATTAAGCACTTGCTGTCTGCATGGAATGTGTTGGTTGGTGATTGGTTAATTGGTGGTCGGTTCTGTTAGAATGTTTACACTGATGCCATGTGAAGGTACACCTGGTAGTCCCCCCTTTTTAATTTTGCATATGTCGTCCCCATTCTCATTGAGCCAGATCTGACCTCAAAAGCAATCCAAACGCAACAAATGATATATGTGACAGGGAGAAAAAAAGATTCAAAAAAGATGCATTTCAGTGCCCGTATGTGTTTCTGAACACAGGTGCCACTGTCTTCATCACTCATGCCTGTGCCTGCAGTGGGCGGAGGCCGTGCCGCAAAAGCATCTGTGATGAGTGGGTGGTTTTAAAGCCAATAGATAGACTGAGGTGTTTTGCTTTGTTTTGCTTTGTTTAAAACCAAACTACTTAACTACTTTTCATGGGAGTTAAAGTCATGATATCAAATCTGTTTTGTTTTGTTCTGTTTTTCATCTCCTTTTAGTAAAGAAAACTGGCCAAAGCCCATGGAGTCTGTTCTCTCTGGCTTTAAGAGCCCTTCAGGCCAGCACCCTCTACCCACTCCCGTCCTCTCCATTTCCCCCCTTTTCCCACCCCTGGAACAGTCCCACCCTGACCATTCCACTCTCCAGCCTGGGACTCCCAGAGCCAGCTGGAGCACACCACCCTGCAGCTGCTCACTCTGGGCACAGGGCCTGCCCTCACCTCCGCTCACAGGCTGCCGCCCCGTGACCTGCTCCCAGAGGTAGCCCCGGGCCAGCCTTGGCTGCACTGGGCTGGCTGGCCTTTGATGACTGCATTTTGGAGCCTGATAAGCTCCCCCGTGGCTTTGGAAAGGTTAATGTGCTCCCTGTTCACTGGGGCGGCCTGACCTTCTGACTCCGTCCAACTCCCTTTCCTGTGCTGGCTCCCGGCTGTGGCTGGCTGGCCCACTGCCACGTCGTGTCCTCTTGCTGGCCCTCAGAATGCAGCATCTGCCTCTGCCCTCGCCAGGCAGCATCAGACTCCAGCCATCTGCATGCCTGTTATTTGGGGACAGCCATTCGATCCGCCAAATTCTGAACAGACTTCCTCTATGTAATTGTCCGTGGCCTTGGGTTTGAATTGTCACACTGCCTTCTACCCATTGCCGCTCTCATCCCGAGAGGCAGTATTTACTCAGTGTGACAGTGCTCATTAATTTCAGGTCGGTTCCATTAAAATGTTGAAGTGAACCAACTGCTTGTGAAGGGTGAGTCCATGGCCCCTTTTTCTATTTCACAGACAAAGTAAGCCTGCTCACTGGCCCCAATCCAGCCGACTGGACAGGGCCTCGATGAAGCCCAGCCCAGGCCAAGAGTCTGAAGCCCTGGCAGCTCCCCACATGGCCTCCCTGTGGCCCTGTTCACCCTGTTCCCAGCCAGTGAGTCAGGGAGCCACATTAGGCCACAGTTCCTCATCTTACTTTGGAGACAGAAACCCCTATTCAGCCTGGCTAATGCTGGTGCTAAGAAGCCAAGAAAAATAACCATGGACCCAATGCAAGCACAGCAAATTAAGGTGTAGTCATCTGAGGGACTACGTGAAGGAGGTCCAGGTTCTCTTTGAATCATGGCCCCAGCCACTAAACTATTTAATGGAATTACAGAAGGACTGTGGTCATGGCCTTCGCTGTTGTTGGAAGGTTCCCACCAAGCCAGATGATAACCTGCCCCTCTCTGGCAAAGGCATGTGGTCCTGGCAGATGTGGGGGGCGTATGTGACCTCGTAGTCTCTCAGGGTTGCATGCTTGCTGCCCCAGGCCCTGTGCTGGGGACTTGCTGCCATCATCCCATTTCATCCCCAGACAGCCCAGGGGACAAATGTCAGTATCCTTATTTTACATGTGGGGAAACTGAAGCCTAGAGAGATGGAGCCACTTGCCCAAGGTTAATGAACACAGTAGGGGGTAGAGCCAGGTTTAGGGGTGGCATTGTGGCCTTCAGCAGGGAGGGCCTGGCAGATGGAGCTAGATGCCTGAGAGATCCCTCTTCCATCAACCTGAGTGCCCTTGAAATAGAACAAAATTGGCCAGATGTGGTAGCTCACACCTGTAATCCCTGTACTTTGGAAGGCCAAGGTGGGAGGATCGCTTGAGTCTAGGAGTTTGAGACCAGCCTGGGTGCCATGGCAAGACCTCATCTCTGCAGAAACACACACACACACACAAATTAGCATGGTGGCACACACCTGTAGTCTCAGCTACTTGGGAGGCTGAAGTGGAAAGATTGCTTGAGCCCAGGAGGCAGAGGTTACAGTGATCCATGATTGTGCTACTGCACTCCAGCCTGAGTGATGCAGCAAGACCCTGTGTCATATACATATATGATATGTGTATATGTATGATATGTATATATGATATATATCATATACATAGATGTGATACGTATATATATCATATACATAGATATGTGTATATATCATATACATAGAGATGTGTATATATCATATATAGAGATATGTGTATATATCATATACCTAGAGATATGTGTATATATCATATACCTAGAGATATGTGTATATATCATATACATAGAGATATGTGTATATATCATATTCATAGATATGTTGTGTATATATCACGTACATAGAGATATATATCATATACATGATATACAGCAACCATATGTGTGTGTGTGTGTGTGTGTGTGTGTGTGTGTGTGTGTATGACAGAATCCAGCTCTGCCTCAAGTCGTGCTCACAGCACAAGTCTGAGCACTGCACATGGGGCCAGGGGCTGCTCTGTTCTCCTGCCCAGATGGCTGGATTCTGCTGGGGGCTGCTTGCAAGAACACACCTCGTCTAGTTCTGTTCTATCCAAGGAAGTGGATCTGGGGACTTCAACCATCCTTCTGTGTTCTGCACTTAAATATAGAAGATGACAAAAAAAAAAAACTTGAAAAGTGCAATGGTTGTGTTTAGACATATAATGAAGGAGGGGAGTGCCAAGCCAACGTTATTTCCTAAGACATATTTCTTGAAGCTTTTCCCCTTCATTCCAGCTGACTGGAGAACTATTACCTATTCACTAGCATTTGAAAATGAAGGACAAATTTTGCTCCCTTCTCTACACCAACTTTGTATGCCATGGGTTTTTAAAATGTGAACCCTGCCCATATATTGTTTCTCTGGGCACCGGCCTTCAGTCATCTAACTCCCTTGCCTCAATGAGGAAGTGAAACTCCAGGGCTGTGGAGACCATGCAGATTCCCTGAATAATCGGAAGGGCTCACCAGTGATTTCCTGGGTCCCCTTCAAGCCTTGGCTCTGCCAAGCCACAGCTTAGCTCTGCCATAGCCTCATGTGACTACAGACAGTCACAGAGGTTTCATTCTCCCTCACCTGTGCATGCACATTGTCTTGTCTGTTTTCTCTTGCTATAAAGGGATACCTGAGACTGGGTGATTTAGAAAGAAAAGATGTGGCCTGGGACAGTGGCTCACGCCTGTAATCCCAGCACTTTGGAAGGCCGAAGCAGGTGGATCACCTGAGGTCAGAAGCTAGCCTGGCCAACATGGTGAAACCCTGTCTCTACTAAAAATACAAAAATTAGCTGGGCATGGTGGCACATGCCTGTAATCCCAGCTACTCGGGAGGTTGAGGCAGGAGAATCACTTGAACCCAGGAGGCGGAGGAGGCAGCGAGCTGAGATCATGCCACTGCACTCCAGCCTGGGTGACAGAGCGAGACTCCATCTCAAAAAAAAAAAAAAAAAAAAAAAGGAAGGAAGAAAAGAGGTTTATTTGGCTCACAGTTCTGCAGGCTGTACAGGAAGTGGGGCACTGACATCAGCTTGGCTTCTGGTGAGGGCTTCTGTGCTGCATCCAAACATGGTAGAGAAGGTCAGAGGAGAAGTGGGCAGGTGCAAAGAGGGGCCAGGAAGTGGGGAACCACTCGCTTTGTAAGAACCCACCCTCATGGACTAATCCATTCCATGAGAGCTAATCCCATCTTGCCAGGATGAGAACTCACTCCCTTCTGGGAGGACGGCACCGAGCCTTTCATGAGGGATCCACCACAGCCATGACCCAAACACCTCCCACCAGGCCCAAAACCACACAGTGAGGCTCAAACTCCAATGCTGGTTTTGTTGGGGGACAGAAAAACCATATTCAAACTATAGCACACATGCTGGACCTTCTCCCTGGAGCTGTTTTCCTTTCCTGGCTCCTTTTCTTTCCTCCCCTCCAGCTTACCTGGCCACCTTCTACCCATACGTTAGGCTACAGCTTAAACACCCTATCCCCCAGCAGGCCCTCCATGCATTGCCATCGTCCACACAGCACCATCTGCTTGCCTTTTGGTGACCCTCATCACTGCTGTGCTGAGACACCTCATTTCCTGCCTTCCATGGACAGCAAACCCCAGCTTGTGCCTGTCAAATCTCGGCACGTGTACGGTGCCTGATGTACCCCTGACTATTGACTGACTGACTTTATTTCTCTGAGTCTTTTTTCCCATCTGTCAAGTGGAGAGAGTAATAGTCACCCGTCCGCCTCTCAGCACTGTTGTCAAGCCTTAGCAGATGATTTTGGGGAAAGAGGCGTGTAAAACAAAAAGCTGATTCCAAATAGCCCGTGTCTCTAGGTAGTACAGTCGCACTAAAAAAACAAAAAGCGACATGATTCGCCATTGGCCTTGACGAGTGATAAAGGATAAAGTCAAACACTCCGTTTCCTCCTTCACTCTCAACTCTTCACCTCCATGGTTAGGGTGGCTGGTGACTTCTTTCAAATGGTGACTGATGTGATAAGGTGTACAATAGTAATGCTGGTAAATATTTTCATAGACAAGGAATTACTGAAGTGACCATTACAATCAAAATCATTTTAATTACGTGAGACTTCAACTAATTTAAAATCCTGTTTCCACAGGAGCCTCCTTGAGCTTCTAAAACTGTCTCCACCTTGATTACCTGGAGATAGTCTGGGAAATTTTCTTCTATCTTTCAGTGAGCAACTAGGGGAATTCAGGTAGACAGGCAGCTGGGTAGATGATAGGTAGGAGCTGGGCCCCTAAGAAGGCTATTCTGCTCTCCAACGAAGCCTGGCGCTCTGGTCTTCCAAACCCCAGCCCCGGGGAGCTCAGAAGGCCCCAGTGGCACCACTCCCCGTGTGATGCCCTGGACGGACCATAGCTGCCGTCACCCCAGCTTGCGCCCATGCCTCTGTATAATTACAGGTGGTGCCTCCTTCACTCTTAAAAGTGTCCTGGTTTAAACCACAGTGAGATATCGTATTTTCTCAAACTGAAACTCAGTACCCCTTATCACACCCATTAGGACGGCTACTTAAAATAAGAATTAAAAAGTGTTGAGGCCAGGTGCAGTGGCTCACTTCTGTAATCCCAGCACTGTGGGAGGCCGAAGCGGGCAGATCACCTGAGGCCAGGAGTTCAAGACCAGCCTGGCCAACACGGTGAAACCCCTTCTCTACAAAAATACAGAAATTAGCCTGGCATGATGGTGGGTGCCTGTAATCCCAGCTACTCGGGAGGCTAAGGCGGGAGAATTGCTTGAACCCGGGAGGTGGAGGCTGCAGTGAGCTGAGATCACGCCATTGCACTCCAGCCTGGGTGACAAAGCGAGACTCTATCTAAAAAAAAAAAAAAAAAAAAAAAAAAGTGTTGGCAAGGTTGTGGATAAATTGGAACCTTATGCATTTTTTATGGGAACTAAAATGGTGCAGACACCGTGGAAAACAGTATGGCAGTTCCTCAAAAGATTAAAAATAAAATTACCACATCATCAAGCAATTCCACTTTTGGTTATTACCCAAAAGAATTGAAAGCAGAGACTTGAACAGATGTCTGGACACCCTGTCCACAGCAGCATTATTCACAATAGCCAAAAGGTAGAAGCAATCCTAGTGTCCATCAGCAGATGACTGGATAAACAAAACTGGCATATCTGTACACTGGAATATCATTCAGCATTACAAAAGAAGGAGATTCTACCACAATGCTGCAACACGGATGAATCTTGAGGACATTTTGCTAAATGATAGAAGATGGTCACAAAAGGACAGATATTGTATGATTCCACTTATATGCAGTATCTGGAGTAGTCCAGTTCATAGAGACAGGAGGTAGAATGGTTGTTGCCAGGGCTTGGGGTGATGGAAGATGGGAGTTGCCATTTAAGGGGTATTGAGTTTCAGTTTGGGAAAATGAAAAGGGTTCTGGAGATGGGTGTTGGTGATGGTTGTACAGCAGTGTGAATGTACTTTAACACTACTGAACTGAACACTTAAAATTGGTTAAAATGGTTATTTTTATATTGTATGTATTTTACTATGGGTAATCTCTTGATAGGCAGATGGGGACAAATTTAAAGGACATTGTCTGGATTGGGTGTCATGACAGGTGGCAGTTCACACAAGAATCAGGCCACCTGTGGAGAGAAGTCCAGCTTAACCATTTCATTGACCTGGGGCTGGGGTTCTTTGGGAAAGAAGAGCACATGCATTTCTAGAGTGCTAGTCCTGGGACTTTGGCGGCCGAGGGGAAGGATCACACGTCCAGGCACTCCCAGGAGCCAGGCCCTGCCTGAGCCCCACTCCGTGTTCTGCTCTGCCTGCCTCCCTGCAGCAGCTCACAGTGTTTCCCTGTCTTCAGCCTTAGCTGGTAGCTGCTTCCTTCTGAAATGCCCTCCTCTGTCTCAGCTCCACTGACCATTGAAACCCTGTGTTCTCTGCTACGTCACTTCTTCTACAAGGTGAGCCCAGAACACGCCTGGTGATATGGTTTGGCTCTGTGTCACCACCCAAATCTCATCTGGAATTGTCATCCCCACATGTCAAGAGAGGGACCTGGTGGGAGGTGATTGGATTATGGGAGTGGTTTCCCCCATGCTGTTCTTGTGAGTGAGTTCTCACTCAAGGTGATGGTTTTAAAAGGGTGGCACTTTCTCTTTGCTCACTCTCTGTCTCTCTCCTGCCACCATGTAAGACGTGCCTTGCTTCCCCTTCACCTTCCGCCATGATTGTAAGTGTCCTGAGGCCTCCCCAGCCATGTGGAACTGTGAGTCAATTAAATTTGTTTCTTTATAAATTACTCACTCTCAGGTAGTTTCTTTATAGCACTGTGAAAATGAACTAATATACCTGGCCCCTCTCTTTCCACCAAGGCAGGGGCCCCTTTGCTGTACCCCAACCATGTGAAAGCATGCCTGTTGATTCTCCCTGGGACTGTAATCCTTCCCACTCTGGCCTAATCTCTATTTTTGTTGTAAATTTATTGAGGAAGCAGTAAAGACTGTATCCTAGTCATGTCTTTAATTCTGAGACAGGTGTTCAGTAGCTATTGTAGACTGATGTTTTCTAACACCACTGCCATCACTGTGGTTAGTATTTAACATTTCCGTGTTAACCTCCCCCTTTGCAAGCTTCATGCAGCGCATCCTCATCATGCTTCCAGTGTTATCTTTGCCTCTGGCCATGAGCTTTCCGATGAAGAGCATCTCCTGGAAGTCTTGATGCTAAAACCTTAGAAAAGGCAAAGCTCGTAAAAGAAATGTGGGTCTTCCTGAGCTCACCCTTCCATGATGTTAGTGTTTCTGAGGTGTGGGGACACTTGCCCCCATAGGCAGCCCTCAGAAGGGGGTCTATAGTGAAACATGGTACTTGTCACTAGCTTATCTATCTCAGCACCTGTTATGAACTAAATGTTCACGTTCTCTTAAAATTCACACAATGAAGCCCTAATCCCCAATGTGATAGTATTAGGAGGTGGGGCCTTTGGTGGGGGTGATTAGATTTAGGTGAGGTCATAAGGGTAGGATCCCATCATGGGATCAGAGCCCTTATAAGAAGAATAAGAGGGACCAGACCACTCACAAAGGAGAGGTCATGTGAGCACACAGCAAGAAGATGGCCATCCGCACACCGGGACGAGGAGCCTCCCCATGGGACCAAATCCACTGGCACCTTGATCTTGGATTTGAAGATTTCAGAATTGTGAGAAATAAATGTCTGTTGTTTAAACCTCCCAGTCTATGGTATTTTGTTATAGCCAGCCCAAACCGACTGAGACACCATCCTACCTGCCTGTTCTAAAAAAGGAAAGCTGCACTCAGTACAGTCGGAGGGTCTATGTAATCGGGTCTACAGAGGAATTGCATCATCTCTGATTGCTTTGAGCAGTGTTTTGTAGTTCTCATTGTAGAGGTCCTTCACCTCCCTGGTTAGCTATATTCCTAGGTATTTTGTTCTTCTGTGACAATTGTGAATGAGATTGCATTCCTGATGTGGCTCTCGGCTCAGCTATTGTTGGTATATAGGAATGCTAGTGATTTTTGTATGTCGAGTTTGTATCCTGAGACTTCACTGACAAAAGTCACTCAGGGCCAAGCCTTAACTGAAATGGCTGATTAACCTAGTGAGAGCAGTACTGGGTCAAAACTGATCAAAAGGCAGTCATATTCAACAAAGTACTGGAAGTTCTGGCCAGAGCAGTCAGGCAAGAGAAATAAAGGGCCCGGGTGCAGTGGCTCACACTTGTAATCCCAGCACTTTGGGAGGCCGAGGCAGGTGGATCACTTGAGGTCAAGAGTTTGAGACCAGCCTGGCCAACATGGTGAAACCCCATCTCTACTAAAAATACAAAAATTAGGCTGAGCACGGTAGCTCACACCTGTAGTCCCAGCACTTTGGGAGGCTGAGGCAGGTAGATCACCTGAGGTCAGGAGTTTGAGACCAGCCTGGCCAACATGGTGAAACCCCGTCTCTACTAAAAATAACAAAAATTAACTGGGCATGGTGGCACGCGCCTGTAATCCCAGCTAGTCAGGAGGCTGAGGCAGGAGAATCGCTTGAACACGGGAGGCAGAGGTTGCAGCGAGCCAAGATTGTGCCATTGCACTCCAGCCTAGGCAACAGAACAAGACTCTGTCTCAAAAAAAAAAAAAAATCAGTCAAGCATGGTGGCACGTGCCTGTAATCCCAGCTACTCAGGAGGCTGAGGCAGGAGAATCTCTGGAACCCAGGAAGTGGCAGTTGCAGTGAGCCAAGATCACGCCAGTGCACTCCAGCATGGGTGACAGAGCGAGACTCCATCTCAAGAAAAAAGAAAAAAAAAAAGAAAGAAAGGGTATTCAAATAGGAAGAGAGGAAGTCAAATTATCTTTGTTTGCAGATGACACGATCCTGTATCTAGAAAACCCCCATTGTCTCAGTTCAAAAGCTTCTTAAGCTGATGAGCAACTTCAGCAAAGTCTCAGGATATAAAATCAACATGCAAAAATCACTAGTATTCCTATACACCAACAATAGGCAAGCAGAGAGCCAAATCATGAACTCCCATTCACAATTGTCACAAAAAGAATAAAATGCCTAGGAATACAGCTAACAAGGGAAGTGAAGGACCTCTTCAAAGAGAACTACAAACCACTGCCCAAGGAAATCAGAGAGGACACAAATGAATAAACATTTTATGCTTTTGGATAGGAAGAATCAATGTCATGAAAATGGCCATACTGCCCAAAGAAATTTACAGATTCAGTGTTATTCCCATTAAACTACCATTGACATTCTTCAAAGAATTAGAAATAAACTATTTTAAAGTTCATATGAAACCAAAAAAGAGCCCTAGTAGCCAAGGCAATCCTAAGCAAAAAGAACAAAAAGCTGGAGGCATCGTACTACCCAACTTCAAACTATACTACAGGGCTATGGTAACCAAAACAACATGGGTACTGGTACAAAAACAGACACATAGACCAATGGAACAGAATAGAGAGCCCAGAAAAAAGGCCATACACCTATAACCATCTGATCTTTGACAAAAGAAGCAATGGGGAAAGGATTCCCTATTTAATAAATAATGCTGGGAAAACTGGGTAGCCATATGCAGAAGATTGAAATTGGACCCCTTCCTTATACCATTTACAAAAATCAACTCGAGATAGATTAAAGACTTAAGTATAAAACCCCAAAACTATAAAAACCCTGGAAGACAACGTAGGCAATATTCTGGTCATATGAATGGGCAAAGATTTCATGACAAAGATGCCAAAAGCAATTGCAATAAAAGCAAAAATTGACACATGGGATCCAATTAAACTAAAGAGCTTCTGCACAGCAAAAGAAACCATCAACAGAGTAAACAGACAACCTTCATAATGGGAGAACATTTTTGCAAACTATGCATCTGACAAAGCTCTAATATCCAGCATTTCTAAGGAACTTAAACAAATTTACAAGAAAAAAACAACCCTATTAAAAAGTAGGCAAAGGACATGGTCAGACACTTTACAAAAGAAGACATACATGCGGCCAACAAGCATATGAAAAAAAGCTCAACATCACTGATCATTAGAGAAATGCAAATCAAAACGACACTGAGATACCATCTCACACCAATCAGAATGGCTATTATTTAAAAGTCAAAAAAAAACAGATGTTAGCGAGGTTGTGGAGAAAAAGGAACGTTATACACTGTTGGTGGGAATGTAAATTTTATTTCAGCCATTGTGGAAAACACTGGTGATTCCTCGAAGACCTAAAAACAGAACTGTTCAACCCAGCAATTCCATTACTGGATATATACCCAAAGGAATATAAATCATATTATAAGACACATGTATGCATATATTCATTGCAGCACTATTCACAATAGCAGAGACATGGAATCAACCCAGATGCCCAGCAGTGGTGGACTGGATAAAGAAAATATGGTACATACACACCATGGAATACTATGCTACTATGCGGCCATAAAAAAGAACAAATCATGTTCCTTGCAGGAACATGGATGTAGCAGGAATCCATTATCCTTAGCAAACGAACACAGGAAAGGAAACTAACTACAGTATGTTCTCACTTACAAGTGAAAGCTAAACGATGAAAACACATGGACACATAGAGGAGAACAACAGACACTGGGGCCTGTCAGTTGATGGAGGCTGGGAGGAGGGAGATAGTCAGAAACAATAACTAATGGATAACAGGCTTAACACCTGGGTGACAAAATAATCTGCACATCAAACCCGGTGACATAAGTTTACCTGTATAACAAACCTGCACATGTACCCCTGACCTTAAAGGTGAAAGAAAGGAAAGGAGAGGGGAGGGGAGGGGAGGGAGAAGGGAGAAGGGAGGGAGGAAGGAAGGAAGAGGAAGGGGAAAGGGAAGGGAAGGAAGGGGAAGAGAAGGAGAGGGAGGGAGGGAGGAAGGAAGGAAGGGGAAGGGAAGGAGAGGGAGGGAGGAGAGAGAAAGGGAGGGGAGGGAAGGGAAGGGAGGAAGAAGGGAGGGAGGAAGGAAGGGAGGAAAGAGGAAGGAAGGAAGGAAAGAGAGAGGAGGGAAGGAAGGAAGGAAGGGAGGGAGGCAGACTTTCCAAAGGAATTTTCTACCTTTTCTGTAGTGTAAAAATAAAACTGGCAACAACAAACGTGAGCTTGGGAAATGGACTCTAGGTTTGCAGATACTGTGTTCTTTCAGTAAAACACCACAAAGAGAGCTTGTCTTTATTAAATTCCAACATTTCTACCAAGCTGGTTCTGTTGAATAAAATAACATCTTCTAATGTTCTAGTGTCCAAACGCAGCAGCTTCCGATGGGTGGCACTCAGCTAGCTCAGATGAACTGAAGACCCTTCAGTAACTGCGTTCTCTATACCTGAACTGGAACGCAACTGGGACATTTCTTTTTATAGAAATTCTAATCTTTTCATGTGGCCACTTGAGAATTCTAAATTAGCTGGAAGGTGTTTCAGTCACCAAGATGTAAACAGGTTTTATTTCACTGGAAAAGTGGTTACATAAAGCTTGCCTTTCATCCCCTTCAACTAATTCAAAAGCTCTAAAGAGAAATATTTTAACCTTGAATTTTGCAACTTTGAAATAGACTCATATGATATTTTATCAGTGCTTTACTTTTATCTTCTGACTGTTCTTCCATTACAACTGTTGTATTACATTGCTTTTTAAATAGCTTTGGCAACCTGAAATATGAATTCCCAGGCCCTCAAACTTTCCTTCTGTGATTAATTATAATTAATCCTCTCGCTTGTCATTTCGTCTAGTATCCTGTCATACAACCCAGAAGACACTTTGCAAAATTTCAAGCAGGAAATCTCCTGCACATGGTTTAATGTTGATGCTGTTTCCAGGTGTCATTTATCTTCCTTAAGTAATCCATACACAACCCCTCCAAGAAAGGCCCTCTCTGTGCTCAGCACCAGACATGCTCAGCACCACACATCTTTATGTTGGATGGATAAGAAAGATTGCAAACTTAAGGTTGCCAGATTCAGCAAGTAAAAATCCAGGAACAATGAATAATTCTGTAGTCTAAATGTGTCCCTAATATTGCATATTTTTCATTGTTTATCTGAAATTCAAATTTCACGGGGTGCCCTGTATTTTGCCTGGCAACCCTACGCAAACGATATTTTGATTGAAAGACCGTTAAGAAAAAAGTATTCTCTAAAAGTATTTGATCTTTCTTGGAAATTGCATAAGAAAATGTCAGGATCTTGAAAGACCATCTATATACAAACAGTGGATGCAACTTAAGTCAAAATTCTATCTCGCCCTTCAAGAAAGCTTCCTTGAAAATGAATCTCCTCTCTTTCCAAGCAGTAGAATAAGCATCTCACTTCCAGCAGGAGCTGTGCACAACCGTTCCTCCAGATTTTCCACGAGAGACTGTATCTTGTGTGTGTCAAGTGTGTGTGGTGCTTGCTGCAAGCACTGGGCCTGTTTGGAAATCGGTAGGGTGGAGCCGTATGCAGGTCGGAGGCATCTGGCGGAGCTCCCACTTGCTGCCCTCCCGCCTTCGTCTCCGGAGGGCAGACACGAGACTGCCACTTTCTCTGAAGCATGGCTGGCAGCCTCAGCACCTGGCTGGCCTTTGGGTGCTATTTCTAATTTGTATTTTTGCTGAGTTACTTGTGCCAAGGACTGTCTGCTTTGATAAAGTGGAAGCTTTTTCTTGCTGCCATTAAGGAGAATTCCTGACCTATGTGCACGTCTGTGATGAGGCTGAGGAGATTTTTCTATTGACCTCTAATAACAGGAGGCAACGGGCCAGGGCCTCACCTCCTTGCAAGTGGCATTGGACTGCGAGGCTCTTATTAATGGGGCTGCGTGTGGGTGACACTTTCTTTCAAGCTCTGTTTTTAAACACCATTACTCCCTTGGTTATCACATCCTATTAATTATTCATTGACTGACTTTTCTCCAACAGTAGCTAATGAGGTAAGTTACACAATGGCAATGGTAGTAAATATTATAATATAAAAGCAATTACTGAAGTGGTAGTTTTAATTCAAAATTATTTTAATTACATGGGACTCCAGCTTATTTAAAATTCTGTCTCCATGGAGCTTTCTGTAAGCTTCCCAAACTGTCACCTCCTTGGTTACCTGGAGATAGTCTGGGAAATTTTCTTCCACCTTTCTACTAGCAAGCACCTAGGGGAATTCAAGCAGATAGGTAGCTGGGTAGATGATTGGCAGGAACTGGATGCCTTCAGAAGGCAACAATCCCCAGAACCTTGGAGGTAGCTGTGGCTTGGGCATTTTCTTTTAGAGGAAGACAAAGGTAGAAGCAACCCGGTGGCTCCAGGCAGGAGCAGTGAACTGTGCAGCCTCCCAGGGCCCTGTACGCCGATGGCCTCTTACTTAGTTTAATGCTCTGTGGTTGGCATATTGAAATCCTTAATAACTTTATCTTTGAATTCGTGTTTTTTAAGTGAAGTCCAATGGGATGATGGAGCATCTGCCTGGGCTCAGAGCCTTGGCTCCCATGGGTCCCTCTCAGCTGCCAGCTCCAGCCTGCTGCCCTGGCCCCACCTGGCCTTGCCTGTTCCACCCTACACAGTAACTGCTGCTACCCAGCACCCCAGGAGGGCATGGGTGCATGCCAGGTCAGGACAGGGCTCACAGGCCCAGACATGGCACCCGCGTTTTGCCCCAAGCTGACAGCACAAGGGCACATGCAGTGGGTGGCTGGGCAGGGGGACGAGCCTCTCCCCGACCCTAACCCAGAGGCCTCATGTGTCCCAGTTCAAAGGTTGCAGTCCCCATGGGGATTGTCTTCTCTCCCGTGTCGGTTGGGCCCATGAGACACAGAGATACCTGGCTCAACCTCACTCACCCCAGCCAGGGCATCACACGCCCATCCTGGGCTGGCAGAGGTGGGGAGCTCCTTGCACATGCTAAATTGCAGGGCGAGCCTCCAGATACCCGTGGGATCCTACACTCACCGCATGAGTATTCCAGTGCCCAGCAAGCATGACATTAAGTAGCAAATTAAAATGCCTTGACCAATTGACAGACCATAGAAGAAAGGAGGAACCTTTGTATTTTGAGCGCCTAGGATGGCACTTTTATCTTGCTCTTTGAACAAGGGGCTCTCATTTGCATTTTGCACTGCAAATGATGTGGCAGGTCCTGGCTCCAGGAATGGGGAAGCTGATCATTGCCCTTATTTGGCATCAGGAAAGGCCTATCTTATAAGTTAAAAAAAAAAAAAAAAAAAGAACCAGAGGTCAACAAAAAAAATTGGAGGTCCCAAATGCATTTTGCTCCTTGGAGTTAACGGAGGCACGTGCTGCCAGGTGTGCTCTGAAGTCTGACTAAATACCTTCCTCCTGTCCTCTCTCCCTTCGACCACCAAAAGTCTCCTGGGAACTCTCTCACTCATCTTTTCTGCAGTGGAAAAAAGCAAGGCTACCTTTGTTTGAAGCAGAGTCATTCTGATCAAAGACATGAACCAGAGCTTCCACCGGGAGCTCCCTGTCGGCAAGGACTGTCTCCAGTACATGTCTGAGTCGTCCTGCCTGTGCCCATGCCCAGCCAGGGCCTGACTCTGCATCCACTGACCCCATGGTCTGAGTTCAATGAAAGAATGGGCTGCAGCCCGGCAGGCCTGCCTTGTCCTCCAGCACTGATGCACAGGTCATTCAGAACCTGCTGGGAGGACTCCATCCAATCAGGCTGGGCTGAGCTGAGAGTTTTATTGGCCTGTTCTGTGATGTGGTGATTCTTTTCCTTTTAGTGGGCAGCTCATTTCTGGAAGCGAGATTGCTCACATTCTCTGTGATGGTGGAGCTGGGAGTCGCAGAACTCAGACTTATTGGCACCATACTCAGGAATAATAAAGCAAATAAAATTATATTGACCACATTCTAGTTTATTTCATTCCCCCTTCTTTTTCTTACCACTCCCTCTCTGCCTTCTCTCTCTTTGCTCAGCCTGCCCATAAAACAACCTTTCTATTTTCAGCAAACCTTAAAGAAACAAAGGCCTGGCTTTGACATTCCTTCCCTTGAATAAAATGTGTTCGTGGTAATTTGCCTCTCATGGGTTGGGCTCATTCTCAGCGTCTGCACGTGGGAGCCATCTTCGATCAGGACCACCTCCCTGAGGGTCCTCTGGGGGCACAGCCTCTGCAGTGCATTCAGAATGAGTTGCCATGGTTGGAGGAGAACGCACCCACCCTCGACTCATTTTCCCTCCACTCCAGCAGTGACTGTACCAAAGTGGGGCTGGAGACCCCTGGTCCTGTATTGTTCTCAGCACGTCCTAGTTGGTGTAGTCTTATTTAAATTACATAGATTTGCTCATAGAATTTCAGCTTCACACCCTATAGGAAACCAGGCAATCCCAGTCTGTTTTTTCAGCTCTCTTCCTTATCACCCACATATCTAAATAGAAGGGCTGCCTGGTGCTGGATGCTATAAAATTGAAGGAAGGATAAATGGTTCCTCCCCGTGGCCTGCGTCTATTTCAGCTTCCCCCACACAACTCGCCCTGCAAATCCCAGCCTCCTGTTATTCCACCCGCTTTGCCTGGAGCTTGCCCCCTTCTCTCTTTTCCTAGCAAATCCTGCTCAGTGTTTCAGGCCCCACTTCCTCCAAGAATTCCTGCCTGGAAACTCTACTCCTCGTTCTTCCCCCTGGCCTCTCAAGTCTTAGAACTAAGAATTAGGACTAGGAATTTTATGGCCGCATTGAGCGCTTGACATACACTGTTTTCTCTTAAACATTATTCTAGGTCCTCCAACTATAAGGACATGATTAACCTTGTGCCTTCTGTCCCCACCACACTCAGAACAGTACCAGGCACATATGGTTGCAGAGCAACAGTGACAGGCAAGGAGCACCGACCATTCTTCATGGCAGAAAAATCCTCACCCACCTAAACCTGAAATCCAAAATGCTCTGGGTGGACGAGGTCGCAGGCAGATCCCTTGAAGCCACTTTATATACAGCAAGTTAAGAAATCTCTACCCACAGCACAGCATAGCAGACTTAGTTATGATGAGAATTATCTAGACTCCTAGAGGTAGCAAAGCCAGGAATCTGTCACTTGCTCAGCTGTTACACAGCAATGCTGTGTGCGAATTTAGGGAGGAAACCCCAGGCAGCTTGTTATAGTCAACTGAAGATTAGCAGGAGTGAATTGTCTGTGACTCTGGCTCCAGGGTTCTCTGGTCTTTTCTTGGCCTCGCCATTGCTCATCAGCCTAAATGGGAGGAACAGAAAGAATTAAAATAGAAATTAACACAGCTTCTAGTTGGAAATTCGGGTTAGGCATCTCTAGGGATAGTAATTTAAAAAACGGTGTGTTAATCTATTTGCATTGCTGTAAAGGAATACCTGAGGCCAGGTAATTTATAAAGAAAAGAGATTTATTTGGCTCATGGTTCTGCAGGCAGTACTGGAAGCATGGCACCAGCATCTGTGTCTGGTGAGGCCTCAGAAAGCTTTCACTCATGGTGGAAGGTGAAGGGGAAGCAGGTGTGTCACATGACAAGAAGAGGGAGAAGAGGAGGAGGTACCAGGCTCCTATAAACAGCCAGCTCTTGCATAAACTAATAAAGTGAGAACTCACTCATTACCTGGGGGAGGGCACCAAGCCATTCATGAGCAATCCTCCCCCGTGACCCAAACACCTCCCACTAGGCCCCACCTCCAACAATGCAGCTCAGATTATGTGATTTGGACAGGACAAATATCCAAAGTTTCAGAGGGTCTTTGGGGATTTTTGTTTGTTTTTGGAGACAGGTCCTCACTGTGTCACTCAGGCTGGAATGCAGTAGTACAATCATAGCTCAGTGAAACCTCTAACTCCTTTGGCTCAAGTGATCCTGCCACCTCAGCCTCCGAGTAATTAGGACTACAGGTGTGCACCACCACCCCTGGCAAATTTTTTTGGTTTTGCAGAAACAGGGGTCTCACTATGTTGCCCATTCTGGTCTCGAACTCCTGGCCCCAAGTGATCCTCCCACCCTGGCCTCGCAAAGTGCTGGGAATACAGGTGTGAGTCACCAGACCTGGCCTGTTTTTTTCTTTTTAATTAAGTATACATTTATCGAAGGGTATTAGAAGTGACGGACCACAGAAATCATCTAGTCCAAGCCCATCTCTTCATGTGGGTCACTGAGACCCACAGTGGGGTTATCAGCACAGCTGTGACTAGAGCCCTGGTGTGCAGGTTCCTAGGCCCAATGCCTCTCTCCCGGAGTCTCAGTTGGGATGACCCACCAAGCCAGCCTGTTGGTCTGGGGCAGATGTCTAGCTAATCTGGTTTGTCTGGAATACCCAGGATCCCATTACTGGAGCAGGCCTTCTGCATGAGGGAGACACCATTGATTGCCTGCTCAGCAGTCATCCATCACTTCCTCACAGAGAACCCGTTTGGGTCACTCTACTCTGAGTGGCCAGGGTCTTCAGGGGAGGTTGGTCGTCCTCCATCCTAAGGGGTGACTGTTAATTGGCCTAAGCTAGCATTTGTTGCCTTATTACCCTTGCTGTGGAACTGGCTTAGTCATGGGCGTGTGGTGACATTCAAGCCAGTGAGGGGTGATCTACTTAGCAAGGGACACAGGGCAGTAATATCCCTTTCTCTGGACACTGTCATCTGTGTGTGAGAATCGCAGCAGCCATCAGAGGAGTGAGGCGAATCCACCTAAAGACAAGCCAAGGGTGTCAGTAAGGAAAGACAGACAGAGCCCAAGTCCTTGGTAAGGCCCCTGAGCCTCAGAATTACCCAATCCCGGGCACGCCCCTCCTTAGGGGCTTCTGATGGCGAGACATGCATGTTCTTACTGTGTTTTCACTCATTTTAATTGTGGTCCCTGTTCCCTGTCACCAGACACAGTCTATCAGCTGTGCTCTGTGGTGCAGCCTTTGAAAAGGATGAACAGCACTCCCTGCAGAAACACCTGAGTAATATTTTACACATTTGCCCTGAGTGTCCTCACCCAGGGAACAAACCCAGCTTGGTTTATGACAGCTAACAAGATCACAGCTTGAGCTGATATGGCCACAAGCCTGTGTCTCAGATGCTGTAATTTGGTTTCCATAAAAATCTTTTTCGCTCATCATCCTTAAGTCTTGTATTCCTTGGTGAGATGCAAATTAAACACCACATGCTGCTGACATTCAGAGCTCACTTTATTTGCTTTAAACACAGGAGAGAAATGGAATTGGTTTGTTCAGACAGAGACTGGGTTAGAAAGAGGGTTTTCAGGAGCCAAATGTGATTCCAGACTAAGATCTGGGCACTGCCATCTCTCTGGGTCCTTGCAGTCTCTCTTGGGAGCTTCCTTTGACCTTGTTCAAAATCAGAGCTGTCTGGGCCGGGCATGGTAACTCACACGTGTAATCCGAGCATTTTGGGAGGCCAAGCTGGGAGAACTGTTTGAGGCCAGGAGTTCTAGACAACCCTGGCCAACATAGCAAGCCCCTGTCTCTGAATGAATGAATGAATGAATGAATGAATGAATGAATCGATCAGAGCTATCTGTAGCTTTGCACTGAAGCAGCCAGGTTTATGGAAACAAAAGAGGAGACTTCTGAGAGGTCGTGTTAGAAAACTCACTTGCTGTGCAATCTTGTACACACCACTTCCGTTTTCTGGGGAGTTGGACTAGCTGATCTCTTCAATTCCTTCCTGAGAAAACATTTATAATTCTGCAAAATGACCAGATGGGTAATGTGAGTTAATAATGCAGGTAAACTGGAAGAATTCTTACTGGTTAGGCTACTTTGTTGGAAGAAGCATTACAGTTAATAAAAATTAAAGAATAATATTAACTATTAATTGAGCATTTGCTATGTGCTAGGCACTATGTTAAGAATGTTATGAGGCTGGGTGCGGTGGCTCACACCTGTGATCCCAGCACTTTGGGAGGCCAAGGCAGGCAGATCACCTGAGGTCAGGAGTTTGAGACCAGCCTGGCCAACATGGCAAAACTCCGTCTTTACTAAAAATACAAAAATTAGCTGGGTATGATGGCGAGTGTCTGTAATCCCAGCTACTCAGGAAGCTGAGGAAGGAGAATCATATGAACCCAGGAGGCGGAGTTTGCAGTGAGCCAAGATAGCGCCACTGTACTCCAGCCTGGGTGACAGAGCAAGACTCTGTCTCAAAAAAAAAAAAAAAAAAAAAAAAAAAAAGAATGTTATGAGCATTTTCTCATCTAAACCACCTAGCAACACTATGAGGTTGTCACTTTTGTTACCCCTTTAAATGTCAACGAGGTAGCCAAGGCTCAGAGAGGGTAAATAACTTCCCAAAGGTCATATAGCCAGCGAGCAGAGGCAGTAAAACGTCCACCTGGGTCTGTCTGACTATGCACCATCCTGCCTCACGGGGCAAAATGACCTGATGTGTCCAAATGGGACCAGAAGCCTGGTAATTTATCCCCACTTGTTGGGAAAGTTTCACTCCTGAGAGAACACAGGGTAGTATTAGGAGCCCGAGATCTGGGCTTCAACCTCTCTCCTCCACTAACCTGATATGCAACCTAGAGTGAGTCACTGGACCCCTCTGCTCTGCCTTCTGTAGACATAACTGTAGCTGACTTTTCTACTCCTTTGGTTTGTTGTGAGGCTCAGAGGTGGGACTTGAAAAGAAAATGCCTTGAAAACAGTTAAAGAATCCTATATATTTAAACATCTGTTACTATTAAGCGAAGTCAAGTAAGGACAAGTGACAAAAGAAAAATACAGGTTACCTGAACTACCGCAAAATTAGAAATGTTTGTGTTGTAGCAAATGATACCATCAAGGAAGTAAAAACACAAACCACAGACAGAGATATATACTGATATACATTGCACAATGTATATCAGATAAACAACTTGTATCCAGAATATATAGAAAATTAATATAACTCAATTATAAGTTTTTAAAAGGCCAAAGGATTTGAATACACATTCTCCAAAGAAAATATGCAAATGGCTAACAAGCACATGAAAAGATACTCAACATCATTTTCCTCTGGGGAAATCCAAATCAAAACCACAGTGAGACACCACTTCACGCCCACTATGATGGGCAGAATGAAAAAGATGGACAATAACAGTTGCCGACAAGCATGTGGAGAAGTTAGAACCCCATGCACTCCTGGTGGGAATGCAAAGTGGTGCAACTGCTTTGGAAAATAGTCTTGCAGTTCTCAAAAGATTAAACTTAGAGTTAACAAAGGACCCAGCAATTCCTCTTTTATGTATATACCCAAGAGAAATGAAAACGTATGTTCGCACAAAACTTAGACATGAATGCTCATAGTGGCATTATCCATAGTAGCCCAAAATGGAAACAATCCGACGTCCATCAGCTAATGAAAGGATAAGCAAAATGTGGTATATTCATACAATGGAATATTATTCAACCAGGAAAAGCAGCAAAGTGCTGATACACGCTACAGTATAGATGACCCTTGAAAACATTACACTAAGTGAAAGAAGCAGTCACAGAAGACCACATACTTACATCATTCCATGTCTATGAAATGTCTAGAATAGGCAAATTTATAGCTACAGGAAGGAGATTAGTGCTTGCTTAGGGCTGGGGGCAAGGGGAGCTTGGAGTGGGAAGAATGGGAATTGACTGCTGATGTACACAGTTTCTTTTCTTTTTTTTTGAGACAGTCTCACTCTGTCACCCAGGCTGGAGTGCAGTGGCGCGATCTCGGCTCACTGCAACCTCCACCTCCTGGGTTCAAGCGATTCTCCTGTCTCAGCCTCCCGAGTAGCTGGGACTACAGGTGCACACCACCACACCCAGCTAATTTTTTTGTATTTTTAGTAGAGACAGGGTTTCACCATATTGGTCAGGCTAGTCTCAAACTCCTGATCTCAGGTGATCCACCTGCCTCAGCCTCCCAAAGTGCTGTTTTCTTTTAAGGAGGATAAATGAGGATAAAAAATGTTTTAAAATTAGATCATGGTGATAGTTGTACAATCCTATGAAGATTATAAAATACATTGAATTATATACTTTAAAGGGGTGGTATGTAAATTTTATCTTAATAAAGATGTTTTTAAAAAAAAAAAGTCAAAGAGCTCTGGTAGAGTGTTACTGCCATATGGATTATGGAGTTTCCATGAGGATGGAAGTTTGAGGCCGCACTATCCAAAAGGCCTCCTCGAACTGAAAATATATATGAATAAATGGAAGGACTATTACAAATAAGTGCATGGGTGGCAGGATCTCTAATGGGTTACATTGCCTTAAAACGCTCCCATTGCTTGGGGTAAAAGAGGTGTTCCTCACAGTAGAGCCTCTCTCTTCCAGGATTGAGGTAGGAAGCAGATGGGTTTACAGAGGTGCCCTCAACATGATTTCACCTCTATAAGCAGTCCCTGGGAATCTAACCTCTGAGATTAGGGCTAGAAAGAAGCTCAGAGTATCAGGCAATTCTGGTAGCCCAGAATCTCCCAGCATTTCCCCATAGACCTGGTGCCTGAAAAGCCATCGAGTAGGAGCTTCCCTGCCCATATCCAGCAGCTGCAGTGGCAGGGAGAGCACACAGAGGAAGTTGGAAGCATATGGAAGCTGTGTCCTGCAAGCAGGTTAGATGAAACACTGCTGAGGTTATTCGCTCATCTGGGGCAGCCTGCTCACTCTTGGCAGCTGGAGGGCAATGGCCCCCAACCCCTGGCACGGCCATCCCACCCGCCAGCCAGCCATCTCAGCCTCCAAAGAGGCAGCGCCTCCCATCCCATGCACCCTGGCTCCCACACGCCCACCAGATGGCAGTCACTCCATCCACGCTTTCAGCTCCCTCTGCCAGGGGAGGAGTTGTCCAAGTGGATGTTCTCAGCTTTCTCATGGCTGGGCCCAGGCCACATGGCAGCTCCCATCCCAGTTGTCGAAGAAGGATGTTGAATTCCCTGCTTGAGGTTCTCTCTGGGCCAAGAAGGGCTTTTCAACTCAGTGTCTCTAGTGGTACCACCCGCCTGAAAGTGGGGAGGCGAGTTGTATCACCAGAAGGCAGCTGCCGCTTGTCACAGTCTCTCAAACAGTGCCCAGGACAGGCGGGAAGTGCAGCTGCAAACTGGTCTTGCCAAGCTGTGTGGTGCAGAGGGGACCTGGCCAAGCCAACACAGGGCTTTCAGAGAAGCCTTTTACAGCGGACAAGCCTGGCGTCCTCCAGGGCCCTCTACCATCTGGACTCCCAGCCTAATTCATGTTCGTACATAAAAAGATCGGCAGCCATTTCCATGCTGCCCAGTGACATGTACAGATCTCCAAGAACACTTCCATCTGAAGGACAGGCTAGAGGGCTCTGCCCCATTCAAAGCCCTGGGTCCAGAGAAGACAGCTGTATAGAAACTGTTCTCTGATGGACTTTTAGTATTAAATAAATATATTATTACATTATACTCTGAAAAACTATCAGTAAGCCCAGGAATATTTGGGAACCAATGAATGTCTGTACATTATTGTATTTTTTCTTTATTTGTGAAATGCCTTTATCTTTGGTGGGGCCACACGTGGGTCTTTATTCAACTGAAAGTAAAACTTGGTTCCCAATATGACCCAGAGCTCCAAGCAATAGCTTTTTTGTCTTGGTTCATCTACAAGAGAAGGTTCTTCACCCATCTGAAAAAGAAAAGCTGATAAATCCAAAAGCAGGGCTGAACCCTGAACAAAAGAAATTGTATTTCTTAGCAAATGTCAGTAGTCAGGTAGTGATGCTATAAACTCAGGAATTCCAAACTAAGAAATGTTTCGAGTGTTAGAACAGATTCCCCAAGCCAAAGCGCCCCTCTAAGCAAGAGAGCACGGGATCCAGCACCTGGTTAAGAACTAATGGCTTATTGTCATCTATGACATTTTATGGAAGTAACTAGGACCCCACAAGGTGACATCTGTGCTCTCTGGTATCTCAAATTGGGGATCAAGCCTTGTGTCTCAACACTGTTCTTAAATTGGAAGTTGGGCCTCAGCACCTCACTCCCTGATATGTCTGTGTAAATGCCTAATGGGCTGGTCAGGAGGATCTTTGAATTCTTTGGTTTGTAACTGAAAGAGTTCCAGATGCTACAATAGCATCAGCAGTGAAATGTGAGACTTAATTTATGTCCAAGTTTATGGACCTCCTGTATTACTGAGTTTCTCCTCTGCTAAATGTGGCAGGTTCTGTTGACTTTTATTGTTCCCTACGGCCAATAGAAGGTTTCAGGGCCCTTTGGGATATCACAGTGGTGCATAAGTCTTCTTTATGGCCTAATCCCTTCCCCAGGCCATTCTCTACTCCCATCCCACTCCTGGTTCAGAGTTAATGAGCTGTGCTGCCTGTCCCTCCTCTCACCTTTTCCAAATCGGCTCAAAACAGCTCTAAGGTTCCTGCCCCGGGCTGAAGCTGCTGACCACTGAGGTTTCCACATGTGCTAAGCTATTATACATTCCCATCCTGTTTATTTTTGGACCTAAGTGTAATGTTTATCCCACTGAAATGTCATCAGGTATTGAAAAGCATTCTTCTAAATGACTATTTGATCAAACAAGACTTAAAAACTACTTCAATGATCTATTTAGAAAGTAAGGAAAATAAAAACAGAACATAACAAGGATGATCGCCTGCAACCACGGGTATACTCAGAGGCAGAATGATAGTCGCAAAGGCTGCTATTATTAAGGAAGAGTAAACATAGCTGAAACAAGCATTCAACACAAGAAGTTTGTAAAAGTATTATAAATGAACATGAAAATGTAGCAGCAAAGCCAGAAAATACTAGAGTTATTATGGTATATCAATCAAAAGCTGTTTCTTTGAAAATAGAAAACTTTTGGCAAATATAATGAAGAAAGAGGAAAAATTTAAAAAGAAGTAATATAATAGATACCATGCTTTTATTATAAGAGAACATTATATAACTTTTGTGGTAATAAAATTGAAAATATAAATTAAATAGGATCTTTTGGGAAAAAAATTCAAAAATTGACAAAAGAATTAATGGCCAATAACCAAATAATAAATTGTGAAAGATATCAAAGAATTGCCATTCTAAAAGGTTCTGAGATTAGATGGTTTTATTGGTGACAAATTATTTTAAACTTTCAAGGAACAGATAACTTTTATATTACTTAACGTTTCCCAGAACACTATGAAAAGGTAAAACACTATCCAATTTATACTTTTAAGCTAAAACCATCATGATACAAAACCTGCCAAAAATCTCCCCCAAAATGTAAAATATGTAAATGTAAATATTAAGTTCCCCTGTGAATATCAACCCCCTAAACTCCTAAATAAAATGCGAGCAAGCTAAATTCAGTAATACATGAATAGTCATTTCCCACAATCACGTAGACTTGAAAATGGTGTCATGTGTTTTATTGGTGAAAAGAAAATGAGAATTTTGAAAATACAGAAAAGTTCAAAAACCATTTAATCCCCATAATTCCACCATCCAAAAATATCCACAGTTAACATTTGAATATCCTTCCAGCATTTTTTTCCTCTGTGTGTATATTTTTACATAACTGTGATCATGCTGCTTTGTAGCCCACACACTGGCAGGGAAAGACCACAAACTTACACCCTGTGAGTTTAGATGAGGTCCTCGGCTTATTTAGGCAAGGTCACGGAATGACTGAGGCAGAGGTGCTCCCACAGAGCTGGAACAGGTGTGCCGTGCACCAGCTCAGATTCCAGGTGCCCCAAGAGGCTCTAACTCAATCTTGAGCAAAACCCAGCATCAGCAAAACCCTATCCTCTCCCAGGGAAAAAGCAAAGTCAACACTTAGATATTCCAATCCATTTCTCTGTCCCCAGCTAACTGGAATCCTGGAAAGCCCATTACCTCACAGATATACTGAGAGAATGTTTCACTATGAACATAACATTTAAAGCACTCAACTTTCTATCCTTAACATTTTTACAGCCTCATTTCATTTGAGTCATTTTTCTCACGAGGCTGTGTACATTCTTGGTAACATGTCCTTTTCAGGTTTGGTATACACCCTTGTAAAATCTGAGCTTAATTCTCATAATAGCAGTTTTTAAATGAATGAATTAATGCCTAATTTGACTAGGTGATAAAATGGGCAGGAACTATAGCAGAGACTTTTGTAATTGTTTCATTCGTCAGCTTTTGAGATAATTAACTAGAGCTGGAGGTTGGAAGTATTGAGAGAGGGTTCCTTTCTACTTGCTAAATACCAAGTGGGTGGTTGCCTGTTCTGGGACAAGATGTTAATGCACTTTTTCCTCTTCCTCCTGCTAAGTACAGCTAAACTCCATGGATGTTACATATAAAACAAACATAATAAGGCTGAAAGGCGGGGAGAAGGCAAATCAGCTTGGGCCTTCGGGCCTGAGGAAAAGACATGGTGGTGACTTCCCCAGGTTTCCTTTTTTCCTTGTATAGCACAGAGTGGATGCTGGAGAAGCTGGCAACCTGGCAGTAGGCACAGACGGAAGCCACAGGAAAGCCAGTTCTCTGTAGTGAAAGGGTCAGGAAATTCATATCCTAGCAAGAATAAATTTTTTTTTTTTTGAGATGATATCTCACTCTGTCGCCCAGGCTGGAGTGCAGTAACGCAACCTCAGCTCACTGCAACCTCTGCCTTTCATGTTCAAGCGATTCTCCTGCCTCAGCCTTCCAAGTAGCTGGGATTACAGGCGCGCGCCACCACACCCAGCTAATTTTTGTATTTTTAGTAGAGATGGGGTTTTACCATGTTGGCCAGGCTGCTCTCGAACTCCTGACCTCAAGTGATCCACCAGCCTCGGCCTCCCCAGTGTGTTGGGATTACAGGTGTGAGCCACCGTGGGAAACTTGTAGACAATAACCACCCTATTCCAGACAAACACCGTGGGGGGAAAAAAAACTGTGGCCCCCTCTCCATCAGCAAAGCCTGAGTGGGGAGCTTAAACTTCTACCTTTGCACAACTGTAGGGAGACAACCCTCCCTTCCCCTGCCAACATCGCATTAGTGGAGGCCTGCAAAAACAAGCAATAATTTTTAAAAATCAAGGTATTATAATACCAAAAACGCTCAGAATACAATAGAAAATCACTCATCATACCAAGAACCTGGAAAATCTCAACTTGAATGAGAAAAGACAATCCACAGATGCTAATACTGAGACCAACACAGATGTTGTAATTATCTGACAAGCATTTTAAAGCAGCCATCATAAAATGCTTCAGTAAGCAATTAAAAACAAGCTTGAGACAACTGAAAAAGTAGGGGGGGTCTCACCACAATAATACAGAAAATACAAGGAAAAGGCAAATAGAAATTTTATAACTGAAAAATTCCATAACCAAAATTTGAAAAACTCAATGGATGAGCTCAACCGCAGAATGAAGAGAACAGAGGGAAGAATTACTGAACTTGAAGATGGAACAAGAGAAATTGCCTGATAGGAACAACAGAGAATAAACAGACTGGGGGGTAGAGAAGGACAGAGCCCCAGGGACCTGCAGGACTGTAAGAAAAGATCTTACGTGGGTGTCATCAGAGTTCCAGAAGGACAAGAGAAAGAGTGAGGCTGGAAATTATCCAGAAAGTATTCATACTCATAATGGCTTTAAAAATGCCAAATT